>NW_025791772.1:0-308682 GCF_000001405.40 Homo sapiens
GAATTCAGGAGAAGCATAACAGCTCAAGGTTTCTCATGAGGTTGCACTGAAGTCATCAGCCAGGGCTGTAGTCATCTCAAAACCCAACTAGGGGCCAGGCCTCATGCCTGTAATCTCAGCACTTTGGGAGGCTAAGGCGGGCGGATCACTTGAGCCCAGGAGTTCAAGACCAGCCTGGGCAACATGGCGAAACCCTGTCTCTACCAAAAATACAAAAAGTAGCTGGGCATGGTGGCACATACCTGTAACCCCTGCTACTTGGGAGGCTGAGGCAGGAAAACAGCTTGAACCCAGGAGGCAGAGATTGCAGTGAGCTGAGATAGCACCACTGCACTCCAGCTTGGGCAACAGAGTGAGACTCCGTCTCAAAAAAAAAAAAAAAGAAAGAAAGAAAAGAAAATGAGCTGGGTAACTGTGTAGGCACGAGAATTGCTTGAACCCGAGAGAGGAAAGTTGCAGTGAGCTGAGATAGCACCACTGCACTCTCAGCCTGGGCAATAGAGCAGGACTCTGTCTCAAGAAAAACAAAAACAAAAACTCAATTGGGGCTGAGGATCCTCTTTTAAGCTCACTCATGGGTTGTTGTCAGATTTAACTTTCTCATGGTTAAATTGAGGGCCTCAGTTACTCACCACACCACATAGGCCTCTCCATCATGCATCATGGCAGCTTGCTAATTCTAGATCAAGGGATCCCAGAGGGAGGGAAGGAGGAAAAATGAGAGAGAGACATCTAAGACAGAAATCACAGTCTTATAATATAATCTTAGAAGGAGTATCCCATCCCTTCACATCTGCCATATTCTATTTGTTAGAATAGCCACTAGGTCCAGTCCAAAGGATTACATATAGGCAATGACCCATCTTAGATGCTGCCTGCTTCGGTCCTGAATACCATCTTCTATGCATGCAGCCTAAGATTGCAGAATGATTTTTGTGCCAATGGTTTATATTGAGCTTCTAGTCAACTAAAAGACAAAAAGTTTCTACTTGTTTTATTTATGTATTTATGTTGAAACAGAATCTTATGCTGTCACCCAGGCTGCAGTGCAGTGGTGTGATCACGGCTCACTGTAGCCTCGACCTCCTGGTCTCAAGTGATCCTCTCACCTCAGCCTCTCAAGTAACTGGGATTACAGACATGCACCACCATGCCCAGACAATTTTTATATTTTTTTGTAGAAGCAGGGTTTCCTCTTATTACCCAGGCTGGTCTCGAACTCCTGGGCTCAAGCAATCTGCCCACCTTGCCTCCCAAAGTGCTGAGATTACAGACATGTACCATCCAGTCTGGCCTTCTAACTTGTTTTTTAAAGAGCCATTGATTTGGCAATTAATCCTTTTAAGCTTAATGCAGGATATTATCTCTAATACATTTTATTTAATTTGTCTCTAATTGTTTTTTTTTTTTTTTTTTTTTTGAGACAAAGTCTTTCTCTATTGCCCAGGCTGGAATGAAGTGGCATGATCTTGGCTCACTGTAATCTCCGCCTCCCAGGTTCAAGCGATTCTCCTGCCTTGGCCTCTGAGTAGCTGGGATTACAGACGCGCACCACCACACCCAGCTAATTTTTGTATTTTTAATAGAGACGAGGTTTCACCATGTTGGCCAGGCTGGTCTCCGACTCCTGGCCCGCCCAAGTGATCTGCCCACCTCAGCCTCCCAAAGTGCTGGGATTACAGATGTGAGCCACCACACCTGGCTGCTTTCAGTAACTTCTGTAATACTTCCTGAGAGTTGGGGGTTTAAAGTAGTATCATGAATAAATGCAATTCTTATTAAGCCTTCAAAGTCTCTTATAAAACTAGATAAACAGGCCGGGTGCGGTGGCTCACACCTGTAATCCCAGCACTTTGGGAGGCCGAGGCGGGTGGATCACAAGGTCAGGAGATCGAGACCATCCTGGCTAACACAGTGAAACCCCATCTCTACTAAAAATACAAAAAATTAGCCAGGCATGGTGGCAGGCGCCTGTAGTCCCAGCTACTCAGGAGGCTGAGGCAGGAGAATGGCGTGAACCCGGGAGGTGGAGCTTGCAGTGAGCCAAGACTGCGCCACTGCACTCCAGCCTGGGCAATAGAACGAAACTCCGTCTCAAAAAAAAAAAAAAAAAAAACCTAAATAAACATTCTTTATTAAATTAATAGAAGATGACTGTACACTATTATATCTCTGTTGGTCTCTAAGGGCCCTTTCAATTTCTCAGTACCCAAGCTTTGTAGGAACTGAATAGTAGTTAATTGAATTTCTTTGGATTACTTAAAATCACTGTTTATTTGTGACACAAAATAACCTTACTTTCCTAAAACAGTTGAAATAAAATTAATGTTAGGCTCACGCCTGTAATCCCAGCACCTTGGGAGGTCGAGACGGGTGGATCACGAGGTCAGGAGATCAAGACCATCCTGGCTAACATGGTGAAACCCCGTCTCCACTAAAAATACAAAAAAAATTAGCCAGGCGTCGTGGCAGGCACCTGTAGTCCCAGCTACTCAGGAGGCTGAGGCGGGAGAATGGCGTGAACTCGAGAGGCGGAGTTTGCGGTGAGCGGAGATCATGCCACTGCACTCCAGCCTGGGTGACAGAGTGAGACTTGGTCTCAATAAATAAATAAATAAATAAATAAATAAATAAATAAATAAATAAAATTCACAACCTGGGCAACATGATGAAACCCTGTCTCTATAAAAAATACAAAAATTAGCCTGGCATAGTGGTGCACATCTGTAGTCTCAGCTACTTGGGAGGCTGAGGTGGGACAATTGCTTGAGTCTGGAAGGCCGAGGTTGCAGTGAGCTGAGATCATGCTGCTGCACTCCAGCCTGGGTGTCAGAGCAAGACCCTGTCAAAATCTATGTATGTTTTCTAAAACACATTTTTTGAAATGGAAATGCTGAGTCAAAGAGTGTACATATTTAAAATTATAACATTGCAAATTACCACCCAAAATGATGGTATATTTTTATTCTCCTATCACCAGTAAAGTGAGAGTGCTTATTCCAAACACTCTCTTCCACACTGAATATTAGCAATCTTTTAAATCTTTGCTAATCTGAGAGGGGTAAAATAATTTATAGTTATTATATTAATGTGCACAGCTGGACATGGTGACTCGTGCCTATAGTCCTAGCTACTCAGCAGGCTGTGGTAGAAGGATCACTTGAGCCTAGGAGTTCATGGTTTCAGTGAGCTATGATTGCACTGTTGCACTCCAACCTTGATGAGAGAGCAAGACCCTGTCTCTAAAAGAAAAAAGAAAAGAAAAAAAAGAAATATAAGAAAAAAAAAGAAAAAAGGCATATTAAGGTGCACTTCCTTAATTTTCAGTGAAGTTTAGCATCTTTTCAGAGATTCACTTATACTCCTATGAGTATTCATCATCTATGGGATTCTCATTATATTTATTAAGGAATGGTGGCAAATGTAATAAATGGCAAGTTTAAATTGACTCTAAAGTTCCTAAAATATTTCTTTTTAAAAGCTGTACTTCTTAAAAGAGAAAAATATTGCATTCTGTAGATAACCTAGAGACACCTTTTAAAAATCTCTAAAGGTTTGGAAACAAATTGGATGGAGCAGATAAAGATGAGTGTTAATTTTGACTTCACCCTTAGTGGCAATAAATGGTCTATTACTCTAATTGTACCCTTTATCTCCTCTAGAACATTTAGAGAGATCTCCAGGGATAGTTACCTTGTTATTTCAATGCAGAGAACAGTAAGTACTTCAGGGAAAACACATGTGATTATCAATCAGGGGAAAATACTTGAGAGAGTAAAATGTGAATTTGTACATGATTCATTGTTGTTGACTTTTTTTTCCATATACTTCTTATCTCAATTCTGAATATATTTCTAGAATTAAAGTTTTGTTACTGTAACAGAACCCAAATAGACATAAAACAGAAGCTGAATAGATATAAATTTAATTTAAGCTTTTTTTTTTTTTTAAAGAGATGGGATCTCATTATGTTGCCCAGGCTGGAGTGCTGTGGCTATTCACAGGAACAATCATTGCACACTGCAGCCTTGAGTTGCTGGGCTCAAGCGACCCTCTGGCCCTAGCCTCCCAAGTAGCTGGGACTATAGGCATGTGCCACCATCCCTGGTTAATTCATAATTTTAAGGTATACAGTTCACTGGTTTTTAACATATTCAGAGTTAAACATTTAGTCATTCAGATAACCATCACTGTTATCTAGTTTTAGAACATTTTCATCACCCTAAAAATAATCCTATACCCATTACGTCACTCATCATGCCTCCTTCTCCCCCTAAACTCCTGGCAACACTAATCTATTTTCAAACTATAGATTTGCCAATTCTGGACATTTCATATAAATGGAATCATACAATATGTAGCCTTTTGTGTCTGCCTTTTTTCACTTAGCATGCTTTCAAGTTTCATCCACGTATAGCATATATCAGCACTTCATTCCTTTATATGACAGAAAAGTATTCCACTGTTTGTGTAATATATACCACTGGTATTTATCCATTCATCAGTTGACGGACATTTGGTTGTTTCTACTTTTTGGCTTTTGTGAATAATGCTGCTATGAACATCTGTGTACAAGTTTTTACGTGGACATATGTTTTCAATTCTCTTGGATGTATACCCAGGAGTAGAACTGCTAAGTTATATAATAACTCTTTACTTAATCACTTGAGGAACTGCCAGTCTGATTTTCCCAGTGGCTGCATAACTTCACAATCTCACCAGCAATGTATGAGGGTTCCAATTTCTCCAAATTCTCGATAATTGTTATTGCCTGTCTTTTTTAATTATCACCATCCATTCTAGTGAGTGTGAAGTGGTATCTCACTGTGGTTTTGATTTTCATTTCCCAGTTACTAATAATATTGAGCATCTTTTCATGTCCTTATTGGACATTTGTATATCTTCTTTGGAGAAATGTCTATTCAGTTCCTTGGCTCAATTTTAAATTGGGTTGTTTTGGGTTTTTTTTTTTTAATTGATACCTAATAGATGTACATTGGTTTTCTGGTGTTTTGTTTTTTGTTTTTTGGGTTTTTTTTTGAGACAGTCTCACTCTGTTGCCCAGGCTGGAGTGCAGTTGTGTGATCTCTGCTCACTGCAACTTCTGCCTTCTGAGTTCAAGCAATTCTCATGCCTCAGCCTCCTGAGTAGCTGGGATTACAGGTGTGCGCCGCAAGGCCTGGCTAATTTTTGTATTTTTCAATGGAGATGGGCTTTCACCATGTTGGCCAGGCTGGTCTCAAACTCCTGACCTCAAGTGATTTACCTGCCTTGACCTCCTAAAGTTCAGGGATTATAGGCATGAGCCACCATGCCCAGACTTTCATTTTCTTGACAGTATGATTGGAAGCATAAAAGTTTTTTGATTGTTTGTTTGTTTTTTGAGACTGAGTCTCGCTCTGTTGCCCAGGCTGGAGCGCAGTGGCGCGATCTCTGCTCACTGAAAGCTTCGCCTACTGGGTTCACGCCATTCTCCCGCCTCAGCCTCCTGAGTAGCTGGGACCACAGGTGCCCGCCACCACACCTGGCTAATTTTTTTGTATTTTTAGTAGAGACAGGGTTTCACTGTGTTAGCCATGATGGTCTCGATCTGCTGGCCTCTTGATCTGCCCGCCTTGGCCTCCCAAAGTGCTGGGATTACAGGCTTGAGCCACTGTGAGGGCCAGGCATGGTGGCTCAAGCCTGTAATCCCAGCACTTTGGGAGGCCAAGGCGGGCAGATCACCTGAGGTCAGGAGTTCGAGACCAGCCTGGCCAATATGGTGAAACCCCGTCTCTACTAAAAATACAAAAAAAATTAGCCAGGCCTGGTGGCGCACACCTGTAGCTCTAGCTACTAAAGAGGCTGAGGCAGGAGAATCACTGGAACCCGGGAGGCGGAGGTTGCAGTGAGCTGAGATCACACCATAGCACTCCAGCCTGGGCATCGTAGCGAGACTCTGTCTCAAAAAAAAAAAAAAAGTTTTTTAAATGTTGATGATAAATTGCTTTTTAAAAATACCTTTGGAAATCTGGATAGAGGATAGGGTGTCCCTAACACAACTGAATAGTTTCATAGAATTTTATAGCAAGTAGGAAAGTAATTCAGGAGTGTATTACAAGAAGAACAAGAGGAACTAATTGATAATTAATTGAAAGGAAAAATATTTTAATGGGTAGGAAATTAAATTTCACATAGTTAATATATAAGAATAAAGGCTTGGTAATATATTTGGACTTTTTTCATGTGTGTAAATGCACATAAAGCAGATTGCAAGAGGTTATTACACAAAACAAAAGCCAGAGAAAAATCCATACTTACCCCTAAACCTGACTAAATGGGACTGAAAGGAAACCAGAGTTGATTACTCAAGTTAAGGGGTTGATGTCTATAAATGACAAATGGCTATATTAAAGAAGTTATTAACTTTATATAATGAACTCTGCTAGTTATATTTTAATTAATAAAAATTGCTCTTGAGATAAAACTTTTTTATTAACTTATCCTCTCTCTTTGGAATCTTTAGTAGTTAAAAAAACTACATTCAATTGCATCTGAAACTTTTACAACAGTTCATGTAGAGCATACAAAGTTAACAGCTTATAAATTCTCCTTACCTTAAGAAAGAAAACAGACATAAAAAAACATGAACCACTATTGTGGTCACTCCTGCTAAAATATTTCTCCAGTGTACTTTGGGCTATTTATTTCCTTCCTGTAAATACGTTCTACTGTGCTTTAAATAAATATGAAGATACTGAAAGTTGGAGAAGGAATGGATCAGGAATTCTCGTAGGCAGGTGAGGTTGAAACAACAGGGGAGCTCTTGAAGGTAAGTTTGGAAGCAGTCTCATCAGCTTGGGTCAGCAGCACAGGCAAGAAGGGCAATATGTGGGTGAGGAACCTATTTAAGAAGTCTAGCCAAAAGAATTTGGAATTCAAGCAGAGTTAAGTAGAAGATATAAGGCACCAGCAGTAAGCAGGATCTTCACACCTGGGAATTTTTACATGCTTAAGGAAAGAACTGAATTCTCCAACCTGGCCTGAGTTTACCATGGAGGTCAGTGGAGTATCTGGCTGAAAGGAAGAGAGTCGCAGCTTCTGATGTAAACTAATCCTGACAAGATGTTGAGGACTGGGTACCTGGTAGAGTTTCTAAAATTTTGGAGCCATGTGTATTCTTCAGAGGGTTCTCTAACTATAGTGGAAAATACAGGATGAGTTGAAGAAAGCATTTTACCGGAATCTAGGGAAAATCAGTGTTACCAAGTGGTACTAACGTTCAGCAGATCAGTTCGAATGGTTTGGTTGTAAATAATAAAACCCACTCACACTATGAATAATAATCAAATGAGGAAATTTACTATGTCATACAACAAGGAAGCTCAGAGATAGGACAGGGTTGATTGATGCAGTTGTATTACAATGTCATGAAGGATCCAGGGTTCATCCATCCCTTTACCCTATCCCATTCTTGGTAACAGCTTTATCCTCAGGCAGTAGCAAGATAACTGCAGAAATTCTTTTAACTCAGCCATGCCAATATGCAGAGGAAGAAGAGCACTCTTAGGAGTGAGAAAGAATTTCTTCTTTTTTCTTTTTTTTTTTTTTTTTGAGACAGAGTTTTCTTCTTGTTGCCCAGGCTGGAGTGCAATGGCACAATCTTGGCTCACCGTAACCTCCATCTCCTGGGTTCAAGCAATTCTCCTGCCTCAGCCTCCCAAGTAGCTGGAATTACAGGCATGTGCCACCATGCCCGGCTAATTTTGTATTTTTAGTAGAGACGGGGTTTCTCCATGTTGGTCAGGCTGGTCTCAAACTCCTGACCTCAAGTGATCCACCCACCTCGGCTTCCTATAGTGCTGGGATTACAGGTGTGAGCCACTGCACCCGACCACAAGAAAGTATTTCTAAGAACCCTGCACAGTTGGCCACACTCCTACTCTAAAACGAATTACTGCCAAGGAGATGGTAGAATAACCAGAATTGGATTAGACTAGTTATCTGAGGTGGAATAAATGACAGGGAGTCAACTACTTATACTCAATAAAATCGGCCAGGTGTGATGGCTCATGCCTGTAATCCCAGCACTTTGGGAGGCTGAGGTGGGTGCATCACTTGAGGTCAGGAGTTCAGACCATACTGACCAATATGGTGAAACCCTGTCTCTACTAAAAATACAAAAATTAGCCAGGCATGGTGGCACATGCCTGTAATCCCAGCTACTCGGGAGGCTGAGGCAGGAGAACTGCATGAACCCAGGAGATGGAGGTTGCAGTGAGCCAAGATCACGCCACTGCACTCCAACCTGGGTGACAAAGCAAGACTCCATCTCAAAAAAAAAAAAAAAAATTGAATTTTACTTCTGTTGGGGTTTCCTTAAATTTCCCTTAAATTGTCTGTAACTTATTAATTACTGACTGATATTACTAGAGATGTCAGTTAATATTCTTTGCTCATCTGTCTTGGTAAAGAACTCTACTCTTGGCCAGGCATGGTGGCTCACGCCTACAATCCCACACTTTGGGAGGCCAAAGCGGAAGGATCAAGTGAGCCCAGGAGTTTGAGACCGGCCTAGGCAACATGATGAGACTCCTCCTCTACCAAAAAAAGAAAAATAAAATTAGCTGAGCATGGTGGCATGTAGTCCAAGCTGCTCAGGAGGCTGAGGTAGGAGGAATCACTTGAGCCCAAGAAGTCAAGGTTGCAGTGAGATGTGTTCCCTCCACTGCACTCCAGTCTGGGCAACAGAGTGAGACCTGTCTCTAACTCTATTTTTTTCCTCTCCAAGCTCTGAAGTCCTAAGATGCTACTGTCTATAACCTAGAAGGAAATGGATTTCTGAGTCCTTGGCTTGTAAACCAAATTTATAAAGTGATAAAAACTATCTGGGAGATAAATGAATGAACATGAACTATGGCATACACAGAAGAAAGTCACATGTAATTTGGTATGATTAAGATTCAGAATTAATTATTTAATTATTTAAATACTTACTTGTACTCAAGGGGCAGAGGGTGTCAGAGGGGGCATTGTGACAAAGTTAAATTTGTAAAAAAAATTTACACTGTTAAATTTGCAAAGTTAATCTTTTAAAGTTGTAGTTAAATTATGACATTTGAATTTATAATAAAGACTACAAACAGGACCAGCCCAGCATGGTGGCTCACACCTATAGTCCCAGCACTTTGGGAGGCTGAGGAGGGTAGATCACCTGAGGTCAGGAGTTCGAGACCAGCCTACCAACAGGGTGAAACCCTGTCTCTACTAAAAATACAAAAGTTAGCCAGGCGTGGTGGCAAGTGCCTGTAATCCCAGCTACTCGGGAGGCTGAGGCAGGAGAATCTATTGAACCTGGGAGGCGGATGTTGCAGTGAGCCAAGATCGCACCATTGCACTCCAGCCTGGGCGATAGAGTGAGACTCCATCTCAAAAAAAAAATATGTATATATAATAATAAAAAGACTACAGAACCAAGAAATTAAGGGGTGATGAGTAGTCGTTCATTGAGAGATTACAAATGGTATCTTTCGGATGAAGTCACAGTGTACATCCATTGGCATGCCTACCTATCACTCTGGAAGGAAGTCAAGAGGTTAAAGACGTTTGAGTCCCACAAGAGATCACTATTTCCAGGCACCTAAACTCACTAGCGGATTTGTGTCTTTACTTGGGCAGGCCAAGCCAAAGGCCATGCTAAAGTGTTGACAGAGCTATGAACTATTAAACGGTGCAAAATTCCTGAATGAAAGCACCAAAAATAATTGTGTAAGGGAGTTTATTTTTTCACAAACTCTGAGTACAAATTCTAAAGTGAAAGAAACAATAAAATATAAGGACCCACCGGGCACGGTGACTTGCACCTGTAATCCCAGCCCTTTAGGAGGCCAAGGCAGGCTGATTGTCTGAGGTCAGGAGTTCAAGATCAGCCAGGCTAACATGGTGAAACCCCGTCTCTACTAAAAATACAAAAATTAGCCAGGTGTGGTGGCGCACGCCTATAGTCCCAGCTACTCAGGAGACTGAGGCAGGAGAATTGCTTGAACCTGGGAGGTGGAGATTGCAGTGAGCCAAGGTCACGCCACTGCATTCTAGTCTGGGTGACAGAGCAAGACTGTGTCTCTGAAAAAATAAAATAAAATGAAATATAAAGACCTGGCCAGGCGTGGTGGCTCATGCCTGTAATCTCAACACTTTGGGAGGCCGAGGTGGGCAGATCACCTGAGGTCAGAAGTTTGAGACCAGCCTGACCAACATGGAGAAATCCCGTCTCTACTAAAAATACAAAATTAGCTGGGTGTGGTGGCATGCACCTGTAGTCCCAGCTACTTGGGAAGCTGAGGCAGGAGAATCGCTTGAACCCAGGAGGCAGACGTTGCAGTGAGCCAAGATAGCACCATTGCACTCCAGCCTGGGCAACAAGAGCAAAACTCTATCTCAATAAATAAATAAATAAATAAATAAATAAAATATGAGGACCCAATTTTTTTCCCTTGATAAGTGTGACTTTAGCTAATTGATTTCATTCGATATATACCTGTAGCAATGGTTTCCAAACCTCTCTGATCATAAACCACAATAAGAAATACATTTTACATGGTGACTTAACACACACACACACACACACACACACACACACACGCACACAGGCACACACACACAGAGTTATGTTTTTAAAAACTGAAACAGAAGCTAACAAAACGACAATTGCACTTTCCAAGGATGCAATAGTTTTCAATTTTATTTGATTTAAAAACAAGTGCTAGCTGAGTGATGCGTGCTTGTAGTATGAGCTACTTGGGAGGCTAAGATGGGAGGATCACTTGAGGCCAGAAGCTCGAGGCCACAGTGTACGATAAGCTATAATGGTACTTGTGAATAGCTACTACAATTCAGCCTGGCAAGACTCTGTCTCAAAAACAAACAAACAAAAAATAAGTACTGATTCACATCCACTAACTTGATTTCATGACCCACTAATAGGTCTGACTTGCAATTTGAAAAACATTATTCTAGGTTAAATGGAGCCTGCCAAATGCCTGGCTCCATTAATACAAATCCTGCTCTTCCATAGCAGGAAGAGGAGGGAAGGAGATTGTCTATATGGGCAATCGTGAGAAGTGACTGAGCTGCTTAACCCCTATCTTTGGTGTCCTGTGTTTTACTTTTAAACTTTAAGGTAGGTTCAGATTATCACAAAGAAGACCATGATAAGTTCAGATGGCTTAGAGGTATGATTAGAGCAGCATAAACACCATACTTCTCAATTCCAACTTTCTTTTCTATTTTCTTCTTAAGAGCACACAAGCTTTGGAGTCAGGAGCAAAGTTCAACTCCCCTTAAGCTTAAGAGCAAGTTTCTTAATTGTTCTGAACCTCAGCTTACTCATCTGTAAGATGGACAGAAGCAATACTTTACAGGGTTGTAAAAATGATTGTGAGCTATATATACATAGTACATATAATTCACTTAGCAAATGATCAATAAATGACAGCTGCTGTTTATCTTAGGTCAGATGAATACATGCTAAGAAAGCAAACATTGTAAATGCCTTCCTTAACAAAAAAATGTTTTAAGGCTGGCCATGGTGGCTCACACCTGTAATACTAGCACTTTGGGAGGCTGAGGCAGGTGGATCACTTGAGCCCAGGAGTTCAAGGCAAGCCTGGGCACCATAATGAGACTCCTGTCTCTACAAGAAATACAAAAATTATCTGGGTGTGGTGGTGCACACCTGTAGTCCCAGCTGCTTGGAAGGCTGAGATGGGAGGATCACTTGAGCCCAGGGAGGTTAAGGCTGCAGTGGGCCCTGATTGTGCCACTGCACTCCAGCCTGTCTCAAACCAAAAAAAAAAAAAACAAAACAGTTTTAGACTACCCAATATTTCCTGGTCTGATATCTTTTTTTTTTGGAAACAGGGTCTGGTTCTTTTTCCCAGGCTGGAGTGCAGTGGCGTGATCATAGCTCATTGCAGCCTCTTAGACTAAAGTGATCTTCCTGCCTCAGCCTCCTGAGTAGTTGGGACTATAGGCATGGGCCACCACATCCAGCTAATTCAAAAAAAATTTTTTGGCCAGGCGCAGTGGCTCACGCCTGTAATCCCAGCACTTTGGGAGGCTGAGACGGGCGGAACAAGAGGTCAGGAGATCGAAACCATCCTGGCTAACACGGTGAAACCCCGTCTCTACTAAAAATACAAAAAATTAGCCGGGCCTGTTGGTGGGCGCCTGTAGTCCCAGCTACTCGGGAGGCTGAGGCAGGAGAATGGTGTGAACCCGGGAGGCGGAGCTTGCAGTGAGCCGAGATCGTGCCACTGCACTCCAGCATGGGCGACAGAGCAAGACTCTGTCTCAAAAAAAAAAAATTTTTTTTATAGAGACTTGGTGTCCCTATGCTGCCCTGCCTGGTCTCGAATTCATGGGCTCAAGCAATCCTCCTACCTCAGGCTGCCAAATGCCAAAGTGTTGAGATTTGAAGTGTAAGCCACTGCACTCAGTCTGGTCTGGTATCTCCCTTTGGGGAAGCTCTAGATATACCTGTATCCGGAAGGACAGTGCTACAGATTTTTTTTTTAAATAGAGATGGGATCTCACTATGTTGCCCAGGCTGGTTTCAAACTCCTGAGGTCAAGTGATCCTCCCTTCTCAGCCATCCAAAATTCTGGGATTACAGTCATGAGCCACTATGCCCAGCACTGCTACAGATCTTGTGGTCGGCCAACTCCAGTTACAATGAAAACCTGATTATAGGAGAAATGGGCATCAATGAAGACAAAAGGGCAAACTCCAGTCCATCTCCCACCAATCAAGCCTGTGATGCCAGTTGGTTTTCCTAAAGCACAGTTTGGAATCTGTCACTTCACTTCTCAATAAACTAGGAAGACTCCTCATAGCCTACAAAGGAAATCTGAACTGTATATTTTGGTATTTGATGTACCATATGCAGTAAAAGGCTCCCACGTGCTTCTTTATTTTAGTTTTATTATTTTTATCTTTTTTTCTAGACGGAGTCTTGCTCTGTCACCCAGGCTGGAGTGCAGTGGCGCAATCTCGGCTCACTGCAACCTCTGCCTCCAGGGTTCAAGCGATTTTCCTGCCCCAGCCTCCGGAGTAGCTAGGTTTAGAGGCACCCATCACAATGCCTGGCTAATTTTTGTATTTTTAGTAGAGACAAGGTTTCCCCACGTTGGCCAGGCTGGTCTCAAACTCCGGATCTCAGGAGATCCGCCTGCCTCAACCTCCCAAAGTGCTGGGATTACAGGTGTGAGCCACCGTACCCAGCCCATTTTTATTGCTGAAGAGAGTTTACCTTTATTCTGTATTTGAAAAGTGTTATTTCTTTTTATCTTTTTTTTTTTTTTGAGACGGAGTCTTGCTCTGTCGCCAAGGTTGGAGTGCAGTGGCACGATCTTGGCTCACTGCAAGCTCCGCCTCCTGGGTTCACACCATTATCCTGCCTCAGCCTCCTGAGTAGCTGGGACTACAGGTGCCCACCACCACACCTGGCTAATTTTTTTTTTTATTGTTAGTAGAGATGGGGTTTCACCATGTTAGCCAGGATGGTCTTAATCTCCTGACCTCGTGATTCGCCCATCTCGGCCTCCCAAAGTGCTGGGATTACAGGCGTGAGCCACCGTGCCCGGCCCTTTTTATCTTTTTTTTTTTTAAATGTATTTTACTTTAAGTTCTGGGATACATATGCTGAACGTGCACGTTTGTTACATAGGTATACATGTGCCATAGCGGTTTGCTGCACCTATCAAGCTGTCATCTAGGTTTTAAGCCTCGCATGCATTAGGTATTTGTCCTAATGCTCTCCCTCCCCTTTCCTCCCACCCACTGACAGGCCCCGGTGTGTGATGTTCCCCTCCCTGTGTCCATGTGTTCTCATTGTTCAGCTCCCACTTATGACTGAGAATATGCAATGTTTGGTTTTCTGTTCCTGTGTTAGTTTGCTGAGGAGGATGGTTTCAAACCAGCTTCATCCATGTCCCTGCAAAGGACATGAACTCATTCTTTTTATGGCTGCAGAAAGTGTTTTTTCTTAAACTGAATGGTAGGTACATGGTTTGTTTGTATTTTACATTGTGGTAAGACACATAACATAAAATTCACCACTACTGACATTTAGTGTATTTACAATATTGCACAAACATCACTATCTACTTCTTGAATATTTTCATCACCCCAAAAGGACCCTGTACCCATTAAACTGTCACTCGCCATTTCTCCTTCATCTCTAGCCTCAGGGAACTAATCTGCTTTCTGTATTTAAGGATTTGCCAACTCTGGATATTTCAATAAGCAGAATCATATAATATGTGGCCTTTTGTGTGGATTCTTTCTTGATTTTATTTTTTTGAGACAGAGTCTCGATGTGTCGCCCAGGCTGGAGTGCAGTGGCACCATCTCGGCTCACTGCAACCTCTGCCTCCCGGGTTCAAGCGATTCTCATGCCTCAGCCTCCTGAGTAGTTGGGATTATAGGTGTGCACCTCCACACTGGAGTAATTTTTGTATTTCTAGTAGAGGTGGGGTTTTCCGTGATGACCAAGCTGGTCTTGAATTCCTGACCTCAAGTGATCTGCCCCCCTTGGCCTCCCAAAGTGCTGGGATTACAGGCATGAGCCACCATGCCCAGCCTGTCTGAATTCTTTCACTTAGCAAAATGTTCACAAGTTTCATCTATGTTGTAGCATATATCAGCATTGCATTCTTTATATACCTGAATAATATTCATACCAAGATGGACATTTTAGTTATTTTCATCTTTTGCCTATTTCACATAGTGCTGCTATGAATATTTGTGAACAAGTTTTTGTATGAATGCTTATTTTCTTTTTTTCATTTTTCTTTCTTTTTTTTCTTTGAGACAGGCTCTTACTCATTGTGTTGCCCAGGCTGGAGTGCGGTGGTGAGATCATAGCTCACTGTAGCCTTGACTTCCCCTGACTCAGGTGATCCTCCCACCTCAACCTCCCAAGTAGCTGGGACTACAGGCATGTGCCACCATGCCCAGCTAATTTTTGTACTTTTTGTAGAGACACGATTTCACCATGCTGCCCAGGCTGGTCTTGAACTCCTGGGCTCAAGTGATCCCTCTGCCTTGGCCTCCCAATGTGCTGAGATTACAGGCATAAGCCACTGCACCTGGCCTTTTTTTCAGTTCTTTAGGGTACATATGTCCAGGAGTGGAATTGCTAGGTCATATGGAAATTTTATGTTTAACATTTTGGGAAACCATCAGTCTGTTTTGCAAAGTGGCTACACCATGGGCTGAGGTGGGTGGATCACTTGAGGTCAGAAGTTTGAGACCAGCCTTGCCAACATGGTGAAACCCTGCCTCTATAATAAAAATAAATTAATTAAAATAAACAAAATGGCTGCACCATTTTACATTCCCAACAGCAGTGTATAAGTGTTCTGATTTCTCCATATTCTTACCAGCATTTATTATCTGACTTTTTTGTTACAGCCATTCTAGTGGATAAAACGTAACATGGGTGAAATGTGATTTGCATTTCCCTGATGACTATCAGGGCTTAGTTTTACCTCTGCATATTCATCATTTATATACCTTTTTTTATTTTTATTTTTTTGAGACATGGTCTGGCTCTGTCACCCAGGCTGCAGTGCAGTGGTGTGATCATGGCTCACTCAGCCTCAACCTCCCAGGCTCAAGCAATCCTCCCATCTCAGCCTCCCCCAAGTAGCTGGGACTACAGGCACGAGCCATCATACCTGGCTAATTTTTGTATTTTTCATAGAGACAGGGTCTCCCTATGTTGCCTTGCTGGTACCTAACTCCTGGGATTTAGTGATACTCCTACCTTCGCCTCCCAAATTGCTGGGATTACAGGCATGAGCTACCGTGCCCAGTCCCATTTGTATATCTTGTTTGGAGAAATGTCTACTCAGAGCCTTTGCCCATTTTAAAATTGGATTTTCTCTCTTTTATTATTGAGTTGATAGAGTTTTTTAATGTATTCTAGATATAAGTCCCTTATCAGATATATTATTGCAAATATTTTCTCCCATCCTGTGGGTTGTCTTTTCCCTTTGTTCATAGTATAATCTGAAGCAGAAAAACTTTTAATTATGAAGAAGTCTAATTTACCTAGTTTTCTCTTTTGTTGTTTGTGCATTTGACATCACATCTAAGAAAGAATCTATTGTCATTTTTTTTCTTTTCTTTTTTTTTTTTTTTTGAAACGGAGTCTCCCTCTGTCACCGAGGCTGGAGTGCAGCGGCGCAATCTTGGCTCACTGCAACCTCCACCTCCCTGGTTCAAGCGATTCTCCTGCCTCAGGTAGCTGGTACTACAGGTGCCTGCCACCACACCCAGCTAATTTTTGTATTTTTTGGTAGAGACAAGGTTTTGCCCTGTTGGCCAGGCTGGTGTCGAACTCCTGGCTTCAAGTGATCCACCAGCCTCAGCTTCCCAAAGTGCTGGGATTACAGGTGTGAGCCACCGCACCCGGCCCTATTACCACATTTTGAGAACAAGAATATTTTCTTCCCTCCTTCCTTCCTTCCGTCCGTCCTTCCGTCCGTCCTTCCTTCCGTCCTTCCTTCCTTCCTTCCTTCCTTCCTTCCTTCCTTCCTTCCTTTCTTCTCTCTCTCTCTCTCTTTTTTTTTTGATGGAGTTTTGCACTTGTTGCCCAGGCTGGAGTGCCATGGTACAATTTCAGCTCACTGCAACCTCCGCCTCCCAGGTGAAAGTGATTCTCCTGCCTCAGCCTCCCTAGTACTTGGGATTACAGGCACCCACCACCACGCCCAGCTAATTTTTGTATTTTTAGTAGAGACGGGGTTTCACCATATTGGCCAGGCTGATCTCAAACTCCTGACCTCAGGTGATCTACCCACCTCAGCCTCCCAAAGTGCTGGGATTACAAGCATGAGCCACTGTGCCCGGCTACCTTTTTTTTTCTAAAGTGTTTTATAATTTTAGCTCTTACACTTAAGTCTTTGATCCGGCCGGGTGCGCTGCCTCATGCCTGTAATCCCAGCACTTTAGGGGGCCAAGGGGGGTGGATCACCTGAGGTCAGGAGTTTGAGACAAGCCTGGCCAACGTGGTGAAACCCCATCTCTATTAAAAATACAAAAATTGGGCCAGGGGCGGTGGCTCACGCCTATAATCCTAGCACTTTGGGAGGCCAAGGTGGGTGGATCACCTGAGGTTAGGAGTTCCAGACCAGCCTGGCCGACATGGTGAAACCCCGTCTCTACTGAAGAAACAAAAATTAGCCGGGTGTGGTGGCATGCGCCTGTAATCCCAGATACTTGGGAGGCTGAGACAGGAGAATTGCTTGAACCCAGGAGGTGGAGGTTGCGGTGAGCCGAGATCTCGCCATTGCACTCCAGCCTGGGCAATAAGAGCAAAACTCCGTCTCAAAAAAAAAAAAAAACAAAAATACAAAAATACAAAAATATGCCGGGTGTGATGGTGGTCACCTGTAATCCCAGCTACTTGGGAGACTGAAGCAGGAGAATCACTTGAACCTGGGAGGCGGAGGTTGCAGTGAGCTGAGATCCGCCATTCACTGCACTCCAGCCTAGACAACAAGAGCAAAACGCCACCTGAAAAAAAAAAGTCTTTGATCTATTTTGAGTTAATTTTGTATATGGTGTGAAGTAAGGGTCCAAATTCATTCTTCTGCAGGTGGCTATCAATTTGTCCCAGCACCATTTGCTAAAAAGGCTATTCTTTCCCCATTAGATTGTCGTGGCAACTTTGTCAAAAATCAGTTGGCCAGGCGCAGTGGCTCACACCTGTAATCCCTACACTTTGGGAGGTCGAGGAGGGCAGATCATGAGGTCAGGAGTTCGAGACCAGCCTGACCAACTTGGTGAAAACCCATCTCTACTAAAAACACAAAAAATTAGCCGGGCATGGTGGCACGCACCTGTAATCCCAGCTACTCAGGAGGCTGAGGCAGGAGAATCGCTTGAACCTGGGAGGTAGAGGTTGCAGTGAGCCGAGATTGCACCACTGCACTCCAGCCTGGGCGACACAGGGAGACTCCAACTCAAAAAAAAAAAAAAAATCAGTTGATCACATACACATGGGTTTATTTCTGTTTATCTACATATTTTGCACTGCATTTATTAAACTTATTCCTAAGTATCTTATTCTTTTTTATGCTATTGTAAATAGAATTATTTCTTTCTTTTTTTTTTTTTTTTTTGAGACGGAGTCTCACTCTGTCGCCTAGGCTGGAGTGCAGTGATGTGATCTCGGCTCACTGCAAGCTTTGCCTCCCGGGTTTACGCCGTTCTCCTGCCTCAGCCTCCCGAGTAGCTGGGACTACAGGTGCCCGTCACCACGCCCGGCTAATTTTTTGTATTTTTAGTAGAGATGGGGTTTCACTGTGTTAGCCAGGATGGTCTCGATCTCCTGTCCTCGTGATCCACCCATCTCGGCCTCCTAAAGTGCTGGGATTACAAGCCTGAGCCACCGCGCCCAGCCATTATTTCTTAATTTTATTTTCTGATTGTTAATTGCTAGTATATAGAAATAGTTGATTTTTGTATATTGATTTTGTGTCCTGCAAGCTTGCTGTGGTGGTTTATGAACTCTAATAGTTTTTATTGTGTATTTTTGATTTTCCTATTTTTTTTTTTTTTTTTTTGGAGACAGGATCACTCAGCCTCTGTCACCCAGGCTGGAGTGCAGTGGTGCGATCTCGGCTCACTGCAACCTCCGCTTCCTCAGGTTCAAGCAATTCTCATGCTTCGGCCTCCTAAGTAGCTGGGATTACAGGCGCACACCACCACGCCCAGCTAATTTTTGTATTTTTAGTAGCGTTGTGGTTTCATCATGTTGGCCAGACTGGTCTCCAACTCCTGACCTTAAGTGATCCTCCCACCTTAGCCTCCCAAAGTGCTGGTATTACAGGCATGAGCCACTGAGCTCGATCTGACTTTCTGTATATAAAATGATGTCAACTGTGAATAAAGGTAGTTGTACTTCTTCATTTCCAATCTGGATCCTTTTTTTTTTTGCCTTATTTCCCTGGCTAGAGCCTCCTATATAATCTTGAGGAAGTAGTGAGAGTAGACATCATCGTCTTGTTGGAAGTATAATTGACAAATAAAAATTATATATATTGTCAAGGTGTACAACATGATCATTTAAGTATACATATATGTGAAACAATTGCCACAATCAAGTTAATAAACACATCCATCCATCACCTTACATAGCTCTATGTGTTGGGGGGTTGGGGGGCGGTGAGGACACTTAAGATTTACTCTCTTGGCTGGGCACGGTGGCTCACGCCTGTAATCCCAGCACTTTGGGAGGCTGAGGCGGGTGGATCATGAGGTCACGAGATTGAGACCAGCCTGACCAACATGGTGAAACCCCGTCTCTACTAAAAAAAACAGAAAAATTAGCTTGGCGTGGTGGCATGCGCCTGTAATCCCAGCTACTCAGGAGGCTGAGGCAGGAGAATTGCTTGAACCTGGGAAGCGGAGGTTGCAGTGAGCTGAGATCACGCCACTGCACTGCAGCCTGGTGACGGAGCGAGACTCTGTCTCAAAAAAAAAAAAAAAATTTACTCTCTTGTCCTTGTCCTTGCCATGATCAGGACTAAAAAATAGAAAATAAAAAAAGATATACGGCCGGGCATGGTGGCTCATGGTGGCTCATGCCTGTAATCCCAGCACTTTAGGAGGCCAAGGGGGGTGGGTCACAAGGTCAGGACTTTGAGACCAGCCTGGCCAACATAGTGAAACCCCATCTCTATTAAAAATACAAAAAATTAGCTGGGCATGGTGGCGGGCACCTGTAATCCCAGCTACTTGGGAGGCTGAGGCAGAAGAATCGCTTGAACCTGGGAAGCAGAGGTTGCAGTGAGCCAAGATTGTGCCACTGCACTCCAGCCTGGGTGACAGTGTGACACTCAGTCTAAAAAAAAAAAAAAAAAATTTCCTCTGGTAGCAAATTTCAAGTATATAATACAGTATTAACTATAGTTACCATGCTGTATATTAGCTCCCCGGGATTTATTTGTTTTTCTAATTGAAAGCTTGTACTCGGCTGGGCATGGTGGCTCACGCCTGTAATCCCAGCACTTTGGGAGGCTGTGGGGCAGGGCGGGTGGATCACCTAGGTTAGGAGTTCAAGACCAGCCTTGCCAACCTGGTGAAACTCCATCTCTACTAAAAATACAAAAATGTAGCTGGGCATGGTGGTGGGTGCCTATAATCTAGCTACTCAGGAGACTGAGGCAGGAGAATTGCTTGAACCTGGGAGGTGGTGGTTGCAGTGAGCTGAGATTGTACCATTGTACTCCAGCATGGGCAACAAGAGTGAAACTCTGTATCAAAAAAAAAAAAAAGAAAGAAAGAAAGTTTGTACTCTTTGACTAACTTCTCCCCATTTCCCTTTTTCTGATCTTAGGGAAAAGTCATCCCATTTTTTACCATGAAGTATACTGTTAGGTGTGGGTTTTTCATAGATGCTTTTTATTAGATTAGGGAAGTTCTCTTCTATTCCCAGTTTAGGGGTTTTTATATGAAAGAATGTTGAGTTTTGTCAATGCATTTGATATGATGTATTACACTTACTGATTTTCAGATATTAAACCAACTTCATATTCTTAGGATAGATCCAACTTAGTCATAGTTGCTGTCCTGTCTCAGCCTCCCGAGTAGCTGGGATTACAGGCACGCACCACCACGCCTGGTTAATTTTTGTATTTTTAGTAGAGACTGGGTTTTGCCACATTGGCCAGGCTGGCTGGTCTCGAACTCCTGACCTCAGGCGACGCTCACCTCGGCCTTCCAAAGTGCTGGGATTACAGGCATAAGCCACCACGACTGGCCTATATATTTATTTTAAAGAGAAGGGGTATTGCTATGTTGCCCACGCTAGCCTTGAACTGGGTTCAAATAATCTTCCTACCTCAGCCTCCCTAGTAGCTGGGACTATATAGTCATGCACCACTAGGCCTGGCAAAAAAATTTTTTTTTTTTTGGTATTGTCAGGGTCTTGGTCTGTAACTCTTACCTTTCAGTGCTCTTACTTTTTTTTTTTTTTTTTTTTTGAGACAGAGTCTAGCTCTGTTGCCCAGGCTGGAGTGCAGTGGCACAATCTCAGCTCACTGCAACCTCTGCCTCCCGGGTTCAAGCGATTCACCTGCCTCAGCCTCCCGAGTAGCTGGTATTACAGGTGCCCACCACCACGCCCAGCTAATTTCTGTATTTTTAGTAGAGATGGGGTTTCATTGTGTTGGCCAAGCTGGTCTCGAACTCCTGACCTCAGGTGATCCGCCCACCTCGGCCTCCCAAAGTGCTGAGATTACAGGTGTGAGCCACCACCTCCGGCCCACTATTATAGCCTCCTGAGTAGCTGGGATTACAGGCACGCACCATCTTGCCCGGCTAATTTTTGTATTTTTGTAGAAACAGGGTTTCACCAGTTGGCCAGGCTGGTCTTGAACTCCTGACCTCAGGTGATCTGCCCGTCTTGGCCTTGCAAAGTGCTAGGATTACAGGTGTGCGGCCCCGCGCCTGGCCATTTTTTATTTTCTGTATATAATGATGTTTTGAAATCTGAAAAAACTTTTCTGTCTAGGGTGATTGCCCATGCCAGGGCTAGCCAATTCTTTTTTTTTTTTGAGACAGCATTTCACTCTTGTTGCCCAGGCTAGAGTACAATGGCGCAATCTAGGCTCACTGCAACCTCCGCCTCCCGAGTTTTTAAAGGGGTTTTCCTGCCTCAGCCTCTTGAGTAGCTGGGATTACAGGCGCCCACCACCACGCCCGGCTAGTTTTTTGTATTTTTAGTAGAGATGGGGTTTCACCATCTTGGCCAGGCTGGTCTTGAACTCCTGATGTCAGGTGATCCACCTGCCTTAGCCTCCCATAGTGCTGGGATTACAGGCGTGAGCCACCACTGTGCCCGGCTTTTTTTTTTTTTTTTTTTAAGACAAAGTCTCACTGTGGCCCTGGCTGGAGTGCAATGGTGCCATCTTGGCTCCCACCTGTAACCACCACCTCCCAGATTCAACTGATTCTCGTGCTTCAGCCTCCCGAGTAGCTGGGATTACAGGTGCATGGGACCGGGACTGGCTAATTTTTGTATTTTCAGTAGAGTCAGGGTCTCACCATGTTGGCTAGGCTGGTCTCAAACTCCTGACTTCAAGTGATCTGCCTACCTCAGCCTCCCAAAGTGCTGGGATTATAGGCATGCCCTACTGTGTTCAATCCCAATTATTTATTTTATTTTACTTTTTTGAGACAAGCTCACCAAGTTACCCAGGCTGGAGTGCAGTCGTGTGATCATGGCTCACTGCAGCCTCAAACTCCCAGGCTCAAGCTATCCTCCCACCTCAGCCTCCCAAGTAGCAAGAACTACAGGTGCACATCACCAAGGCTAATTTTTTTTTTTTAAATCTTTGAGACGGAGTTTCACTCTGTCGCCCATGCTAGAGTGCAGTGGCGCTATCTCAGCTCACTGCGACCTCTGCCCCCAGGGGTTCAGGAGATTCTCCTGCCTCAGACTCCTAAGTAGCTGGAATTACAGGTATGCACCACCACACCTGGCTAATTTTTGCATTTTTAGTAGAGAGGGTGTTTTGCCATATTGGCCAAGTTAGTCTCGAACTCTTGACCTTAGGTGATTCGCTTGCCTCAGCCTCCCAAAGTGCTAGGATTACAGGCATGAGACACCAAGCTCAGGCAATTTTTATGGTTTTGTAGAGACGGTGTTTTGCCATGTTGCCCAGGCTGGTGCCAGTTAAAGATAGCAAAGAACTCAGCTGAGAGCATGCTTTCTATATGCAAACTAACCAATCCAGAGCCCCATGGCCTCTATCTATACCCATGCACCAGGCCTTAACCATTTACTCTGCCCTGTCGTTCTACAAAATCCCAATAAAGGCTCTAGCCTTGGTTTCCCAAGCTAGAATTCAAACCCAATTCTAGCTTCTGCCACCTGACCCAAACCTGGTGCTTCCCCTGTGACCCTGCATGGTATGCAGTGACCCCCTCTTCAGGACCTGTAAGTATAATTATCTATTTTCCTGTGCATCTCCTTTATCTCCTCTTGTGGCCACACCTGACTCATAATCACATAAAATAACACGGAACACAGGTACTGGAGGATAAATACCGCAGAGTTTTTGCCCAGTGGTTCACATAATGGGGACCCCAGACTAGCAGCATAGGTACCACCTGAGAATTTGTTAGATGAAAAGGTTAATCTTTGGTCGGGCACGGTGGCTGACTCCTGTAATCCCAGCACTTTGGGAGGCCAAGGCGGGCAGATCACCTGAGGTCAGGAGTTCAAGACCATCCTGGCCAACATGGCGAAACCCTGGTCTCTACTAAAAATACAAAAATTAGCTGAGCATGGTGGTGGGTGCCTGTAATCCCAGCTACTCAGGAGGCTGAGGCAGGAGAATCACTTGAAACCAGGAGGAGGTTGCAGCGAGCCGAGATCGCACCATTGCACTCCAGCCTGGGCAACAAAGTGAGACTCCATCTCAAAAAAAAAAAAAAAAAAGTTAATCTTTGAGGTCAAATTTGGGTTTGAATTCTAGCTCCACACTAATCCTACCCTGCAGCAATGTCGTGAGGACTAAAAGAGATTCAATGAGATCACGTAAATAATTCTACTACTGAAACCACCTTTGCAAAATTATGACTGAGACAGTGAAAGAGATCTAACTTAACTGACTCCATCTTGCTTCTAACCTCCAAGTTATCTTTGTTCATTCCTGGGCGTAGGCTGAACTAACTTTGGGAGAAACTTAGTTTACAGTTTAAAACAAAGACAGAGGCTGGGTGTGGCGGCTCACCCCTGCAATCCCAGCACTTTTGGAGGCTGAGGTGGGCGGATTACGAGGTCAGTAGATCCAGACCATCCTGGCCAACACGGTGAAGCCTGGTCTCTACTAAAAATAAAAAATTAGCTGGGTGTGGTGACGGGTGCCTGTAATCCCAGCTACTCAGTAGGCTGGGGCAGGAGAATTGCTTGAACCAGGGAGTCAGAAGTTGCGGTAAACTGAGATAGCGCCACTGCACTCCAACCAGCCTGGGCGACAGAGCGAGACAAAACAAAATAAAACAAACAAAGACAGTAATGGCCCTTTCCCAAAGCACTTCTCCTTCTTGCCTGGATTGCCTTTGTAGGACGAACATTAGCCACAAGATTAGAAAATACAGTTTAGGATTCATGCAGCCGGAGACTACAAGATTCTGACCCTCCCTAAACTGCTCCTAAAATCAGTGCTTGAGATATTTTGAAGACCCTGCTCTTGATGGATCAGCTGACACTACCCAGATGGATAAACTGGCTCATCTGATCTTGTGGCCTCCACCCAGGAACAGAAGACACCTTCGACTCCCTATGATTTCACCTCTGACCAATCAGAACTCCTGGCTCACTGGATTCCCCCTACCCACCAAGTTGTCCTTAAAGACTCTGCTTCCTGAATGCTTGAATGCTCGGATGCTCGGGGACACTGATTTGAGTAATAATAAAACCCCAGTCTCCCGCACAGCCGGCTCTGCGTGAATTACTTTTTCTCTATTGCAATTCTCCTGACTTGATGAATCCAGATCTCGACAGTGGTCAAGGTGAAAGCCATCGGGTAGTTACACTACTAGGTCAGGATTTCCACGATCTTTTCTTTCCCATTGCCATTGTGAACCCCAAATATCTGAGGCAGGTCTCAGTCAATTTAGGAAGTTTATTTTGTCCAAGTTAAGGACGCGCGTCCTTGACACAGCCTCAGAAAGTCCTGACGACATGTGCCCAAGGTGGTTGGGGCACAGCTTGGTTTTATACATTTTAAGGAGACATGAGACATCAATCAATATGTGTAAGATAGACATTGATTCCGTCTGGAAAGGTGGGACAACTCAAAGTGGGCAGGACGCTTCCAGGTCATAGATGTTAAGAGACAAATGGTTGCATTCTTTTGAGTTTCTGATTAGCCTTTCCAAAGGAGGCAATCAGATGTGCATTTATCTCAGTGAGCAAGGGGATGACTTTGAGTTCTGTCTGTCCTTTGTCCACAAGGAAATTCCCTGTGAGGGTGGTATGTAGCTTTTTAATCTTAGTAGCTATTTTTTTTTTTAAGGAATAGAATGAAAGGCAGGGGCTGGGTGGGGTGGCTCATGCCTGTAATTCTAACACTTTGGGAGGCTGAGGCCAGTGGATCACCTGAGGTCAGGAGTTCAAGACCAGCCTGGCCAACACGGAGAAACCTCGTCCTACTAAAGATACAAAAATTAACTAGGCGTGGTGGCATGTGCCTGTAGTCCCAGCTACTTGGGAGGTTGAGGCAGGAGGATCCCTTGAACCCAGGAGGCGGAGGTTGCAATGAGCAGAGATTGCACCACTGTACTCCAGCCTGGGTGACAAAGCAAGACTGTCAAAAATTTAAAAAAATGAAAATAAAAAGAAAGAAAATCAGGTTTTCAAGTAGTTCCCAGCTTGACTTTTCCCTTTGACTTAGTGATTTTGGGGTCCCAAGATTTATTTTATTTTCCTATCACACCATAATATAACAAAAGCTTCTACCTGTTTTCTCATTATTTTATTGTAACTACCAGAGGCTTAAATTACTTAAACTACTCATTTTAGCAATTATTGGGAAGGAAAAATGCACAAACAGGAATAGGAATAGAAAAATGAGGTTGCATGGTATTTCCAAGAAAAAGAGAAATTCAGTATGAGATCATTTTTCAAGGTACTCAGAAAAATTATTTGACATACCACCCTGAATGCTGGTGTATGCTCAAAGCCTGCAATGATAGCAGTTTTTAAAAAAATCACTGAAAAGTCTGGGCGTGGTGGCTCACGCCTGTAATACCAGCCCTTTGGGGGGGCCGAGGCAGGCAGATCACCTGAGGTCAGGAGTTCGAGACCAGCCTGGCCATCATGGTGAAACCCTGTCTCTAATAAAAATACAAAAAGGCCGGGTGCAGTAGCTCATGCCTGTAATCCCAGCACTTTGGGAGGTCGAGGCGGGCAGATCACGAGGTTTGGAGATCAAGACCATCCTGGCCAACATGGTGAAACCCTGTCTCTACTAAAAATATAAAAAATTAGCTGGGTGTGGTGGCACGTGCCTGTAATCCCAGCTACTCGGGAGGCTGAGGCAGAAGAACCCTTGAACCAGGGAGTCAGAGGTTGCAGTGAGCTGAGATCATGCCACTGCACTCCAGCCTGGCGACAGAATGAGACTCCATCTTAAAAAAAAAAAAATTGGCTGGGCGTGGTGACGTGCACCTGTAGTCCCAGCTACTGGGGAAGCTGAGGCAGGAGAATCACTTGAGCCTGGGAGGTGGAGTCTGCAGTGAGCTGAGACTGCACCACTGCACTCCAGCCTAAGCAACAGAGCGAGACTCTGTCTCAAAAATAATAATAATAAAAATAAAAATAACTGAAAAAAATCACCATTCTATGTATTTTTTATTTTACTGAGAGAATGCCAATAATCCTTTGAGGTGGGTAGGACAGGCATTACTACCTCCATTTTACAGGGACCTAAAACACAGAGGGATTAAGTGACTTGCCTGTGATTACAAAACTATTTGATGAGGAAGCTGGAATTGAAGTCATGTCAATTAATTACAAATTACATAGTCTCAGAGCTTTTGAGAATATCTCAAAACAAAGGTAATACTGAGAGGATAAGGGTCACTATGCACTTATAAATCCGATATATATTTATTCAATAGTTAATGGTTAATAATACTATTGAATAAATAAATATCGATTTATAAATAAAATTTTTTTATTGTTGAGATGGAGTCTTCCTCTATTGCCCAGGCTGGTGTGCAGTGACGTGATCTCCGCTCACTGCAACCTCTACCTCCCAGGTTCAAGGAATTCTCATGTCTTAGCCTCCTGAGTAGCTGGGACTATATATAGGCACTCGCCACCACACCTGGCTAATTTTTGTATTTTTTGTATTTTTTTTTTTTAGTAGACTCGGGTTTTCACTATGTTGGTGAGGCTGGTCTCAAACTCCTGACCTCAAGTCATCCACCTACCTTGGCCTCCCAAACTGCTGGGATTACAGGTGTGAGTCCCACTTCCAGCCAGTAAAAATCTTATTACAGTGAATACCATTGCATATACACAATGAATGCTATTTCCATAGGAAAGGAAGCAAAGAGGATCTCCATGCTATTTAAGAGAAGCTCCCTATTTCCAATACAGATTTTGGGAACAGAGGGTAGGAAGCATATGTATGGATATTTATTCCGATCAAAATTTAGCAGCCTGGGCAACATGGTGAAAGCTGATCTCTCCAAAAAAATACAAAAAATTAGCCAGGCATATGGTGGTGCATGCCTGTAGTCCCAGCTACCCAGGATGCTGAGGAAGGAGGATCGCTTGAACCCGGGAGGCAGAGGTTACTGTGATGATCACCTGTGAGCCCAGGAGGTCGAGACTGCAGTGAGCCGTGATGGCACCACTGCACTCCAGCCTGGGCGACAGACCATGACCCTGTCTCAAAAAAAATAAAACAAAATAAAAAGTTTAAACAAAATGAGTGAATCTTTTGAAAGCTTTGTCATTTGCCAGGTGCGGTGGCTCATGCCTGTTATCCCAGAACTTTGGGAGGCCAAGGCGGGTGGATCACCTGAGGTCAGGAGTTCGAGACCAGCCTGACTAACACGCAGAAACCGCCGTCTCTATTAAAAATACAAAATTAGCCGGGCATGGTGGCGCATGCCTGTAATCCCAGCTACTCAGGAGGCTGAGGCAGGAGAATCGCTTGACCTGGGAGGCAGAGGTTACTGTGAGCCGAGATCATGCCATTGCACTCCAGCCTGGGCAACAAGAGTGAAACTCCACCTCAAAAAGAAAAAAAAAAAAAAAGAAAGCTTTGTAATTTGACTTGACATGGACTTCATGGTAGTATGTACAGGACATCGCTGTTTTAGTATACCATGTGAAGGTATCGCTGAGTACAATCCATATATGGATATGGGAGTGTGTAAGTAAACAGAGACCCACATTACTCAATATCCTTAGATTCCAGACCACAAGATCCCTGAGGATAGAGGCTGTTCCCTCTCACACCCACATCACAGTACCTAGCACTAATGAATGAATACATAAATGAGTGAGTGAATGAACTCATTTTCTTTAAAATTATCCTTCTCCAACTCATCTTGTCAAAAGCACCTTTCTCTACTTCTGACCCTTGGGGTCACTATTCTGTCCTCAGTCAAAAATATTTCCACTCCAGGACCAGACTGAATTCCCTCCAGAAACAAGATCCTTTCTTCCCTTTAATCTAGGGGAAGATAAATGACAGATCAAGGTGACTCTCACAGTCATTTGGCCCCTGACTATGTTGGGGTCTTCTGGACTGCTCACATATATTTGCTTATTACCATTTCCATTATCTTACTCAGATTTTTGTGGGTTTTTTTTTTTTTTTTTGAGACAGAGTCTTGCTTTGTCGCCAGGCTGGAGTGCAGTGGCACGATCTTGGCTCACTGCAACCTCTGCCACCTCGTTTCAAGAGATTCTCGTGCCTCAGCCTCCGGAGTAGCTGGGACTACAGGCGTGCACCACCACACCCAGCTAATTTTTGTATTTTTAGTAGAGATGGGGTTTCACCATGTTGGCCAGGCTGGTCTCGGTCTCCTGACCTCGTGATCTGCCCACCTCGGCCTCCCAAAGTGCTGGAATTTATCTTACTTAGTTTTTATAAGCCAAGCTTCTGATCGAAATCAGCACATTCAAGGTTCTTACTGCTCATTCTATTTTCCAAGCCTTTAATTTCTGCATGTCAATGAAAAGAGTCAAACTCTGCAAGATATTTAAAGAGATTTACTCTGAGCCAAATATGAGTGGCCATGGGCCATGACACAGCCCTGGAGATCCTGAGAACCTGTGCCCAATGTGGTCAGGTTACAGCTTGGTTTTATACGTTTTAGTGGGACACAGGACATCAATCAATACATGTAAGATGTACAGCCCAGGCGCGGTGGCTCACGCCTGTAATCCCAGCACTTTGGGAGGCCAAGGCAGGTGGATCACCTGAGGTCAGGAGTTGTAGACCAGCCTGGCCAATATGGTAAAACCCTGTCTCTACTAAAAATGCAAAAATTAGCCAGGTGGTGGTGGTGGGTGCCTGTAATTCCAGTAACTCGGGAGTCTGAGGCAGGAAAATCGCTTGAACCCAGGAGGCGGAGGTTGCGGTGAGCTGAGATCGCGCCATTGCACTCCAGCCTGGGGTACAAGAGCGAAACTCCATCTCAAAAAAACACAAAAAACAAAAAGCGAAAATACACAAAGATGTACATTGGTCAGGAAAGACAGGACAATTTGAAGTCAGGTCTGGTGGAGGGGCTTCCAGGTCATAGATGGATTCAGAGATTTTCAGATTGGCAGTAGGTTGAAAGAGTTTATCTAAAGACCTAGAATCAATAGAAGGGAGTGTCTGCGTTAAGATAAGGAGTTGTGGAGACCAAAGTTCTTACTATGCAGATGAAGCCTCCAGGTAGCAGGCTTAGAGAGAATAGATTGTAAATGTTTCTTATGAGACATGAAAAGGTGCCAGACTTAATTAAGGTGCCAGACTTAATTCGCTCCTGGATGAGGAAAAAGACCTGGAAAGGGAAGGGGATTCTCTACAAAATGTAGATTTTTCTCCACAAGAGACAGTTTTGCAAGGTCATTTAAAAATATGTCAAAGAAATATATTTTGGGGTCAGGCGCAGTGGCTCATGTCAGTAATCCCAAGAACTTTGGGAGGCCGAGGCTGACAAATTGCTTGAGCCCAGGAATTCAAGACCAGCCTGGGCAACATGGCGAAACCCTGTCTCTAGAAAAAATACGAAAAAATTAGCCAGGCATGATGGCACATGCCTGTAGTCCCAGCTACTTGAGAAGCTGAGGTAGGAAGATTGCTTCAGCCAGGACGATTGAGGCTGCAGTGAGCCGAGATCACGTCACTGCACCCCAGCCTGGGCAATAGAGTGGGACCCTGTCTCCCCTCCCAATCCCCAGCATATCCCCCAAAATATATATTTTGGGATAGAATATTTTATTTCTTTCAGGGCCCACTATCTGTCATGTTGGTATCTTCTTGCCACAAGAGTTGGCTTTGTCAGTCTTAAGGTCTCTGTCAATGTTAATGCTGGTCAGTTGCACCTGAATTCCAAGGGGAGGAGGGTATAATGAGGTATGTCTGACCCATCATGGCCTGAACTAGTGTTTTAGGTTTACTTTGGAATGCTCTTAGCTGACAGGAGGAGTCCGTTCAGTTGGTTGGGGGCTTAGAATTTTATTTTTGGTTTATATTCAGAATCTTTCACGCATTGTATTCCACAGTTTTACAGATGTATGAACTTTGCGATTAGCCAGTTAAGAAAAAAAAATTGGTCGGGCATGGTGGCTCACACCTGTAATCCCAGCACTTTGGGAGGCTGGGATGGGTGGATCACCTGAGGTCAGGAGTTCAAGACCAGCCTGGCCAACATGGTGAAACTCTGTCTCTACTAAAAATACAAAAAACTTATCTGGGCACGGTGGCGCACGCCTGTAGTCCCAGATACTTGGGAGCCTGAGGAATGAGAATCACTTAAACCCAGGTGGGAGGCTGCAGTAGGCAGAGTTTGCAGTAAGCACTGCACTCCACCCTGGGCAACAGAGTGAGACACTGTCTCAATAAAATAAAATAAAAAAGAAAAAGAAAAAAAATTCACTCTATACAATTGTTATTGATCTGTTGTAAATGGATTGTTAATCAACAAATGTTGGAAATAAGTTGTCTTTTTTGGTAAAAGGGTAAGGGTAAGAAGAATGGGAAAAAAAATGAAAGGAAGCAACTTTTTTTGAGCATCTACTTTATGCCAGATATTTTGCTATGCATTTAATTTTCACAAAAACCTTATAAGTAAGGGAGACAGATAATAATTGTTCCTAAATATCTGTTCTTCCCTTCTTGGAAAGTAACAGAATATTTGGTGGGCACATGGCTTTTCTGCTAAGTTCTATTATTACATTTCTCAGCCAGTCTCGTAGCTAGGGACACAGGAAAGTGACATGAGCAGAATGGATGTGTGTAACTTGTGGATGGTACTGTGTAAGGAAAGGAATGTGCCCTCCTCTTTGCTTCTCCCTCTCTCTGCTGGACTAAATGTTGACTTTTCTTTCTATTTTTTAGAGACAAGTCAACAAGGCTGGAGTGCAGTGGTACAATCACAGCTCCCTCCAGCCTTGAACTCTGGGGCTCAAGCAATCCTCCTGCCTTGGCCTCCCAAAGTGCTAGAATTACAGATATGAGCCACTGCACGCCCAGCGTAAATGTTGACTTTTCATTCCAGACCACATGGATGACAGCACAGTATGGATAGCAGAGTAATAAGACTGATGAAATCACTGACACCTAGGTAACCAACACTATGGGGCATACACATCATCAGCCCTGGACTGCATCCACTTGGACTGTCACATAAGTGAGAAATAACTTCTACCTTGTTTTTTTTTTTTTTTTCTGAGACAGAGTCTCGCCCTGTCATCCAGGCTGGAGTGCAACAGCGCGATCTCAGTTCACTGCAACCTCTGCCTCCTGGGTTCAAGCGATTCTCTTGCCTCAGCCTCCCGAGTAGCTGGGACTACAGGTGCCTGCCACCACACCCAGGCAATTTTTGTATTTTTAGTAGAGATGGGGTTTCACCATGTTGGCCAGGCTGGTCTCAAATTCCTGACCTCATGATCCGCCCTCCTCGGCCTCCCAAAGTGCTGGGATTACAGGCGTGAGCCACTGCACCTGGCCAACTTCTACTTTGTTTATGCCACTGTTATTTAAGTCTCTGTTACAGCTTCTGAACCAAGTTGTTGTGTAACTCCCTGTGCAATCTATGTGAGTGGCTCTCCTGGAATTGTCCAACATGGCAGCCTTGAACTGAACTAATATGGTAATGAGAAAACAAGTTCAGAAAGATTAAAAATTTTTCTGAAGTCAAACTGCTACGTGATAATAGCAAAGACATGGAATCAACCTAAATGCCCATCAATGGCAGACTGGATAAGGAAAATGTAGTATATACACACCATGGACTACTACGCAGCCATAAAAAAAGAACAAGATCATGTCTTTTTCAGGAACAAGAATGGAGCTTGAGGCCATTATCCATAGCAAACTAACACAGGAACAGAAAACCAAATACTACATTCTCGCTTATAAGTGTATAAGTGGGAGCTAAATAATGAGAACACATGGGCACAAAGAGGAGAACACAGACACTGGGGACTACTTGAGAATGGAGGGTGGAGGGTGGAAGGAAGGAGAGGATCAGAAAAAATAACTAGTGGGTACTAGGCTTAGCACCTTAGATAAAACAATCTATACAACAAACCCCCATGACATGAGTTTACCAATATAACAAACCTGCCCATGTACCCCGAACCTAAAGTAAATGTTTAAAACCAAAAATGACAACAAAAAAAACTATGTGATAAGGTGGGATTGAACCTAGACCTACATGATACCAAATAGTGATTGTACTAGATTCTAGCCCTGGATTTTCACTTCGTGAAATGTTGCTGACTAGAAGGAAAGTTCCAGCACTTGTGCTTTTACAGTACGAGCAGTGTTTTGTTTTGTTTTGTTTTGTTTTTTCTGAGAAGGAGTCTCTCTGTCACCCACACTGGAGTGCAGTGGTTTCAATTCCCATGTTAAAACAGCAACAACGATGGCAGTGTGGATAGTGAAGCAAAGGGAGTGCCCCTGCCCTGGACGTGTGCTGCGCTTAGGAACAGCAATGGTATGAAGGAATCCAGTTTGGTTGTACCTCTGTACTTTTAGAATGACACTAATATCACCATGTACAGATTTAATCTCAGCTTTTGTTCTCAATCCTCTTGCTTTATATCCTGGAACAAGTTCTTTCTTCCTATCTGGCAATCACAACAAACTCTGCAGGGGAGACAGGGATGGGAAATGACTCCAACAAGAGCAACACTCAACATAAAGTTATCACAAGGTTGAGGACAGGGAGATGTTGATATAAATGTCAGTGGGCAGTGGAGAGAAAGCTAGATAATAAATCTTATATTTATTTTGGGGAACAGAGAAAAGGAAAGTTAAAGTTACTGAATGTCTACTACAATTATGTGCCACATAATGACTTCCAGTCAATACCAGTATCCCACAAGATTATAATACTGTACTTTTTTTTTTTTTAGATGGAATCTCGCTCTGTCACCCAGCCTGGAGTACAGTGGCGCAATCTCGGCTCACTGCAACCTCCGCCTCCCAGGTTCCAGTGATTCTCCTGCCTCAGCCTCCCAAATAGCTGGGATTACAGGTGCCCATCGCCATGCCTGGATAATTTTTGTATTGTTAGTAGAGACAGGGTTTCACCATGTTGGCCAGGCTGGTCTCCAACTCCTGACCTCAGCTGACCTGCCCATCTCAGCCTCCCAAAGTGTTGGGATTACAGGCGTGAGCCACCACACCCAGCCAATGAAACAATATTGACACCTTACTAGGTTTGATGTATTCTGACATTTTTCTGTTCCATTTTATTATTATTTTTTTAGAGACAGGGTCTCACTTAGTGGTACCATCATGGCTCACTGCTGCCTCAACCTCCCGGGCTCAGACGATCCTCCCACCTAGCCTCCTAAGTAGCTGGGACCACAAGTCACCACCACACCTGACTCATTTTTGTATTTTTTGTAGAGACAGCGTTTTTTGCCATGTTGTCCAGGCTGGTCTCCAACTCTTGAGCTCAAAAGATTCACTCGTCTCAGCCTCCCAAAATGCTGAGGCGTGAACCACCGTGCCTGGCCTGTTCCATTTTATTCTATCTGAAAATATTAAATGATGGTTGAGACCCAATAAACTAATTTCACACCCCCTAACTTTTATTCAACACAATTACATTAAAACTGCTGATTGCACCATTTAATGTAAAGGGTCAGAAAAATATTAATAGAAAATTTTTAAAGCTTTTACTACAAAACAAAGTTGAGGATTGAAATACAGACCTCTGACAAATCCCTTAGGTGCTGGTGCTGCTAAAATAAATTAGATGCAGCTGACTTCATTAAGGTCTCTCCCTGTGGCTTTCACTCTTGGGCAGAAAGAGGAATCAGACCAGGAAGAAGGTAAGTTTGGTTTTTATGCTGGAGTAGGCAGACTGGGGGCCCATAATATATACATATACATACATATATATATATATATATATATTTTTTTTTTTTAGATGGAGTTTCACTCTGTCCAGCCCAGGCTGGAGTGCAGTGGTGTGATTTCGGCTCACTGCAGCCTCCACTTCCCAGGTTCAAGCGATTCTCGTACCTCAGCCTCCCGAGTAGCTGAGACTACAGGTGTGCACTACCACGCCCAGCTAATTTTTGTATTTTTAGTAGAGACGGGGTTTCACCATGTTGTCCAGGCTGGTCTCGAACTCCTGGCCTCAAGTGATCCATCTGCCTTGGCCTCCCAAAGTGCTGGGGATCCTCCTACCTCAGCCTTCCGAGTAGTTGGGACTACAGGCATGAGCTATCAAGCCGGGCTAATTTTTTTTTATTTTTAGTTGAGATTAGGTCTTGTAATGTTGCCCAGGCTGGTATCAAACTCCTGAGCTCAAGAAAACCTCCTGCCTTGGCCTCTTAAAGTGCTGAGATTACAGGCATGAGCCACCACCTGGCCAAATTAACCATCTTAATCATCTTTTTAAAAAAGAGATGGGGTCTCACTATGTTGCCCAGGCTGGAGTCCTACTCCTAGCCTCAAGTGATCCTCCTGCCTCTGCCTTCCGAATACCTGGAACTAGCGGCCTGAGACACCTGGCAGGGCTACCTTAACCTTTTTTAAGTGTAGAGTTCAGTAGTGTTAAGTACATTCATACTATTATGAAACTAAGACTTTGAATTTATCCTCCAGGCAACTGAGATTTATGGAATTACTGAAAGATTTCAGGACCCTACTAGAGGTTTAGGAAGGTTGTCTTGGGGGGTGGGTGTAGTGGGAGGTAGGGGATGGAGGCTAGCAGGACTGGAAGGGATTGTAAGTTTAAAAGCTTGCAGGGGGCCTTGTAAGTAAGGGTTGGTTTTGGCTTGGTCACAGGGTTTTCTGCCAGAGGGGAAGTTAGAGAAGGGAACTCAACACACCACTGGCTGAGTACCAAGCCTGTATGGGCCAGATGCTTTCCGAGGGCTGCACACTTGAGCTAGCCAGCCACACCTTGCCAGGATGTGCTCTGTTAACCCCTACAGTTAAAAAAAATGGGGGAGGCGGGTTTGGATTAGTTGCAAAAATGGAAACATTTGGAGATCTCACTTTTTTTTTTTTGACGCAGTTTCACTCTTGTTGGCCAGGCAATGGCGCGATCTCGGCTCACTGCAACTTCCGCCTCCTGAGCTCAGATTCTCGTGCCTCAGCCTCCCGAGTAGCTGGGATTACAGGCACCCACCCGGCTAATTTTTTGTATGTTTAGTAGAGACGGGGTTTCACTATGTTGGCCAGGCTGGTCTCGAACTCCTGAGCTCAGGCGATCCGCCCGCCTCAGCCTCCCAAAGTGCTGGGATTACAGGCGTGAGCCACCGCGCCCGGCCAACGCCCTGCTAATTTTATCATTTTCTTGTAAAGACGGGGTCTGGCTGTGTGGCCCAGGCTAGTCTCCAATTCCTGGCTTCAGTTGATTCCCCTGCCTCAGCCTCTTAAAGTGCTGGGATTACAGGTGTGAGCCAACGAGTTCGGTCTCACTCTATTTTAAAAAAACCTTTTAATCAATATATAACAGACATATAGAAAAGGACACAAATAAGCGTAGAGCTTAGTGAATGTTCACAAAGCAACAACACCTGAGATGAACCAGCATCCACATCAACAAGCAGAACGTCGCTAGCATCTCTGGAGTGATGCTCATTTAGCCCTATGAAACCTCATGAAGCCGACCGTTTTATCACCCCCATATTACGCATGAGGAAACAAGCGTGGAGAGGTCGGTCTCAAGCAAAGCCCTGTTGAAACCGGCATTTGAATCAGATCCGCTGACTGACTCCAAAGCCAATGCTCTCAAAAAGCAGGTTTGGGGGTTAGACGGTGAGTTCAGCTTTGAACGATGTTGAGTGGGCGTCTCGTTTTACAGAAACTTACTTCCCGACGTCACAGCCACAGAAACCACAGGTAACCAGACGCCTGCACGTCAGGCCACCGACGCCTTGGTCTACACAGCGCAGCCTCCAGTGAGCCCGCGGCATGCCGCGCGGCCTCCCCACACACGATGGCGATGTCGCAACCACAGTAGAAAGAGTGGCGCTCTCTACTGTCCCGGAATTCTTGAGGCCGGAAGAATAACAGGGCAAAGGTCACGTAGACGGCGCGCCCCGCCCCCGTACGCCTAAGTTCTCGCGCGACTCCCACTTCCGCCCTTTTGGCTCTCTGACCAGCACCATGGCGGTTGGCAAGAACAAGCGCCTTACGAAAGGCGGCAAAAAGGGAGCCAAGAAGAAAGTGTAAGTCGCGACTGTCGTGGCGTCTTGCTTTTTGGGGGTCTGCTGGAATCGGCGGGCTGGTCCTAGATCGCGGCGTAGGCCGGATGGCGAGGATTCCAGTCGGATTGTGCGGGCCGTGGCGGGTTGGTGCACCCAGGAACGCGGCCTGGAGGGTCGGTGTTGAGTAGCGGCAGGTCGGCTGCCTTTCCCAGGCCTTCTGGTCCTTGCGCGCGTCGCGTTTGAGCCGGCTTGCCGGCGCGACTCGGCTGGAATGTTAGTTTTGTGGGCTCACGAGCTGCCTCAATTCTGCGAGTGTTTGATGGCACTGCGACAGCAGGAGTTGAGGAAAGCACCCTTCTATCCATTCAGGACCCGTCAATCTCGCCTTTGCTTGGTCCCGCTGGAATCTGCGAGCTCCTGCTAAGCTTTGGGGCCATGCAGTCTCTTAGTTACCAGTACATGCCATTACGTGCCAGCAAAGTTAATGAGATTGCATGTTACTCGTGCCTGTGTAGTGGAAGGACCGATGCATGTTATTCTAAGTGCCTGTGTAGTGGATGGACCGATGAGGGTGGGAAGTGGACATAACCTTTCAAAGTCTGATGCATGCAGTGAAACGTACAGTGGGAAGAGCTAGATTTATGTTTGTTCCCCTCACCTCACTGTGAGATATACTTTGGTATCAAATTGCCGGTTAGCTTTTTAAAATATTAATGGGAAATACCATTAACAGTGAAAAATACAGTAAGAATTGATCTGCAATGGAACTTAAGCATCTTCTTAAAATCCAGGGTTGATCCATTTTCTAAGAAAGATTGGTATGATGTGAAAGCACCTGCTATGTTCAATATAAGAAATATTGGAAAGACGCTCGTCACCAGGACCCAAGGAACCAGTAAGTAGCTTATTCTTGGTTTGTATTTTCCTTAAGTTGGCGCTTGTATATTGTAGCAGGCATCTTGGTCTGTTGTTGGTCCTGTGGTGGGAGACTTTAAGGAAATGTCAGCTCTTGGTTGCAGCCTTGGCACCTGTGGTGATCATTTTTAGTACAGCACTTGGAGAGAAGCAAGATGGTGCTTTTTGAATTAAGAAAATGTGCCATGGGTAGTTCTGAGCTTCAAATAAGTACTGTTGATAAGTCACTGGTGTCTGGATAGATTTGATAACAAAGGTTAAGGTCTTTATAATTTACCATTAACTTAATTTCTACCCTCAGTTTACAGGCTTGACTTTGCTTATATGGTTCCTAAATGTTAAGATACTTGTTTTTTTCTTTTGTAGAAATTGCATCTGATGGTCTCAAGGGTCGTGTGTTTGAAGTGAGTCTTGCTGATTTGCAGAATGATGAAGTTGCATTTAGAAAATTCAAGCTGATTACTGAAGATGTTCAGGGTAAAAACTGCCTGACTAACTTCCATGGCATGGATCTTACCCGTGACAAAATGTGTTCCATGGTCAAAAAATGGCAGGTGAGACCCAAAGTTCCTTAGAGTGGTTGTGCTATGGGTGTTTGACCAAGGATAGCATGGTTTGATGACTGGAAGGAGCAAGTTCATTTTATTTATTTATTGAGACCAGTGAAATGTCCACAAAGTTCATTTTAAATTTTTGTTTTCTTGCCGTTGTTGAGTGCTAACTCTGGGGTTGCCACACCATATTTTACTTACTATTTAAATCTAAGATTTAATAGTGGTGTATCATCAAAGTCAGATTTTCTTGCTGCATAGATTAGTGGTTTTTTGAGGAACGTTTAGGTGCAGGTGGGCGGTTTTGCCTGTCTTAAGGATGTTTTTTGACCTCAGAATTGAGTGAATGTTGATTAACTGTGGCAGTAGAGCATAATTGTGGCAGAGCCTCTGGAGTGAGGTTAAAATCTGGGCTCCATTTGCCTATTGTGTTCTCGTTGGAAAGTAACTTGTTTTCTAAGCCTCGGTTTCTTTATTTGTAAAGTGCAGATAAGAGTGTCATTTTATTGAATTGTGAGGATGAAATGAAAATATTTCAGATGTGTCTGGCTAACTATCCAGTTGGAATATTTTGTGGGAGTTTTTTGTTTTTGGGAGATTGAGTCTCTTATCGTCCGGGCTGGAGTGCAGTGGCGCCATCTCTGCTCACTGCAACCTCCTCCTCCTGGGTTCAAGGGATTCTCATGCCTCAGCCTCCCAAGTAGCTGGGATTACAGGCACCCGCCACCACGCCCAGCTAATTTTTGTATTTTTAGTAGAGACAGGGTTTCACCATATTGGCCAGGCTGGTCTCGAACTCCTGACTTCAAGTGATCTGCCCGCCTCAGCCTCTCAAAGTGCTGGGATTACAGGTGTGAGCCACTGCACCTGGCACAGTTCGAATATTTTGTATGTGGGAATGAATGATGACAAAATGTTTCAGTCCCAAATGATACATACTGATTATACCATTATATTTATCCTGACATTCCTCTAAGGCTTTATGGTTTACATTTCTAGAAATATTTTAAGGTCCCTTAGCTGTAAATTGTATTTGATTAGTTTTTTTTTATACTAAGGTATAAAATTTACAAAATGCAAACAAGGTAAATCAGTTTTCATCACTACCCAAGATGTTTTTTGTTTTTTCAATTTAGGCAATAATATGACCACTAACTAGGGGTTTTTAATTATATTTTAGCTCTGAAATTGGGTATTTAATCATCAGCATGGCTTTAGTTTGGAACATAAAAGACGTCTTTCAAAGTGTGCATTTAGAGTTATAGCAGTCACCTATTTACAACACAGTTTTTTGAAAAATGACATAATCACTGTAGATGTGTTCATACCATAGAATACCATGGATCCTCTCAGACCTATTTTCCTCTGGTGTAGTTTTACACTTGAGGGGGTATGAGCTGTTTAAAGGGGTATATGTATATGCAATGGATGTGGGTTTGGATGCCGTCAAGATAGTGGTAGTGTTAATGGAGGGTAGAAAGGAGGAGGGAGGGCAGTTGAGAGGACCTGGTTATTTAATTGGGTAAGAATTTGGGGGTAACTTGGTAAGTTCAAGGAAGTTAATTCTGTAAACTTAAAGAGATGTTACTTATGTTAGGATACTTTATATTTAATAATGAGTGTTTGACAATCCAGCTTTTTAAAATTAGAACTTGAGGGATAAATGGATAACGTAAAACCTGTTAAATCTGACGGTATCTTTTTTCTCCAGACAATGATTGAAGCTCACGTTGATGTCAAGACTACCGATGGTTACTTGCTTCGTCTGTTCTGTGTTGGTTTTACTAAAAAACGCAACAATCAGATACGGAAGACCTCTTATGCTCAGCACCAACAGGTCCGCCAAATCCGGAAGAAGATGATGGAAATCATGACCCGAGAGGTGCAGACAAATGACTTGAAAGAAGTGGTCAATAAATTGTAAGTGTTTCTTTGCTTCCTCACACAACACAACCTTGAGTATTGGATTATTCCTGAGATGAGAGAACGCATATGAGACAAGGTAAAGGTCTGTTGAAATCCTGTCTGTGAATCCTTCTAGCTATATCTCTTTAAGTGAAAGAGTGTTAAGTACTCAGTAAATATGATTATTATTACTATTATTATTTGAGTCAGAGTCTTGCTCTGTTGCCCAGGCTCGAGTGCAGTATTGTGATCCTCCTTGGCTCACTGTAACCACTGCTTCCTGGGTTCAAGCAGTTCTTGAGCCTCAGCCTCCTGAGTATCTGGGAATACAGGGGACTGCCACCATACCCAGCTAATTTTTTTAAATTTTTAGTAGAGATGGGGTTTCATCATGTTGGCCAGGCTGGTCTTGAACTCCTGACTTCAGGTGATCTGCCAGTACTCTAAATGATAACAGTTTTTTCGTGTTTATTTATTTTGAATGAAGCTGTCTCACAGTAGATGGAGTTGAAGGACAGGAAATGTTTTTCCCCTACTTGGAAAATACACTGAATAAGTTGAGTGGGGTGGGATGTGCCTGGAGTCCCAGCTACTCAGGAGGCTGAGGTGGTAGGATTGTTTGAGCCCAGGAGTTTGAGGCCAGCCTGGGCAATATAGGGAGACCCTGTCCCAAAAAATAAAAAATATACGTATATATATATACACACACAAAGAAAAAATACACTGAATAGACAAAACCTTTCATGATTAATGATGCACGGGAATAAGTGATGAAAAAAGTTTCGGTCCCAGATGATGGCCAGTGATAACAACATTTTTCTGATGTTCCCATGCAATATACAGTTAGCTAAGAGGGTGTAATGGAAAAAGCATAAGGCTTGGACTCAGAAGACTCTACTAACTTTGCCACTAGCTAGCTATGTAATTCAGATCATCTATCCTTTACATGTGAAAGGTAAATAATGGCTTATCTTAACAGGAGGATTTATGCAGGTTAAATGAGGTAGGTGTTATGTGTAGGTTTATTCCAAGGCTTCTCTACTTTTAAAGGAAATGGCTTATATCTGAGAACTAGGACTTTTAGAAAAAAATTTACTGTTACTGGTTTGCAGGATTCCAGACAGCATTGGAAAAGACATAGAAAAGGCTTGCCAATCTATTTATCCTCTCCATGATGTCTTCGTTAGAAAAGTAAAAATGCTGAAGAAGCCCAAGTTTGAATGTAAGTGAGAAATCACATGATTCCTGTAGGGCCAAATACATTGTTTTTGGGTGGAGGAGGAGTGTGGGGCCATATCATGGCCTTCTTTTTCTTCCTGTCATGCTTGCATAGTAGTGATGACCATTATTTCAAGATATACTAACAGTTTTTTGGTTTTTTTTTTTTTTTTTTTTTTTGCCTTTTAGTGGGAAAGCTCATGGAGCTTCATGGTGAAGGCAGTAGTTCTGGAAAAGCCACTGGGGACGAGACAGGTGCTAAAGTTGAACGAGCTGATGGATATGAACCACCAGTCCAAGAATCTGTTTAAAGTTCAGACTTCAAATAGTGGCAAATAAAAAGTGCTATTTGTGATGGTTTGCTTCTGAACATTCTTTTTTTAAAAATAATCTGACAGCTTGGTGGATTAGACAGTAAATTTGACAGCTGGTAAACTTTTCTGACCCAGACAAATTGGATATAAACATACTACTATGCACCTTTACTGTGAAGCTGAAATGGGGCGGAGAAGCTGTTACCAAGTGGGCATTTAGTGCTATCCACCTATAGTCACTCATTCATTCAGTTTCTACCTCTTCTCAAGCCTTTTCAGTTTTCTCATTTCTTGCTTAGCTGATAACCTTGCTTCCTTTAATCACTAAAAAAGTTTAAAGCAGAGAAAAGAACCCCACAAATTTCTGTTACCTATATTCTGCCACCTATGCATGTGTTAATCATACTACCTTCTGTCATACCACTGGATGGATTGTGCTAAGACATAAGACAGCCTTTTTTTTTTTTGCCCAATCAGCCTCATGGCTTCAGCAATTCACACCTTTATCAATTCCTCGCTGTCCCTTGTATACTAGTATACAAATACTAGTATACCCTCCCAGAGCACCTTACTAAGTCCCTTTATAGCAAAGCTCAAAGGAATTTTTTATATATTGGTATCATTTAATTTTTTTTAATTTTTAAAACTTTTTTACATATAAAATATATTTTAAAGGTCAAGTGCGTAGCTCATGCCAGTAATCCCAGCACTTTGGGAGGCTGAGGTGGGTGGATTGCTTGAGGTCAGAAGTTCAAGACCAGCCTGGCCAACATGGTGAGACACCGTCTCACCTAAAAAAAATAAAATTAGCCAGGTGTGGTGGCGGGGTGCCTGTAATCCCAGCTTCTCGGGAGGCTGAGGCATGAAAATCACTTGAACCTGGGAGGTGGAGGTTGCAGTGAGCTGCACTCCAGTCTGGGCTACAAAATGAGACTGTTGAAAAAAAAATTACATTTGAGAGACATGATCTTACTCTGTCACCCAGGATGGAGTAGAATGGTGTGATCATAGCTCGCTGTAACCCTAAAGTCCTGGGCTCAAGCAGCCCTCCCTCTCAGGCCTCCTGAGTAGTTGGGACACAGGCCTGTGCCACACCACACCCAGCTTTTTTTATTTTAAAGACAGTCTCACTGTCACCCAGGCTGGAGTGTGTTAGTGCGATCTTGGGTCACTGCAACCTCCATCTCCCAGGTTCAAGCGATGCTTGTGTCTCAGCCTCCCCAGTAGCTAGGATTATAGGCACCCACCACCATGCTGGGCTAATTTTTGCATTTTTTAGTGGAGATGGGGGTTTCGCCATGTTGGCAAGGCTTGTCTTGAATTCCTGGCCTCAAGTGATCCTCCCGCCTTGGCCTCCCAAATTGCTGAGATTACAGGTGTGAGCCACTGCACCAGGCCTAATCTGCTAGTTTTTAAGTTCTTTGTAGGGTCTTGGCTGTTATGTCCAGACTGGTCTCAAATTCCTGGCCTCAAGGGATCTTCCTGCCTCAGCCTCCAAAGTGCTGGGAGTATAGGTGTGAGCCATGGTGCCCAGCCACATTTTTTAGTTTTTATTTTATTTTTCTTCAATTTGCTGCAGTTAGGCTTTCCTCCCAACACCACTCCAAGACATTTCATTGTCAAGATTAGCAGTGATTTTGTTGCTAAATTCAGTGGTCCATTCTTTTACTAGAGGTCTTTTACTTGACCTCTGTTAGTGACTTGCTTATCACTTTGTCCTGTTAGTGACTCTTGACAGTTGATTTCTTCCTGATTTTAACTGTCTTCCAGATCCTCGACTCAAGCTTTTCCTCCTACATCATTGGCTACTCCTTTACTAGTTCATTTTTTAGACTTTTAATCAGTTTTAGAAGGCCCTAGGGCTGGTCGGGTGCAGTGGCTCACGCCTGTAATCCCAGCACTTTGGGAGGCTGAGGCGGGCGGATCACGAGGTCAGGAGTTACAGACCAGGCTGGCCAACACAGTGAAACCCTGTCTCTACTAAAAAATACAAAAAGTTAGCCGGGTGTGGTGGTGTGCACCTGTAATCCCAGCTACTTGGGAGACTGAGGCAGGAGAATTGCGTGAACCTGGGAGGCAGAGGTTGTAGTGAGCTGAGATTGGGCCATTGCACTCCAGCTGAGGAGACAGTGTGAGACTCCGTCTCAAAAAAAAAAAAAAAGAAGGCCCTAGGGCTTGGTCGTTAGACATTTCTATACTCTCCCTAGGTTCTTGGTTTTAAATTAATGGAGATTTTTATATTTCTAGCCTATACCTTTCTTTGGGACATCCAGGTTTGTCTAAGTGCCTACTTGATATCCCCACTTGGATGTCAGACAGGCATTTAACATACAGTGTTCTAAAATGGTATTATCTCAATTGTACCCACCCTTTTGGTTGCTTAGGCCAAAATCCTCTGTGGTCATCCTTGACCATTCACAGTTGATTCAAACTATATATATCTGGAGTCTAATCAGTTATTACCATCTTCTGCTATTTGAAACAAGCCACCATTACTACTTGGATTGTTCCTGCCTACCTTGTCTATGTCCTATCTTGTGGAAGTCTTTTATTTTTTATAGGCAGGATCTCACTCTGTTGCCCAGAATGGAATGCAGTGAGACAATCAGCTCACTGCAGCTTTGCATTCCTGGGCTCAAGTGATCCTCCTGCCTTAGCCTCCTGAGTAGCTGGGGCTACAGGTGTGTGCCACCATGGCTGGCTAATTTTAAAATATTTCATGTGGAAATGGGGTCTTGCTATATTCCCAAGGCTCCAAGGCTGGTCTGGAACTCCTGGCCTCAAGTGATCCTCCCGATTACGGGTATGAGCCACTATACCAGGCCCTGAAAATCTGTTTTAGACGATTCATTCAAAGATCCCATGTGATCTTGCATCTGACTTGTCTCTTACTCCTATTCCCCTTGCTCTTCCCTGTGCTTGAAATATTCTCCTTTACATGGCCACAGTGTTTATTTCACCTCCTTGAAGTCTCTGCTGTTTGTTGTTTATTTTTAAGCAACCTGAATGAGGAATTGAAGTTTGTTCTAATAATGTCTCCTCCGTAGAATCTGGTGGTGCCCTCTGACACTTGTGATTTTTTTCCAGTTTTGTTTACTCGTGTCTATGAGAAAAATTCCATGAGGACAGTGTTTTTGGTGGTGGTAGGGCACTGATTAATTGTCAGATCATCATTGCCTAGTTCAATATTTGTTGAATAAAGGAATGAGTGATATTCCCTATTAATGTCCCTTAGCCAAGAAACAAATGCCTTACTTTCTACTAAAGGCTGGTTTAGACATAGATATGGGTCCCAAATGGCAGGGGCTCCCTCCCCAGGGTAGAAAAAGAGGTCATGGGATGAGGACTGATTATTACATAAATGGTGGTTTTCCTCTTGATGCACTGAGGCTGGATATCATTTAGTAAGGTAATAGTATAATCCATAATCAAGCTCTAATCTGCTACACCTTGGAATAGGGGTTGGCATAGTATTCTATTTTTAGAAGGGCTCATTTGAAAGAGGTTCCAAAAATAATGCTTTTTTTTTTTTTTTTTCGAGACAGAGTCTTGCTCTGTCGCCCAGACTGGAGTGCAGTGGCACAATCTCAGCTCACTGCAACCTCTGCTTCCCGGGTTCAAGTCATTCTGCCTTAGCCTCCCAAGTAGCTGGGATTACAGGTGCCGGCCTCCACACCCGGCTAATTTTTTGTATTTTTAGTAGAGACGGGGTTTCACCATGTTGGCCAGGGTGGTCTCGAACCCCTGACCTTAGGTGATCCACCCGCCTTGGCCTCCCAAAGTGCTGAGATCACAGGCATGAGCCACCGCGCCTGGCCACAAGTAACTATGTTTAATGCCCACCACCAGTCTTTAGATTGATGGCTCTCTAGTTATTTTGGTTGTCTGAAGCATGTCCTTTGGTAGGTTCCTTAGGAAGTTCTTATTCTTCCATGGTGAGTATAATTTGTCAGAGTACTTTATATCTCAAAGTCACTTTTGCTGCATCCTTAGCTCCTTGGCTCACTCTTTAAGCATCTTAAATATGCTACTCCCATTTTTTTAAAAATAACTTAAAGCATTGCTAGTGAAAAGTATGATAATTAAATTTCTTTTAAAAGTCTTCGATTTTGGGTAGAGGCCCCCCAGTTTTTTCTCTTTTTTTTTTTTGAGATGGAGTCTCACTCTGTCGCCCAGGCTGGAGTGCAGTGGCACGATCTCAGCTCACTGCAATCTCCGCCTCCCAGGTTCACGCCATTCTCCTGCCTCAGCCTCCTGAGTAGCTGGGACTACAGGCACCCACCACCATGCCTGGCTAATTTTTTTGTATTTTTAGTAGAAGCGGAGTTTCACCATGTTAGCCAGGATGGTCTCGATCTCCTGACCTTGTGATCCGCCTGCTTCGGCCTCCCAAAGGGCTGGGATTACAGGCGTGAGCCACCGTGCCCAGCCTTTCTGTTTTTTTTGTTTGTTTGTTTTTAAGAGACGGAGTCTTGCTCTGTCGCCCAGGCTGGAGTGCAGTGGCATGATCTCGGCTCACTGAAAGCTCTGCCTCCTGGGTTCATGCCATTCTCCTGCCTCAGCCTCCCAAGTAGCTGGGACTACAGGTGCCCACCACCACGCCCGGCTAATTTTTTGTATTTTTAGTAGAGGCGGGGTTTCACCGTGTTAGCCAGGATGGTCTCGATCTCCTGACCTCATGATCCGCCCACGTTGGCCTCCCAAAGTGCTGGGATTACAGGCGTGAGCCACCGCGCCCAGCCTTCTGTTTCTTTAAAATCCAGTAATTTTGCTTGAATATGTCTTACTAGGGTTTTTTTCTGATTAAGTAGTGTTACGTAGGCAGTATATTCTTTTTTTAATTTTTGATACGGAGTTTCGCTCTTGTCGCCTAGACTGGAGCGCAATGGCGCAATCTCAGCCCACTGCAACCTCTGCCTCCCAGGTTCAAGCGATTCTCCTGCCCCAGCCTCCTGAGAGGCTGGGATTACAGGCGTGTGCCGCGATGCCCAACTAATTTTGTTATTTTTATTAGAGATGGGGTTTCACCATGTTGGCCAGGCTGGTAATCCCAGCACTTTGGGAGGCCAAGCTGGGCAGATCACTTGAGGTCAGGAGTTCCAGACCAGCCTGGTCAACGTGGCAAAACCCTGTCTCTACTAAAACTACAAAAATTAGCCGGGCTTGGTGGCGTGGGCCTGTAATCCCAGCTACTTGGGAGGCTGAGGCAGGAGAATCACTTGAACCCTGGAGGAGGAGTTTGCAGTGAGCCGAGATTGTGCCACTGCACTCCAGCCTGGGAGACAGAGCCAGAATCTGTCTCAAAAAAAAAAAAAAAAAATCTTTTGCAGGTAAAGTTTTCCTAAATTTCAGTTTTTAGCATTCTGTGTCCTTGCTCTGATTTTCTGTATCAGGGACTTCTTCACCTATGATCTTAAAAGCAGCTGCAGTTATAATTGCTAACCATCCATGTGATATAATCCTTAGTCCAGGCTGAGTTGGCAAATTGCTGCCTATGGTAAATCTGGCCAGTTTCCATTTTTGTATAGTCTGCAAGCTGAGAATGTTTTTTCTATTTTTATAGATTTGAAAAAATATTTTACTACGTGTAAAAATTATATGAAATTCAAAATAAACATAAATATCCACAAATCAAGTCGTATTGGAACATGATCATACTCATTTATCTTTAAATATTGTGTTTCTGCTTCAAAACATTTTTAATCTGTTTTTAAATAGAGATGGGGTCTCACTATGTTGCCCAGGCTGGCCTTAAACTCCTGGACTCAAAAGGATCCTATTGCCCCAGCCTCCCAAAGTGCTGAATTACAGGCATGAGCCACAGCCCCTGGCCCACTTGCTGCTTTTTACACTACAACTGCAGTGGTGCAGGTGCAGTTCACACTGAGGTGGTGCACTCATCACTTCACACTGCGGTGCACACTGCAAACTGCAGCGATACCACGCTCAAACATTTTGAGTGCCACACATTTTACCTGTGAAAAGACATCTTCAAAAATGAAATACAGGCCAGGCACTGTGGCTCATGCCTGTAATCCCACCACTTTGGGAGGCCAAGGCAGGTGGATCACTTGAGGTCAGAAGTTCAAGACCAGCCTGGCCAACATGGTGAAATCCCGTCTCTACTAAAAATACAAAAATTAGTCAGGCGTGATGGCATGCTCCTGTAATCCCAGCTACTTGGGAGGCTGAGGCAGGAGAATCGCTTGAACCTGGGAGGCAGAGGTTGCAGTGGGTGGAGGTTACAGTGAGCCAAGACTGCGCCACTGCACTCCAGCCTGGGCAACAGAGTGAGACTCCGTCTCAAAAAAAAAAAAAAAAGAAATACATAAAATCTCATTACAAGTCACTGTTCACAGATGAAAATTTGCAACTCATTTTTATAATGGGAATCACTAAGCTCTAATTTAATGAAATGTTATTCCCCATCCCAAAAGAAAAAAATTCCATTTTTTTCCTCATTAGTAGATCTGTATTACAGAAAAGTACTCAATTATTATCATGATAGTTTGAACTTCATTAATAATTTTGTGGAGATTTGTTTCCTCTTGTTATATGCCTACATCCCACTTTTGCTTCTTGGCCCACAAGGCCAAAACTATTTATCTGGCTTTTCACAGAGAAAAGTTTGCCAGTGCTACTGTAAATAAGGAAATAAAGCATCCAAATTCAACTGACAGGGTTTGGGCAAAACTTGCAGTGGAGAAAAAGGTTTTTTAAATTTATAAAAATATATATATATATATTTGAGACGGGAGTTTCATTCTTGTTGCCTAGGCTGGAGTGCAATGGCACAATCTCGGCTCACCGCAACTTCTGCCTCCCAGGTTCAAGTGATTCTCCTTTCTCAGCCTCCCCAGTAGCTGGGATTATAGGCATGTGCCACCATGCCTGGCTAATTTTGTATTTTTAGTGGAGACAGGGTTTCTCCATTGTTGGTCAGGCTGGTCTTGAACTCCTGACCTCAGATGACCCACCCACCTCGGCCTCCCAAAGTGCTGGGATTACAGGCTTGAGCCACCGCGCCCAGGCAAAAATATTTTTATATTTAAGTGTGTGAGTCCCTCTGGGCCAATTCAGCGTTCTATTTTGCACTGCTAAATGTGAGACTGATGTGTACATGCTTGTGCACTTCATGTATTCAGAGGAGGTTCTCCCATTCAGGGCACTGCTGTATTTAGAAAAGTGTTAATGGAACAAACTCCTCTGCCATTTGCCGTGTGTGTGTGTGTGTGTGTGTGTGTCAGTATTTAAACACAAGTGTTTCTACTCTGACGGCCACAGTTTTCACATGAGAGCGAGGATGCTGTCCAGTTGTTTGACAACTCAGAATTCTCAATCTCATACCTTGACTGTGGTTTCATCACACCTCCACCAACAGGAGTGTTTGATAAAACTCCAAAACAATTCAGGAGCCTGTTCACCAAGTAGTTTCTTGGGACTGTGTGGATGGATTCACAGTGCTTAATCCCTCTGGCAGTCAAGGACAAACTGCTATCTCTTTAACCTTTTGCTGCTTCTAGGCTTATTGGAGGGCTTTGGGTATTGGAGACCGCATGCCTCACTAAACAAGCCTTGCTGATAAAAAACAGTGTGTTCTGGGATGTAGCAGCCTTAGGATCATCTTGGTTTTTCATGAAGTGGTGGTAGAAACTCCTGGAAAACTTTATCTAGCACTCCACTGCGTGAAGCGTACTTGCACCTGTTGGGTCAATGGGGTCCTTACTTCACCTAAGTCTCCTAAATGATTGGGCCTGATTCACTGATGGCTCTGCAGAATGGAAAGCTGGTAGTATCCATTGTGTTGCTGTTGCAATCCAACCTCAGTGCTAGCCATGCAACTAAAGTGAATGAAGTCCCTGCTCAGTGGGCGGAACTCAGTTCTCATAGCCAATACTGCTTTTGATTAACCTTGCCCTATTTTAAAAATTATTATTTTTAGAGTTAGGGTCTTGTGCTGTTGCCCAGGTTGGAGTGCAGTGGTGTGATCACAGCTCACTGCAGTCTCAACCTCCTGGACTCAGGGATCCTCCTACCTCAATCTCCTGAGTAGCTGGGGCTACAGGTGTGTGTCCCCATGACCTGCTTTTTAAAATTTTTGTAGAGATGGGCATCTCGCTATGTTGCCCAGGCTGGTCTTGAACTCTTGTACTCAAGTGATTCTCCTGCCTCAGCCTCCCAAAGTTGAGATTACAGGTGTGAGCCACCACACTAGTTTTTGCTGACTTGGGCTGTTACTAATGGCCTAGACATCTGGTCTGCCAGTTGAAAGGCAGACTAAAGACATCTCTTTTAAGGCTATAAACTATGAAAATAAATTGTGGCTGCCAACCAGAACATCTGGGTCATTCATGTAGATGACTACAGTTAAGGGCTGATAACACCTGTGACTGATAACACCTAGTGGAATCAAGCTGCTGATGAAGCCAGCATCACCTGGATTGTCCTCACAATGGCAACACATCCACCATGGCGGACTAGGCACCCAGTAAAGAACTCTTTCTCATGCATGCCAGTCTTGGTGACCCCTGCTAAAGTTATCCCATTTGTCTGGAGGTAAATAAGGCCATACTATACAGGACATGGGCCCGCTTGCTCCTAACTGACTGACTACACTGGCCATTTGACCTCCTGTTAGGGCAACTCATGGCGGAGGGGCTGACTGCTGTTAAGACCTTCTTAGGCTATGACGTTGCTGTTTCGGTCTGACCAACTGACTTTGACCATACAATTACAGCTCTTGAAACTAATGTGTCATATTAAGACCCAGGCTGGTCTTAAAACTCCTGGCTCAAGCGATCCTTCTGCCTCAGCCTCCCAGAGTGCTGGGATTACAGGTGTGAACCACCATGCCTAGCTGGAAGGGAAATAATTAATGCACAATTTGTTCCCTAGGTCAGTTTCTCAACCTTGGCACTATTAATATTTTAGGCCAGATAATTCGTTGTTTAGCAGTTACACTGGCCTCTACCCACTAGATGCCAGTAGCACCTTCCCTCTAGTTGTGACAAATAAAAATGGCTCAGACATTGCCAAATGTCCCCTGGAGGGCAAAACTGCCCCCAGCTGGAACCACTGCCCTTGATTCAAAACCACTACCTGAATCAAGTGGCAGCTGCAGCTAACAGTCTGACCTGCTGCTGGGCTTGTCCAGACCACCATGAAATGTGCTATGAAAACGAAAATCTCTCATAAACATGGTCAGTCCTGCACTGTTCTGCTGTGCCTGATACCATCAACAACAGCACCCAAATTCGAATGTATACAGACATCAGGACCAACACAACCTTGATTCAATCTGACTGATCATATGCTTTTGACGCCTGAGTGGTCTTGGGTAATACCGTATATGGCAACCGAAGCTGCAGCTATTTGGTGACACTGCCCCTGTGACTTAACCAATGTGATGATACAAATCAGGTTTAGCAACGAGTCCTGAACCAAAGTGACTTGTGTCCTTTGGGGTTATATTTTGGTATATAGGGGAAAAATGGGTAGGAGAAAAATGGGTCATGAGATGTCTCCCCATTAAGGACAGAGGTCGCTTTCTGGCCCATCAATTGTCTAATTATTGCAGCGACACCAGAGATTAACAGATCAGTTTAAACTCTGTACAGGTCTTAATGAATAAAATACCCTGGCCCTAGAATACCTCATGGCTGCCTAAAATCAGACCTACTGGTACTCCCTGAGATTATTCACAGTAAGCTGTCTGGGACCCTGGAGAGTAAGACTGAGATCAATACTGCAGGTTGGCTTCATCTGCTGCTTTGAGTCTTGATAATAGACTTAATTAAACGTCATGTGAGACAAACTGAGTGGATTTGGTTCTGGCTTCTGTTGGTTAGCTTAATCGAAGTGGTTGTCAGAGTAGCACACTTGTGTAAAAATTTAAGTTTGGCCAAGAATGTGTCAGGCTGAGGAGTGAATAGTGACAGAGGCAATGTGCTGTATACCCTAAGTGTCTCTGCACATTCTTGCTGAGTATGCCAAGAATACAATCCCTTGACTGTTCTTTACCCTGGCCACTTCTCAGGGCTGTGTTTGCACCCTTGTGAGCAACCTTGAAGGATGAGGTAACGTCTCCCCCAGGAAAAAAAGCAAGCTTGCTTCCATTTGCTATAAAAGTGGTGGATCTCAGTGTTCCTCTCCTGTCACACAACTCACTGTATAATGGGCCCTTTGCATCACCTCCTCGGGATTTGGTGGGGTATGGGAAACTGACACATAAGAACACGAAACTCTGGTTCTCACTTTTGCTATCATGAAGTGTTTTGCTCCTGTCCCAGAAGTCTCATGTCTTCTGCTAACATCCATGAAACCATGCCAGGCTAAATGTTTAGCTTACAAGTTGGGTAAAATGTCAAACACTGCACAGTTCCTGACAATTTCTCCTCCTCAATTATTTGAAGCAAATTTAACTTATCAAATGTAAATATTTCATCATGTATCTCTGAAATGATTTCTTAAAAAGAAATGTAACCAAAATCCTATTAACACAGCTCCAAATTTCAGTAATAATCTTTAGTATCTTTAAATATCCAGTCATACCAATTTAATGAGTCATTAATTCTCTGACGTAACGCTGTGATAGGCAATGCAAGTGTGACAGCTATGAAGGGTAATGAGTTTCCATTTGCTAAGATCATTTAAGAAGTCAAAGTAGGGCTGGGTGCGGTGGCTCACACCTGTAATCCCAGTACTTTGGGAGGGTGAGGCGGGTGGATCACCTGAGGACAGGAGTTCAAGACCAGCCTGGCCAAAGTGGCGAAACTCCATGTCTACTAAAAATACAAAAAATTGGCTGGGCACGGTGGCTCATGCCTATAATCCCAGCACTTTGGGAGGCCAAGGCGGGTGGATCACCTGAGGTCATGAGTTTGAGACCAGCCTGACCAACATGGTGAAATCCTGTCTTTACTAAAAATATAAAAATTAGCTGGGCATGGTGGTGGGCACCTGTAATCCCAGCTACTTGGGAGGCTGAGGCAGGAGAATTGCTTCAACCCAGGAGGCAGAGGTTGCGGTGAGCCAAAATCACACCATTGCACTCCAGCCTGGGTTGACGAGCGAAACTCCATCTCAAAAATAAAAATACAGATACAAAAAACTAGCAAAGCGTGGTGGCGGGCACCTCTAATCCTAGCTACTTCGGAGGCTGAGGCACGAGAATTGCTGGAACCTGGGGGCAGAGGTTGCAGTGAGCCAAGATCGCACCATTGGACTCCAGCCTGGGCAGCAAGGGCAAAACTACGTCTCAGAAAAAAAAAAAAAAAAAGAAGTCAAGGCAGAAAAATTATTGCAGGTGTCAGCTCCTAGAAGTGTATAACATCCATCCCGGCCCTATTATTATTTTTTTGATACATATATGTATATACACGTATATATGTGTATGTATATATATGTGTATATGTGCATGTATATGTAAGTATATATGTGTATATTACCACATATACATTTGTGTATACGTATATGTATATATGTATGTGTATATGTATATACATACACGCATACATACGTATGTGTATATGTATGTATATATTTAAAGTGTGTGTATGTGTATACACATATGTGTATATGTATATATGTGCATACATATGTATAAATGCATGCATGTATACATGTATACGTATATATACATATACACATACGTATGTATACATATGTATGTATACACTGCATATACATACATATGTATGTATACACTATGCATATACATACATATGTATATATACACATGTATGTATATACTATGCATACACATACATATGTATATATACACACGTGTACACACATATACATATGCGTATACATTCATACACACATACATGTATACACACATACATATACACATACACATATATACATATATGTATATATACACACACACACATTTTTTTTTTGAGATGGTGTCACTCTCTGTTGCCCAGACTGCAGTGCAGTGGCATAATCTCAGCTCACTGCAACCTCCATTTCCCAGGTTTGCGCAATTCTCCTGCCTCACCCAGTAGCTGGGATTACAGGCCCACGCCACCATAGCCTGGCTAATTTTTGTATTTTTAGTAGAGACAGGGTTTCACCATGTTGGCCAGGCTGGTTTTGAACTCCTGACCTCAGGTTATCCACCCGCCTTGGCCTCCCAAAGTGCTGAGATTACAGGCGTGAGTCATAGTGCTCAGCCAGAGGCCAATATTTTGGTATTGTTAGTTAATTTTTGTGAAACATAGACAACCAAATATTTCATTTAATTATTGCCTAATTTACAGTACTTGAAGATAAATAATCCATGGTATACATATAATTAGAATTCCTTTAAAAAAATCAGAATATGTCTCAGACTCTGAAATATAAATCTATCAGCTTAACAGTGCTTTGGTTAATCTATTATACTCCAAAATACTAATAACAGTGTTTTGTGTTATATTTTAATGAAAATCTAGATTTATGATTGCTCTACTGTTGCCAAGGGCACAGCCCTACAAGATACAGCTGTACAAGATCTGATGTTCTAAATTTTTGAATATTTTCTATTAAAGAGAAAAAGGAATCCACATTAGTGGATCCATTCATGTTTCAGTTTCTAGGTAACATCAATATAAATTGTCCACATAAAACCAAGAAGCTGACAGGACTTTTCTTCCTGAAGGATAAAACTTCAAGGCTTTAATACATACTGTGTAATTCTTTCTAATCGTTAAGTATTAGAGGCTACAACCACTACAGGCCAATGAAACGGATCAATTCTTCTTGTTTAACTGCTAAAAAAAATGTTATCACTTTGCCATAATAAACGGAAAAAGAACTGGATTGGAAATCCGCAGAGATAGGTTTTACTTTAGGCTCTGCAAGTAACTGTGACTTTAGGCAAATCATTTAACCTCTGCAAGTTGAACTCTGGTCTCCAAGGGCTCTCTTCTGTGGTATAACAGGATGAGCTCGCAATTAAGAGAGCGGCCCCTAGATGGTAGTGTTGTTCTGAGTCAGGCTTTCTATTTTTTTTCCTTCTTTAATTACAGTGAAGTAAAAAGGCACAAGTTAGAAAATGACTTCACGTTAGTTCTGAAAAAAATTCAGTTGGCTGGACAAGGTGGCTCACGCCTGCAAACCCAGCACTTTGAGAGGCCGAGGCGAGAAGACTGCTTGAGCTCAGGAGTTCAACACCAGCCTGGGTAACATGGTGAAACCCCGTCTTTACAAAAAATAAAAAATTAGGCTGGATGCCGGGGCTCACGCCTGTAATCCCAGCACTTTCAGAGGCCGAGGCGGATGGATCACTTGAGGTCAGGAGTTCAAGACCTGTCTGGCCAACATGATGAAACCTGGTCCCTACTAAAAATACAAAAAAATTAGCGGGGCACAGTGGTGCGTGCCCGTAATCCTAGCTACTCAGGAGGCTGAGGCAGGGGAATCACTTGAACCTGAGAGGCAGAGGCTGCAGTGAGCCCAGATTGTGCCATTGCACTCCAGCCTGGGCAACAGAGCAAGACTCCACCTCAAAAAATAAAATGAAAAAAATAATAAATTAGCCAAATATGGTGGCACATGCCTGTAGTCCCAGTTACTCGGGAGGCTGAGGTGGGAGGAACACTTGAGGCCAAGAGTCTAAGGCTGCAGTGAGCCAAGATCATGCCATTGCACTCCAACCTGGGCAACAAAGTGAGACCCTGTCTCTAAAATACAATACAATAAAATAAAATAATAAATTCACTGTGAAGAATTCATTCAATGGCATTCAAAATGACATTGAATCATGAATCATATGGCTCATGTGCATTTGACATTAATTAAAAGAAATAAACCATTAATGATTATACCAAAGTGAATATATCGCCTTATAATTATTAGTCCATACAGTCATCATTATTTTCTCTAGGTATATTTAGGTAAGCTTAAGAAACTGAGTAAAAACTAAGAAATGAATGTTAGGAGTATTGATCTACAATCTTATAGAAAAATTTTTTTTTCAAATGCAAGTTCTACTAATAAATTCTGATAAACGCACTTTCTTTCATTTTGAATATTACAGACTGAATTCAAGACCTGTGATTTATATGAGCACAATGACAGATATATTCCATTACCCTTCTAGCCATGTAAACAAGGGCATCTTTTAAAGAAAAACGCTTTTAGTGTTCAAAGGATAAGAATAATATATTAAATGGCTTCTCTAGGTTTTTTTTCAACTGAGTCGCCTTGCTTGGAAAGGCTTCTCTAGGTTTTTTTTTGTTTTTGAGACGGAGTCTCACTCTGTCGCTTAGGCTGGAGTGCAGTGGCGCGATCTCGGTTCACTGCAAGCTCCGCCTCCTGGCTTCACACCATTCTCCTGCCTCAGCCTCCCGAGTAGCTGGGACTACAGGTGCCCGCCACCACGCCCGGCTAATTTTTTGTATTTTTAGTAGAGACAGGGTTTCACCGTGTCAGCCAGGATGGTCTCGATCTCCTGACCTCGTGATCCGCCTGCCTCGGCCTCCCAAAGTGCTGGGATTACAGTCGTGAGCCACCGCGCCCAGCCCTCTAGGTTTAATTTATCAAAGAAAAAGGATTAAGAGATTCTAGTTTGAGGAGGTTTAGATGAACAAGATCAGATTTTAACCTAAAATTCCTGAAAGGAAACAGAATGTGTTCCTATTTCTCTCCCATAAAATTCACTGAGTATAAAAATTATGTTTCTCCTTAAACATGCTCAGTCTTGCCTTGAATTCAATCAATATACAGAATAAGAAAGTACCTATGAGGCCGGGCTCGGTGGCTCACGCCTGTAATCCCAGCACTTTGGGAGGCCGAGGTGGGTGGATCACGAGGTCAAAAGATCGAGACCATCCTGGCTAACACGATGAAGTCCCGTCTCTACTAAAAATACAAAAAATTAGCCGGGCGTGGTGGTGGGCGCTTGTAGTCCCAGCTACTCAGGAGGCTGCGGCAGGAGAATGGCGTGAACCCTGGAGGTGGAGCTTGCAGTGAGCCAAGATCGTGCCTCCGCACTCCAGCCTGGGCGATAGAGGGAGACTCCATCTCAAAAAAAAAAAAAAAAAAAAGAAAGTATCTACGAGAGCCCATATGTTACCTTTTTGCTTCCTGTCAGTTGAGTAGGTAATAAGTGGCAAGCACAACATAGAACATGAGAGTGAAATGACATAAAACTGTGAATTTTTAGTATAGATTTATGTCAAAAATTAAAGAGGAAAGATATTGAGTGAATCCAAGATGGTATTGCTGTATGTGAAAGTCATTCATCCATCCATCCATCCATTCCAACCAACCAACTCACCCAACCCACCAACCAACCTTTATTGAGGCTGAATGGTGCAAAGGACTAGAGATACAAAGATAAATAAGGTACCACAGGCCAGGTGCAGTAATACCAGCACTTTGGGAGGCTGAGGCAGGCAGACTGCTTGAGCCCAGGTGTTTGAAACCAGCCTGGGCAACATGGCGAAACCCTGTCTCTACAAAAAGAAAAAAAAATACCAGAAATTAGCTGGGCACGGTGGTGTGCGCCTGTAGTCCCAGCTACTCAGGAGGCTGTGGCAGGAGAATCACTTGAGCCCAGGAGGCAGAGGCTGCAGTGAGCCAACATTGCATTGCACTCCAGCCTGGTCAAAGGGAATTAAATCCTGTCTCAAAAAAAAAAAAAAAAAAGATACCACCTCCATTCTCAAAAAACTCAGTCTAGTATGAGAAAGGGACTTTGAAAGTTCAGTTCAGTTTATTACAGTGTCAAGTAGATTTACAACTATTGCACTTATCATTCTGCTGACAGAAGGCCAAAACTGAAGATTGAGATTTTCCTCTAATAAAGATAGGTTTTCAGAATCTTCAATATAAGATGTTAAAATTATAAAGGCAAAGATATATACCTCATGTTCCATTCCATATCCTTCCTGCTGTTGTACAGTTTGCTGCAAATGATAATTTAATTTGGATAATGCTTTAAATCATTGATTTCTCATGAAATTACTTTTGAGTGAAATTTGACAAGAATTTTCTTTATACTCTCTTCTTTACCAAAACGTATTAGAAGTCCCCATAGTCCAAAATAAAATGTAACCATAGAATGGGGAGATAACTTTAGTCAAAGACCAAGTAAATATTACCTTCTTTGCAGAACTCCAGGTTGTAGTCACGTAAAAGTGTGGCCACTTGTTGCTTAACTTTTTGGACAATGGGAAAAAAAAAACAATAAAAGCTAAAATGTGGTCCAGCATATGAAACTCTTCTCAAAAACAGAAGAAAGTCATGACCATTGTTGGGAAAGTGTTTTACATTTCCAATGAAATTCTATTCCATTGATCTGTTTGGATGATTGTCTTCAACCTATTTGGCTCTAGCCCATAAATTGTAATTGATTCAGTCATGTAAAGAACCACTTTTATCTTAAGCTTAGAATTTATAACAATGGAAAGCAGGAAAGTGGTTTTTCATTCACTCTAATAATTGTGCAGGGATAAGCTAGAGAAAAAATAAAACAAAAAAGTACCAGTCTTCTGTCCTCTTAAATTATTTTTCATTCTGATTATATTACAAAGAAATGAGCTGTGGAGGTTTGGCACTGTTTTCCATCTTAACAGTTGTTCTGTATTGTAAGATTTTATATGTGATTCATAATGTACTACTATAACAAGACACAGTTTTTATATATTACTGGAATAATGCAAAGAAAATGAATTTTCCTTTGGGTCCAGTAATTGTCAAAGGAATGATTGCAGATTCAGAAAATGTGCTTTGTAATAACCCTGTTAACATAAAGTATACACTGAGGAAAAAAATAAGTATGGCACATATATGGAAGGATTAGTTGTATTAGCAAGGCATTTCAGGGATGGTTTTGGTTCTTTAGACTAAGTAAGATACATCCAATTTAGACCCCCTTCAAATCCTTAGACAAATGGGAATCACTTGGTAACATAAAGATTATTTTGGTGGGCAGGGGCTGATTTCACCATGTGCTTACAAATGCTCCAACTAGTCAGTAAACTATCCCATCTGAAGGAAGGATTTGCTCTGGTAATAAGGCTGATATGCTCAAGCTGTAAGAATTAATTTGAATATCAAAAATGAAATTGAGATTGCTAACCATGTCCTGATAGTTACAGCATGTAGAATATTAAATGTCCTCTTTTTTAACTAAAGTAAAAAAATGAAGAAGCATGGTTAATTCACTTGTGCTGATTAAAACAGATGTCCACGTGCAACTTCTGTGTGTGAGCCTCCCCATGCTGCCATGCCACCAGATGCTTTCCCTTCACCTTGCTAATCCCACTAGATGTTTTCCTCGGTAGAATCCTAGCTCATGGGTTTCCATGTGCATGTTTCTATTGTAATGAAAATTAACTACAAAATCTGAACGTTTTCTGCTTTCAGAAAATTCTAGTGTACCATGTACAGCTTAGATATTTCTTTTTCAGTTAAAAAAAATAGTGCAAAAACATATCTGATAGTCAAGGTGATAGTTCAAGTGAGTTCTTGTGCCAAGGAACACAGACAAGCTTCTCCTCTAGCTGATCTGTAGAAACTGTATGTAGTTTTTGGGAAATATTCCAGATTTTCCCATAAGTTCTCCACTCATCCAGTCATCATCTACAGATTCCAGCTCTGTTATTATATCTCCAGCCTGTAAGACAAAAGGAGTTAGAATTACTGGTTTCTGTTGAGAATAAGCATGGTAAATAGTGGCCTACCTAGGGCAGCATGAATAATCTTCTCTGTATAACTCATTTATCTTGATTGTTGAGAATTAAATGACAACAATGATCTATACCTAATGATGCCATTTGCTTGTAAGCCTCTATCCCTTAAATCTCATTCCTTTGCCACTGCCACCCTTGCTGCACTTTGATTTTCCCTCTTATACTTTGTGCCTCTCAAATTCACCACTCCTAATCTAAAATCCCTCTTGAACAAATAATACCAGTTATCACACACACACACACACACACACACACGATTATTTATTGAGTACCCACTATGTGTCAGACACTGTTCTGAGCACAATTAATATTCCCTCATTCTACAACGGGAAGGCAAATAAACTGGCAGAAGAGGACAGAAAGCATGGGATTGCCAACTCATTAGGGCCATCAAGGGAGGGCCTCACTGAAGGTGTCATATAGGCAAAGATTTGGAGATGAGAAAGTGAGTCATGTGCTTCCTGTATGCCTTGTCTTATTCTGTGTACTTCACAGGAACTAACTCTTATGTAAACACCACCAAAGTCCTAGAGATGAGTACTATGTTATCCTCATTTTAGAGACTTTTTTTTTTTTTTTTTTTTTTGAGACGGAGTCTCGCTCTGTCACCCAGGCTGGAGTGCAATGGTGCAATCTCGGCTCACTGCAACCTCTGCCTCCCGGGTTCAAACAATTCTCCTGCCTTAGCCTCCCGAGCAGCTGGGGTTACAGGTGCCTGCCACCACGTCCAGCTATTTTTTGTATTTTTAGTAGAGACAGGGTTTCACCATGTTGGCCAGGCTGGTCTCAAACTCCTGACCTTGTGATCCGCCCACCTTGGCCTCACAAAGTGTTGGGGTTACAGGCGTGAGCCACTGCCCCTGGCTGAGATATATTTTTATAGATTTCCTTATTTTAGTGAAAAAGAAACCAAAACTCAGATAGACTACATAACTTGCCAGTGTCGCATGTCTAGTTAGTGGTAGAACCAGGATTCAAATCTAGTGCAATTCCTGGGCTTATATTCCTAACCACTAGGCTATGTGGCCGCCAGATTTTACAATGGACCTTTTTACTTAGAAAGGCTTTTACTGTAATTGCCTTTTATCAACACCCAGAGCATTTTGCACTCTACATTTATTCTTGCACATAATGGCATTTCTCCTCTACCATCTGGTTTATCACATTCCTCCTATGGCCCCAGTATCTTTTGTTTTTGAGACAAAGTCTCGCTCTGTGGCCCAGGCTGGAGTGCAGTGGCACGATCTCGGCTCACTGCAACCTCTGCCTCCCAGGTTCAAGTGATTCTCCTGCCATGGCCTCAATATCAAATTTGCATTTTTTTCCCATCTTAAAGAGCTTCACCTTGACTCAGGACACTGTTTTATCTTCATCAGGTTAGTCAAAGGGGCTGTGTGTCTTATTCATGTGCAAATTAGAATTCCTTCAGCAGATGAAGACATAACTATTTTGTTCTTTATAGTTTCTAAACATTTCTTAGAATCTGTGTTTAAGATGCTACAATGGTCCCAGATGACTCTGGCTACTGTTAAGACTACCTTTATTGGGCTAAATGAATTTATTTGTAGCCCTAGTACATTACCCTCTGGAAAAAAAAATGGCTTGATTTAAGGCTTTTCTTTATGGAAAATGAAAAGGAAACATGCAATCAGATGTTATTAATTTACTCTGCTCTGCTAAAATCTGTAAAAATTCTGGCAATTCAAAGTTTTTGTTATAAATAAGTTCCTTCTGGTTCCTAAATTATAATTTAATAGTTAACTGAAGCTATTTTATTTAGGTCTGGTCCAAACCTACATACCATGTCAGTTTCCTGAGGGCTAGGACTATTTTTTTTTTTTAGATGGAGTTTTGCTCTTGTTGCCCCGGCTGGAGTGCAATGGCAAGATCTCGGCTCACTGCAACCTCCGCCTCCCAGGTTCAAGAGATTCTCCTGCCTCAGCCTCCTGAGTAGCTGGGACTACAGGTATGCACCACCACACCTGGCTAATTTTGTATTTTTTAGCAGAGACAGGGTTTCTCCATGTTGGTCAGGCTGGTCTTGAACTCCCGACCTCAGGTGATCCACTCACCTTGGCCTCCCAAAGTGCTGGGATTACAGCCGTGAGCCACTGCACCCAGCCAGGCTAGGGCTATTTTCAAAAATTAGTTTTGGCCGGGTGCAGTGGCTCACTCCTGTAATCCTAACACTTTGGGAGGCCAAGGCAGGTGGATTTTCTGAGCTCAGGAGTTCAAGACCAGCCCGGCAACACAGTGAAACCCTGTCTCTACTAAAATACAAAAAATTAGCTGGGCATGGTGGCATGCACCTGTAGTCCCAGCTACTCAGGAGGCTGAGGCGGGAGAATTGCTGGAATCCAGGAGGCGGAGGTTGCAGTGAGCCGAGATCGCGCCGCTGACTGCACTCCAGCCTGGGCAGCAGAACAAGACTCCTTCTCTAAAAAAAAAAAAATTAGTTTTATCTATTAACATTCTGTGGATATTTAATAAAACTGAAAGCAGTGCAGAATCCCTTAACAACAACAATAACAACAACAATTCTAACAATTCTAGAACTATCTTATGGACAACCATTTGTAAAATGAAATGAAGATAACCTGTTTTCTGGAGGATACTGTGCATTCTGTTATTTATACTCACATAGTTTAAATGAAGACCAAAATAACATCCAAGAAGTTTGAATTCAGATTCTTCACTTGCAGTAAGTTTATGTAAAGATAAACGGGATACATTTTGAGCCACTGACTCTCAAGGACTAAGGCAACAGTTTTCTTTCTTTCTTTCTTTCTTTTTTAAATTTTGTTTTAAAGACCAAGATGTTAAAGGAAAAAAAGGGAACTGATAGAAGGTTACGAGTTTTTAATTTTGCATAGCTTACAGCATAAGAAATACCTATCATTTATGGCTGGGTGTGGTGACTTATGCCTGTAACCCAGCTCTTTGGGAGGTTGGGGCGGATGGATCGCCTTGAGCTCATGAGTTTGAGACCAGCCTGGGTGAGACCCAGTCTCTACAAAGAATACCAAAAATTAGCCAGGCATTGGTGGCTCACACCTGTAGTCCCAGCTACTCAGGGAGCTGAGGGGTGGAGAATCGCTTGAGCCCAGGAAGCTGAGGCTGCACAGTGAACTGAGATTGTGTCACTGCACCTCAGCCTGGGCAACAGAGTGAGACCCTGTCTCAGAAACAAAACAAAACAAAACAAAACCAAAAAAAAAAAAAAAGAAAGAAAGAAAGAAAGGAAGGAAAGGAAAGAAGGGAAAGAAAGGAAAGAAAGAAAGAGAGAGAGGCCGGGCATGGTGGCTCACACCTGTAACCCCAGCACTTTTGGAGGCTGAGGCAGGCAGATCACGAGGTCAGGAGTTTGATTCCAGCCTGGCCAGTATGGTGAAACCCCGTCTCTGCTAAAAATACAAAAATTAGTCAGGTGTGGTGGTGTGTGCCTGTAGTCCCAGCTACTTGGGAGGCTGAGGCAGAAGAATTGCTTGAACCCAGGAGGCAGACCGAGATCATGCCACTGCAATCCAGCCTGGGCGACAGAGCGAGACTCCATCTCAAAAACAAAAAAAAAAAAAAAAAAAAAGAAAGGAAGGAAGAATAAGAAATATCTATTATTTGCTAACAATATATTATAACAGAAATGACATTTAATACAAAAAGATGAAATAACATTTTATTATTCAGAATAAAGTAAAACCCCATCACAAAATAGGAAGTTAGCAACTTTATGGTGACATATTTCAGTCAAGGCATCCCCCCTTACCCCGACAAAGGCTGCACATACCTGATTCAGGTATTGCCTTGTTTTCCTCTTTTTCTTTGTTGAGATGGGGTCTTGCCATGTTGACCAGGCTGGTTTTAAACTCCTGGCCTCAAGCGATCCTCCTGCCTTGACTTCCCAAAAGTGTTGGGATTAGAGGTGTGAGCCACTGTTGCTCGGCCTTTTTCTCATCTTGTTGCAGACAAGTGAAAACCCTGTTTGGTTGTCCACTGTTTTAAACCACACCTTGTCCAATCATTCCTTGATATGTTAATTCTTTCTATGGCATCCTTTCCTCTGACTGAATATCTTCAATGACAGAGAATTTACCACTGCCTGACACAGGCTATTTTGACAGCAGTGACTACTAAAACCACCCTCCTTCTTCTAGCACTGTTCCCAAAGTGCTTTCCTCTGACTATGGTCCAGTTGTGGATTAGGGAAATAGAATCATGAAAATATCTACTTTTGGCCGGGCGCGGTGGCTCACGCCTGTAATCCCAGCACTTTTGGAGGCTGAGGTGGGCGGATCACCAGGTCAGGAGATCAAGACCATCTTCACTAACATGGTGAAACCTCGTCTCTACTAAAAAAAATACAAAAAAATTAGCTGGGCATGGTGGCGGGCACCTGTAGTCCCAGCTACTCGGGAGGCTGAGGCAGGAGAATGGCGTGAACCGGGAGGTGGAGCTTGCAGTGAGCCGAGATCGCCCCACTGCACTCCAGCCTGGGTGACAGAGCGAGACTCTGTCTCAAAAAAGAAAAAAAAAAAAAAGAAAAGAAAATATCTACTTTTACTTTAAGAAGAAATTAGGCATTTCTTCGGTGAAAAAAAAAAAAAAAAAAACCTTTGCAAACTAGCTCAACCTTTTGGGACTATTTCCCCAAACCTCTGGTCATTGCCTTTGTGGACAAGAGTGCAGTGGTGCAATCTCGGCTCACTGCAAGCTCCACCTCCCGGGTTCATGCCATTCTCCTGCCTCAGCCTCCTCAGTAGCTGGGATTACAGGCGCCTGCCACCATGCCCAGCTAATTTTTTTGTATTTTTTAGTAGAGACGGGGTTTCACCGTGTTAGCCAGGATGGTCTCGATCTCCTGACCTCGTGATCCCCCCACCTCGGCCTCCCAAAGGAATTTAGTGTCTTATGAGGCTACTATGCTACTAGTGCAAATTGTAGCAGGTGCTATCTGATTCTCCATCAATTTCAAAGACACATCAATGGCAGGCTTGCAGGGCCATGTAGACAGTCATCTGTTACCAGGGCTACTAATAAAAACCCTAATATTACTGAGATCTGATGACCTAAGACCAAGGAACAGGGATTACTTTGGGGATGTATGGGGGTGTAAAGCCAAGGTTTTCTCTAAGTACATTAATGCCTGGTTGATACTGTAAATTAACAGGCCTATTTGCACTGTTCACTTTCTCTAATGTCTTCCCCTAGAATCAGGGCCTGAGATCTCTTCATTCTTGAGTAATGATTAATATTCCACCCAAATGTTCCATCCTTCAATGGAAAACATTTAAAAAATTATAGTGCTTAATGCAGTTATGAAGAGATACACATTCTGACCTTGAAGGAAAGTTCATCTTCATTCTCCCCTCGGAAATCATATAAGGCTTTGGCCTTCCTCCCCTTCGGTACTATGGCCAACATACTTTTTGCCTCAGCTGTGAAGACATAAAAAATTTAAATATATAGAAACACAGTGGACTAAAACACAAATCTAACATTTTTTAAAAAAAAACGCTTATCGCTCTAAAAACACAGTATCTTCTCTTCAGAGGTAGTGATATTAGGCAAAGAAAAACATTTTTAAAAACATGTTCAATTAATTTTGAACTTATTTAACTTTCAAAAAGATGAACAATGTTCTTTTAGCAGGGAAAAATTACGTAAACTATATTTATTAGATGGAATTAGCCATTATTTAGTGAAGACATTATCTTTTTTTTCTATAACTCTAACAAAGCATATGAATGAAGTTTGCATAACTTCATGTATCAGCTCTTTCAAATATAGACAGACAAACTGAGCATGGCCAGAGGGGAAAGGAATGTATATAGTTTTGAAGGTTTCAGGCTCCCCGTGAGGAGTCGCATTCATGTCTTGCGGTTGTCATACCTGGGCAGGGCCTCACAAACACTGCTGGGAAGATCCCCTCCCTGTCCTGCAGTCTGCCCCTGCACCAGTCAGAATCCAGACGTTCCAGAATCTGGATCCGGTCTCCCCTCTTGAATGATAAGTCATCACTGGTCTCTGCTGTAAAACTGTGAAGAGCTTCACACCATTCTGCCGGAAGACTGTTAACCTGTTATCAAATTAGAGGTGTGGTCAGAAGTGTAAGATTTTATTTGAAATTGAGTTCTACAAAGCTTAAAAAGTAGTGGGGAAAAAAAAACTAAGGGGTCTTAAGATTTCAAAGCCTGAAGGCTTCTTTAAATTATCTAATACTTTATGTTGCTATCAAGTTTCAGAAGTAAAAGTTTCCAATAATTTTTTCTTAAATTATAACTCTAAATGACAAGTGTGATAGAATTTGTGGCTTTTCTGCTTTTAAGGGATATACAAAGCTTAAGCAAACACTTTTTTACTTTCTTTATTTTCTTTTCTGAGCCAAGTTCTTACTTAGTAACCCAGGATGGAGTACAGTGGCAGAATCATAGCTCACTGCAGCCTTGACTTCCTGGGCTCAGGCAATCCTCCCTCCTCAGCCTCCCGAGTAGCTGGGACTACAGGTGCAGCCACCACACTCGGCTATTTAATTTTATTTTATTTTTGCAGAAATGAAGTCTCACTATGTTGCCCAGGCTGGTCTTGAACTCTTGGCTCAAGTGATCCTCCCACCCTCCCAAACTTCTGGGATTACAGGCATGATCCACCTCACTCAGCCAAAAAACTTTTTTCTTAATATGACCTATTATATTGTTATATTAAAGAATTAGGTAAAAGCATAAAATATTTATGCATAGTATTTGACACTATGAAAAAATTCTGATAAAGTATGTAATTATCAGTGAAGCTCTTCTTTATTTAAATTAGGAAGGATCAGAATGGGTTGGTCTATGAATTCCCAGGTCTTTACTTGATTCAGAGACAATTAGAGTCCATAGCACAGAACTTCATCAATTCACACTTTTAATTTTATGAGCTGTAGTTAACTCTAAGATTGGCAGGATAACACCCAGATGTGGTGGGCTAGTGTAAGAACACTTTTATCCCAGGCACATTAGAGAAAGGTTTTGCTCTGTGAAGAGGCAGCTCTGCCAATTTGGGATGGGAACCCTATGTTCAAGAGGCTCAAGAAGGCAGTAGAGGATAATGAAAAGGCTTTTTTCTTTCGAGATGGAGTCTCGCTCTGTTGCCCAGGCTGAAGGGCAATGATGCAATCTTGGCTCAATGCAACCTCTGCCTCCCGGGTTCAAGCAATTCTCCTGCCTCAGCCTCCCGATTAGCTAGGACTACAGGTGCACACCACCACACCCAGCTAATTTTTGTATTTTTAGTAGAGACGGGGTTTCACCATGTTGGCCAGGCTGGTCTCGAACTCCTGGCCTGAAGCGATCCACCTGCCTTGGCCTCCCAAGGTGCTGGGATTACAGGAGTGAGCCTCAGCGCCTGGCCGGGACAAAGGCTTTGGAGCTACACAGGCAAGGTTTCCAGACCCAGTTCTGCCACTTCTTAACTTCGTGACACTGGGCAAGACGCTTCTCTTCTCTGAGGCTCAGCTTCATCTTGGGGTTACTAAGAGGATTAAATGAGACAATGCATGTCTAACATTTAGCCCAGTGCCTGGCACATCTTAAGTGCTCAATAACTGATGGCTTATAAAACAAAAACAAAAAGCAAGCAAACAACACTAACCCCCTCTTGCTCCTGCACTTGAGTAACCAACCCTAAAGGATGGAACTTATCATTCTCCAAAAATGCAGGCAACAACCATGTGAACATTTCCTTTTGGAGAACTGTAGTCAGTTTCCTTCCTGTTTCACTTTATCAGTGGGTAGGGATAAAGAATTAAGGGACACACAGGCCAATTACAAGTGACATTTTCACAAACACAATGATCCCATCAGGCTTAACTCTTCTAAATTTGTCACAAAAAACAATGGAAGGCCGGATGTGGTGGATCACCCCTGTAATCCTAGTACCTTGGGAGGCTGAGGCAGGTGGAGCGCTTGAGCCCAGGATTTTGAGACCAGCCTGGGCAACAAAATGAGACCCTGTCTACAAAAAATACAAAAATTAGCTGGGAGTGGTGGTGTGTGCCTGTCATCCCAGCTACTTAGGAGGCTGAGGTGGATTGCTTGAGCCTGGGAAGCAGAGGTTGCAGTGAGCTGAGACCTCGACACTGCACTTAGCCTGGGCATCAGAGTGAGATCCTGTCTCAAAAAAACAAAACAAAACAAAACAAAAAAACCAAAATAAAACCAAAAACAACAAAAAACTAAAAACAACAGAAGGCACCACATTCCTAGTACCTTTAAGCATTTCTGGGGTCATGCTGAACAGTGTAAAAATTTTAACCCACTATTTTTCTCTTTCTCATTATACAAATGAAACAAATGTTCCTAAATATTTGGAAAGTTGAGAAACGTATAAAGAAATGGAGAAGGCCAGGCGCAGTGGCTCATGCCAGTAATCCCAGCACTTAGGGAGGCCGAGGTGGGTGGATCACGAGGTCAGGAGTTCAAGACCAGCCTGGCCAAGACGGTAAAACCCCGTTTCTGCTAAAACTACAAAAATTAGCGAAGCACAGTGGCAGGCACCTGTAAACCCAGCTTACTCAGGAGGTTGAGTCAGGAGAATCACTTGAAGCCGGCAGCAGAGGTTGCAGTGAGCCAAGACTGCGCCACTGCACTCCAGCCTGGGCGACGGAGTAAGACTCCGTCTCAAAAAAAAGAAAAAAAAAAAAGAAGTGGGGGAAAAAAACCTACCCGTATATATAATCTCACTACCTAGATGCAATTTAATACTAGTAACTTGAATAATTTCCTTCCAGTCTTTTTATGCTATATATTCAATTTTATATCCCCTTTCCCTATGTTTCCTCTCATGACATTTAAAAACATTATTTTATTTGATAAATCTAGTTTTTCATAGCTTTAGAATATTCTCCCAATAATGGTCATATTTAGGTTGTTTCCAATTTTTTCTTATTATATTAGCACTATGCTCATCTTTGTGACTAAAACCCTATCTCATTTTTTATCCTTTTCTTAGGGTGACAAATAAGAATGTGTACTTTCTCTCTTTTTTTTTTAACACTCACATGCTTATAATTGCTTGTTTAGTGCTGAGCTGCACTGAATCTTTGTTAACTGAATAGGTTAAATGGTATTTTATTGCTGCTTTATTATATATTTTCTTGATTATTAGAAAGGTTAAATATTTTTTCAATATTAGCCACTTATGGTATCTCTTTTATGAATTCTTTTTTTCTTTTTTTCTTTTTTTTTGAGGCAGAGTCTTGCTCTGTCTCCCAGGCGGGAGTGCAGTGGCGCAATCTTGGCTCACTGCAAACTCTGCCCCCCGGGTTCACGCCATTCCCCTGCCTCAGCCTCCTGAGTAGCTGGGAATACGCGCGCTGGTCACCACACCCGGCTGATTTTTTTTGTATTTTTAGTAGAGACGGGGTTTCACCGTGTTAGCCAGGGTGGTCTCGATCCCCTGACCTCATGATCCGCCCGCCTCGGCTTCCCAAAGTGCTGGGATTACAGGCATGAGCCACCGCGCACAGCCTCTTTTATGAATTCTCTAATCATGTCTCTTTTATCATTTTCTTTCTTTCTTTTTTGAGATAGAGTCTCGCACTGCCACCCAGGCTGGAATGCAGTGGTGCTATCTTGGCTCACTGCAACCTCCACCGCCAGGTTCAAGCTATTTTCCTGCTTCAGCCTTCCAAGTAGCTGGGACTACAGGTGCACGCCACCATGCCTGGTTAATTTTTGTATTTTTAGTAGAGACAGGGTTTCACCATGTTGGCCAGGCTGGTCTCGAACTCCTAACCTCAGGTAATCCACCTGCCTTGGCTTCCCAAAGTGTTGGGATTACAGGCATGAGCCACTCTGCCCAGTCTCTGTTTTCATTTTCTATCAGGGTTTACATGTTTTTGTATGAGCTCTCTATATAAAATATATTAACCATCTAAGAATTTATTACAAACATTTGTTGTATGAATTGAAAAATTAATTCATACTATATTCTCTTGAAAATTATGATTTTAATATTCCTCCCAGAGTCTGAACCTGGCTGTCACTATAGTCATCTGTTCAAGCAGCCTACCTGAGAGTTTGAGCCAGAATCTTCTTTTTTGGTTTTCAGTGGTACCTTTGTGCCTACATTAAAAAAACAAACAAACACAAGAAGTCAGAACATTAGATGTGAAGGCCACATAGTATTAAAAACAAATGGTTGAGGTGGGAGGTGGGAGTGAAGACTCTGGGATTCCACTCCGGTCTCTTCATGTATTGTCTATGTTGCGTTAACCTGTACTAACTTCACTGAGCTTGTTTAGTTAATTGTAAACACAACTATTTATAGTCTATATACATTAGTAACAGTCTATAGTTCATTTCTGTTTAAAAGTCTTTGCTATTTATTTATTAGATACAGAGTCTGGCTCTGTTGCCCAGGCTGGAGTGCAGTGGTACAATCATAGCTCACTGCAGCCTTGAACTCCTGGTCTCAGGCAATCCGCCCACCGTGGCCTCTCAAAGTGTTGGAATTACAGGTCTGAGCCATCATACCCAGCCTCTTTGCCATTTCTTATATGAAGCTATTGCTAATTACCTAAAATACCAAAACCAGCTCTTTGAGAGATGCCCACAAATAATGTCTATCCCACACAAATTCCCATTTTAAAATCAGTTTTCCTTCTACCGTAAAAATATGGCAATATGGATTATTATACAGCTTAAGTATAATGATATTATTTGGTTTATTTGAATTAGGACATAACATAATAAAAAAAATTCTCTATACTCACTTAAAACATTTGCACCAGAGGTGGGATAATCCTCAACAGGCTCCACAAAGTTCAGGGGGAAAATCCCAGTTCTGCCTCGAACTTCTCCTCTGGCCCATTCCTCATTCACATACTCTTTAAGAATAATAATTTCTCCCTCTGAGAAACTCAACTCATCCTTCTGCTCTCCAATATATTCAAACCGAGCAACACATCTTGAGCCTCTGAATGAAGAACACATTTTGTGGATTAGACTAGAGAGTGCTTTTAAAATGCTTAAAAACCTTCATTCAGTCTTTCAATAAATATTTATTCTGGGTTTACCATGGAATAAGGTATACTAGGCTAATTTGAAATTATTCCATGAAAAAGAGTAAGTTACACTTTTAAGTAACAGATATGAACCTATTCACTCAGAAAGGCTGAAGCTCAAGGTCGCGGAGTGCACGCAGCTGGGTGGTTAGTTTACCCTGCTGTGTCTTTTGATCTTCTTACTCCCCAGTCTCCGTATGTTTGTATCCTTGGGCCACAGCAATCCGTGGTCCAGTCTGAACCCTTCCAATCATAAATGCACTGAGTTGAGGAGTGCTAACCCTGAGAATCTCAGGGCAATTAATCAAATTTTCTGACTACTAATCAGGGCAGAATGCAATGGGCATCAGCTGGGCAAAGTTGATGTTCAATAGATGCTCAATTAATCAGTGAGCTGGCCTTAAAAACTAGGAGGTTTAAAGAAAACAGAAACTTGGCATATCATAACACACAGTCTTGGAACTAACCCTGTTGCCTTTAAAAATGATTTTTTTAATCTCCTTTAAAAGGGCTTCATTTCTGACATTTGGAACAATCCTTACATGATCTGCAATTTTGACTGAAAATAAGATAAAAGCAGAGATAAAATTGTGTCTCTAGAAGGTGTGCTTTAATACTAATCCCTAGATTTGAGGGTTTAGAAAGGAAGTTTCAATAGCAACAGGCTAAGGAGAAGCAATTGCCTAAAAAGAAAAGGTTGATTCTAGCTTTAATAGAATTCTGATTTAAGTCAGATCAATGGGTCAATGACTGTAAAAGCCCACTTCGAATTCAACCTGCTGAGACACAGTATATGCTGCTTAAAAATAGAGAAAAACTGAATCTGAAATAGAATTCAACTATTGTGGATCAGAAGTTTTCTTATTTGTGATAACCTTTGCATTTGTTTTCTAAAGTCCTCTGGGAGCATCTGCTTATGTCTGACCTATTCATAGACAGGTTTACAGTCTTCAGCAGGTAATGAATTCTATTAATTTGCTCATTTAACTAGAATATAAAGTTGCATTGTGGCAGTGCTTTAAATCACAAAGGAGTTACAATGACACATAAAAGGGTATATAAATTCAGGGAAACGTCCTCAGAGATAAAGGAAAACCCCTTCAACTTAACTCTTCCTTCACTTTCTTCTAGTTCCTCTTAAAAACAAAAACATACAAAATGTCTAGCAGTTATTGTAGGATTCATATTTCTATAGGATTTAATTATTTCTCATGACAAAAATACTTGAACCTTCTAAAAACTGGGTGAACACCAGATGGCCAAAATAAAATGCAGTAAATGATGAAACTATCTCTGCTCATGCTGAGACCAGGCTGCAGGAAGCACTGGCATAGACTGTCTTTGCTGCTTTCTTTATGTCCTGCACTGATGTTGGAGAGTTGCTTAGGTAAGCTTCTATCAGCAGGTTCATGATGTATTTTCATCAGAATTTTAACCCATTGTCACCTTTTAAACAAGTTTTCTTTGTAATTAAAAAGACACGATGAGAATCTGAATTATCACCATATGAAGTGTTTTCTTTTAAAATAAAGAATAAATAAATAATAGAGATGGGTTCTTGCTATGTGGCCCAGGTTAGTCTTGAACTCCTGGCATCAAGCAATCCTCCCACCTCAGCCTCCCAAAGTACTGGGATACAGGTCTGAGCCACCATGCCTGGCCTTGGAGTGTTTTAAGCTTGATAATTCTTCATGATATAGATGGTTATCTCCTTTGTATTTTGTGTAAAAGAACACAAATAAAACTTACTTAACACAATGAGATGAAACACATTCTCTTTTCCCATTTCCTCCTTCTGGGATATCAATCTAGCAAAGATAAAATCAAGGCAACAATTATATTTTTTTCAGATTTTCATAAGATAAATTTAAGGTTAAGTAATTAGAAAGTACATGACTGAAATCGATCGGTTTAGCTAGGTGTTAATCTGATTAAGAGGAACTACAGGTGCTAAATGGTAAAACAAATCCTGAATTTGGATTAAAAAAAAAGTGTAACTTGTGAAGTAGCCTTCCTTGAGTAGCCAATCAATTCTCTTATTTACTGGAATAACCACATTAATATCACTCTAATTCTGACTGAATTTTCTCTATCTCATTTTTTTTTTTTTTTTTTTTTTTTGAGACAGGATCTTACTCTGTCACCCAGGCTGGAGTGCAGCGGCACAATCAGAACTCACTGCAGCCTTGACCTCCCAGCCTCAAGTGATCCTCTTGCTTTAGCCCCACAAGTAGCTGGGACTACCGGTGTGCACCACCACACCCGGCAAATTTTTGTATTTTTAGTAGAGACAGGGTTTCACCATTGTTGCCTGGGCTGGTCTTGAACTCTTGGACTCAAGCAATCTGCCTGCCTTAGCCTCCCAAAGTGCTGGTATTATAGGTGTGAGCTGCCGCACCCTGCCAGCTCTATACCATATTTTCCAGGTTGAAAACTGCAGCTGAGAAGGACTTAACATAGAAATCAGGCATTAGCCCTGCCACACCTACTCCAAGTGTTGGTAGAATCCTGCAATGCTTCTCTGACCCCAAGATAAAACATTTCAATAAAACTTTGGATTCTCGGGCTGAGCACAGTGGCTCACGCCTGTAATTCCAGCACTCTGGGAGGATCAGGAGTTCGAGACTAGTCCGGCCCGGGTGACAACAGCGAGACTGTCTCAAAAACAAAACAAAACAAAACAAAACAAAACAAAACAAAACAAAACAAAAACAACTTGTGGATTCTCTTCACATTTATAACTGAAATATTTTCCCCCTTCAACATGAATAGGGAAGAAAGGAATCTGTATTTAGCAAACTAAGTGGCAACACTTTGTTTTATTTTATTTATTTATTTTTTGAGACAGGGTCTCACTCTGTTGCCCAGGCTGGAGTGCAGTGGCGTGATCATGGCTCACTGCAGCCTTGCCCTCCCATGCTCACACCATCCTCCCACTTCAGCCTCCCAAGTAGCTGGGACTACACACGCGTAACACCATGCCAAGTTAATTTTTCAATTTTTTGTGGGGACAGGGTCTCACTATGTTGCCCAGGCTGGTCTTGAACTCCTGAGCTCAAGTGATCCTACCTACTGCCTCAGCCTCCCAAAGTGTTGGGATTACAGGCATGAGCCACTGTGCCCAGCCAAGCACTTAATATAATATCTCATTTACAAGGCTCAGTAGAGGAGGGCTGGGTTGCAATAAAATATTTGGCTATAATGCATGCAATTTAAAACTACTTAAAGCTCGAGGTTTATATTAAATCAGTGCCTTCTTGAATTTTAAAGTTTTGAAGTTTTAAAACAATTTTTTAAACTTGTGGGCTTAGAAATAACACTTATACCAATAATGTGGCAGATTCTGTGTGATTGATTTCAGTGTGGTAATTGTGCTTTTTAAAGTACTGCTACATTGGGCAGAAGAAAAATGAGGAAGAGTGCTAAAACAAACATTATTCTTAATATTAATTTACAGAATGTGGTTGAATTTCTCCAAAGAATCAAGGCATAGATACACTGGACAATGTTTAATGCCTACCCTTCATAATCCAAGAGACTCAAATTCATTTCTATTTGAAGAATTCAGATTTTCTGTTAGTCTTGTTTTCTAATATTCTGATGTAATGGAATTTATTTACTTTTTCCTTCCAAATAAGCTGTTAATGCTGTTAAGCTAAATTTATTGATATTTCACAGTATCAGTAAGTTATATCAGGGACCGAGTCATCCTATTCCAATTGATACAAATGTGTGAGGGCAGTCTGATTTTATCCCCATGTTTCACACAGCCATCTGGGCTTACACACAGCTCTCACACATAGGAATGCTTTCACAAGTTAGGCCGTGAGGGTATAAAAATTCTGGTGCTTTAATATAATTTTCCTAATCAGATTAGAAATTATTTTGTGGGTACAACCATTAATGAACCACTATCTCCAATATAAATACTTCTGTATTCCCAAATAAATTTTTTTTTAAAGATGGAGATAAATAAGAATGGAAAAGATGAAAGAAACTCAAACCAAAATGTACTCCAAAGAAAAGAAGTGGTACCATAACCTCAGAGAACATCTCTACAGGATAAGCTAGTATCACTGAATTCATGTTCACTAAATGTCTCAAAGAATTACCATATATCCTTAAGTGCTTAACAACTCTCCAAGAACAGCTGATTCACCAGTTGACCTGTGGTGGTCTTTCACTTTAGGATTTCAGACAGCATTTAGGCATTAAGTTCTAACACTCCATAATATAATAATTAACCATCACCTAGTTGACCAAATCTTTATTTTTGAATTTTCCAAATGCCAAATGAATCAATGAAAGAGAACTAGAATCTGGGTTTCTAGTTATTTTTTCCAACCTACAAGTCACATAGAACCCACTGAGTATATGACCAAATTAAAACAAACACAACCCACTTACAATCACTTTGACATAGTTGGCAGGAAATATGCCAATCTGGTTTCTACAGTTCCCTCTGTACCAATCTGTATCTATCTTCTCCAGAAGATAAACAATTTCTCCAGAAGTGAGGTTCAAATCATCAACTTGCTCTGTAATATAAAATTATAGTTATGTATGATGAATCATCCTGGTTGCAGATTTGATAAAAGCACAAAGTAGCATTTAGTTGTGTCCACTGAGGCAGTTATGTTCCACTGATTCTGAGAACAGATTATACTAATCAAATTGACTTAAAAAATGCTATTCTTTTTTTGGACATTGTTATGAGCTCCCTTTTTAAAGACCAAATTAGACACATTTACCATGCTTTGATTGATGGGAAATGGTTGAAAAAAACACTATTGTGTTAGCAAATGTTTCCTACTGTGCCAATATAAAGCCGTGCTGAATACACACTGAACAATGAAAAAAGTTTATAGACATGGTATAATATTATTATTCTCAATTATGCTTAAAAATCATTTTAATTTCAAATATTAACTAAGGGAGTACTACAACTCTTTAGCAAATAAGTTTACCCATACCAAAACAAAAATCAGCCTATCAAGTGGATAAAAAGAGATTGTAAGTAAATCAGGAGTTTATTTGTAGCCTTGGATATGAAGGGCATTTTAAAAATTATTACAAAAGTACTTATATTGTGCGTGGGCATGGGTGGCTCATGCCTGTTATCTCAGCACTTTAAGAAGCTAAGGTGGGAGGATCACTTGAGGCCAGGAGTTCAAGACCAGCCTGGGCAACATAGCGAGACCATGTCCCTAGGAAAAAAAAAAATTAGCCAGGTGTAGTGGCACCCCTGTAGTCCTAGCTACTGGGGAAGCTGAGGGAGGAGGATCACTTGAGTCCAGGAGTTCAAGGTTATAGTGATTGCACCACTGCACTCAAGCCTAGGCGACAGAGCAAGATCTTGTCTCACACACACACACACACACACACACACACACACACACACACACACACAAATTACTTTGATCTCATAGGTAAGTAAGCAGCTGAGACAACTTTGAAGACAAAAGAACTTCAGTTATTAAGTTAGGATTAACTTTATTACAATTTTTTTGTTGTTGTTGTTTTTTGAGACGGGGTTTTGCTCTTGTTGCCCAGGGTGCAACGGCACAATCTTAGCTCATTGCAACCTCTGCCTCCCAGGTTCAAGTGATTCTCCTGACTCAGCCTCCCAAGTAGCTGGGATTACAGGCATGCGTCACCATGCCCGGCTACTTTTTTGTATTTATAGAGACGGGGTTTCAACATGTTGGTCAGACTGGTCTGGACTCCTGACCTCAGGTGATCCATCCGCCTCGGCCTCACAAAGTGCTGGGATTACAGGTGTAAGCCACTGTGCCCAGCCATATTACAATTGTTAATTAGTACCCACTATTTTTTTTTTTCTTTTTTGAGACGGAGTCTCGCTCTGTCCCTCGGGCCGGAGTGCAGTGGCGCGATCTCAGCTCACTGCAACCTCAGCCTCGCGGGTTCACGCCATTCTCCTGCCTCAGCCTCCCGAATAGCTGGACTACAGGCGCCCGCCACTACGCCCGGCTAATTTTTTGTATTTTTAGTAGAGACGGGGTTTCACCATGTTAGCCAGGATGGTCTCAATCTCCTGACCTCGTGATCCGCCTGCCTCGGCCTCCCAAAGTGCTGGGATTACAGGCGTGAGCCACTGCGCCCGGCCTAGTACCCACTATTTTGAAAGAGTTAAAAAGTTTGTGACTGGTAGGCAATTTGCAATGTTCATTTGTAAGGGAAAGTCTCTCTCTCTCTCTTTCTCTTTCTCAGGGAGCTTCAAAGGCAAGGGTATACAACTAAGCTTTCTGGAATGGCTGGTACAATCAACCCTTCTTGAAGTGGAGTCCTGGATAAGATGACCTCTCCAGTCTCGGACTCTATAGGCACAGAAAAATGAAGAAGGATGTCCTTGAGAGGCTAACCCCCGGCAGGGAAAAAGACTTACTCCTGGATCCTGTGGTTCTCCCACTGCATTATTTACATCCTTACCTGCTGGGAAATCATGAAGAACGACAGCATGAGGAGCACCACTGTCAACAGGCTTCTGAGCGTGGCTTGGATCCTTAGGGGGAGAAAAGGGCTGTGAATGAAGTGTGCAGGATAGATGGTGGATTTATTATTCACTCTGAGACCAATTTTTTTTTTCTCATTAGAGTCCTCTTGACACAATTACATTATGAGTACATGATGCAAACCACACAGTTGAGCCAAACAAGGGAATTATTATCAAGTTGAAGAAGAATGTGTCCTTGCTAAGGGAGGATGAAAATCTCAATTAAAATATCCCCCAGTATGTTTTCTTTTTGCTTTTTTAAGCTGAGAGAGTAAAACAAAAGGGAACTGTTTATTTATTTTGAAACAGTATCTATTCTACCCCAAAGTAGTGGTTTTTGACCTCTTTCCCTTTCAAGGATAGCTTTTTCCTTAAAACTGTGATCAAGACAGAGTCTTAAAAGTTGTGTCTTTATTAGGATGGGAAAAGAAGAAAGTTCTATGATTTATGCTCTTGCCTTTTGTAATGAAAGGAGCTAATGACTTTCAACAGAAGTATAATTCACAAAAAGTAAAATCCATTTCATTTATTACCACTTAACTAAGTGCTTTTTCTAATTTGAAAGCAATGCTACCTCCCATGCCTGGTCTGCATTTTGTATTTAATCTGAATGGTTTATTCAACAGTAGTTCTAAATAAATTAGCAAAAAGAATCTAACATTCTCTATCCATCTAGCCAAATGCCGAGATTGGCCAGAGGATAAGGCAAAGCTGAAGAGCGACCTCTTCTTATTGACTAGCAATTGTTATTCTTAGTTTCTTTATATCAAGAGACAGGCTTATCCTCATCATCATCAAATCCCACTGAAGGATATTATTTGGAGTTATAACTTAACACTCTTCAACACTGGCAAGCCTGTGAAATAAATAAAGGCAGATTTTTGTGCCCTTTCTTGTCTCTTCACCTCCTCTAATAACTCTTGTCCCCTTAGAGACGTCCTGACACATCTATACCTCTGCCCTTCCCCTGGCCATGATGCACCAGGCTGATTGCAGCGCACTGTGAATGATGGTCCACTTTCTCCATTTCAACCCTGCAGCACCTTTGCTGAGATCTTTTCTAAATCTCAGCTGCTCTTTCAACCAAAATGCACCTGCAGAAACAAAACTTTCATTCTCTCAAGTTAGGTAAACTGAAATATAACTTAAGACTCTAATGGCTAATGTAGCTTACTATATTAGCTTACTAAGAAGACCCTAACATTTTTTCATGGACTGCTTAATGCTTTTCTCTAAATAAATGAACAATATGGAAATTTCATGAATTCTGAGATATTTTAGGTCTGACATGGCTTTTTTTTCTTTGACACAGGGTCTTGCTCTGTCACCTAGGCTGTGGTGTAGTGGCACAATCACAGCTCACTGCAGCCTTGACCTCCAGGGGTTAAGTTATCCTCCCACTTCAGTCCCCAAAGTAGCTGGGACTACAGACAAGCACTACCATGCCTGGCTAATTTTTGTATTTTTTGTAGAGATTGGGTCTCGCCACGTTGCCCAGGCTGGTCTCAAATTCCTGGGCTCAGGTGATCCACCCATCTTGGCCTCCCAAAGTGCTGGGATTACAGGAGTGAGCCACCGTGCCCAGCCTGGAGTGGCTTTTCATAATTATTCAGCATGGACAACATAAGAAATGCCATATCTACAAAAAAATAAAAAATTAGCCTGGCATGGTGATACACCCCTGTGGTCCCAGCTATTAGGGATGCAGAGGTGTGAGGATCTCTTGAGCCCAGGAACTCGAGGCTGCAGTGAGCTATGATTGTGCCACTATACTCTGACTTGGATGACTGAGTGACTCTCTCCAAAAAAAGTTAAACAAATTAATTATTATTTATATAATGTGTTATACATGTGCATGTGTGATTTTCATTTTTTTCTGATTTACATCTGTGGAGAAAAAGGAATTACTATTCAATAAGTGTTATTAGGCTAGATGCCTATCCATTTGGAAAAAATGATGTCAGAGACCTACCACACACCAAACACAAACATGAAATCTCCAAATGGACCAGAGGCCTAAACATAAACCAGTCCTTGGAGGGAGGGGATAATTTGTGCCTCCCAGTCACACATTTTCCCTTCTCTGCCTTCAGTGTATGGATATCACTGGCAATGCTGCTCATCAACCCAGCCTAGCAGGTGAAGGGCAAGAGGAACAGGCTAGACAGGGTTGCCAACAAGTGGTCCATACAATTCAGACCATACCACTGGGGTAGGTATCTGGTAGGTAAATATAACATAATGCAAAGGTCTTTCTAATATGACTATAACTGCTAATGCAAATGGTTTTGTAATATTAAGAATAGCTAATATTTACTGCTCATTCACCATGTGCTAGTCACTGTGTTAAATACCTTATATGCATTAGCTCAATGAATTTGTTAAACATCTTTGAGATATAACCCACATACAATAAAATTTACCTACTGAAAGTGAACATGGCTGTAGCATATTCATAGAATTATCCAACCATCACCATAACCCAAGTGCAGAACACTTTTATCACTCCCCAAAGAAACCTCCTACTAATTAGGTGTCACACCCCAGTTACCCTCCCCTCAGCCCCAGGCAACCAGTAGTCTACTTTCTGTCTCTATGGATTTATCTATTCTGGACTTTTACACAAATAACATCATATAATCTGTCAACTCTGAAGACAACTCTGTGGGCAGTTATCTCACACATTAAAAAAATAAAGTTTAGAGAAGTTAAATAACCACCGAAGAAGGTGGAAGGGGAACCAAATTCCACTTCCCTGAAACCCAGGTCTGGGGTCTCAACCATGTACCAGGCAACAACCTTCCACTTTTCCCATGATCTGTCTGATTCAACCACAACTGGTCATGTTCATTCAATATTTTCTGTTTGCCAAGTTAGGGCAAAGTACAACATATTCGTAGAGATATTTACCTTAAAACTAGGCTTTCAAATAGGTAAGTTTTATTTAAAAAAAAAATGTAACAATAGCCATGAACCCAGAAGCATAAAGGAGGATTCATTTCATTATCACCAATAGCTGCCCATCAGAGGCCAACTCTCTGCAAGTCTATAGTAAAAGATGAGAAGGTGGTATTTAAGGTGGAAAGAACTTTGCACTGTTATAAAAGACTAACTTTTGGCTGGGCATGGTGACCCATACCTGTAATCTGAACACTTTGGGAGGCCCATGCAGGCAGATGGCTTAGCCCAGGAGTTTCAGACCAGCCCTGGCAACATAGTGAGACCCTGTCTCTACAAAAAATTTTAAAAATTGCCAGGCATGGTGGTGCACGCCTGTAGTCCCAGCTACTCAGGAGGCTGAGGTGGGAGGATTGCTTGAGCCGGGAAGGTCAAGGCTGTAGTGATCATACCACTGCACTTCAGCCTGGGCAACAGAGTGAGACCTTATCTCAAAAAAAAAAAAAAAAATTCTAATTTTTTTTAGCTTCTATTTTTCACAAAGGAAAGCTTTTTGGCAGTATAACTTCCACTGTTGCCATAAGTGTGTTCTGAAAGAGGAAGGACAGCTATGACAGATGGATAATGCCGTACCAAAACAGAGAAAATGAGTCAGTGGAGAACTTGCCCCGTGGGAGCTAAAGTAAGGATTTTCATATGCCAGCAGAAGCTACCTTAACACATATCTCCTCTGCTCTCCAAATACAATTTTTTAGTTTCTTAGCAAACTTCAAAAGATAAACTGCCTTCTAAGAAGAAAAAATGGGAAAAGATTATGAAAACTAGGATAAACGGCAAACCAAGTATTTTACTTGATCACTATTATTTTTCATATTTACTTTATTTTTTTATTTGTTTTTTTTTTCCAAGACATAATCTCGCTCTATGGCCCAGGCTGGAGTGCAGTGAAGAAAACAAAACACAGGGTAGTCACTCTGTATCGAAGTGATTAGTATGGCAGTGGCAAGTCTCTTAGTAGTAATTTATTCTAAAAGTAGAATAAATGCTACTGTAATTTTTACTCTGGTTAAAATAAATGTGCTAATAAAAACCTGAAGATGAGATATAATTAATAGTTCCATGAAATGTGCTGCTATGTGTGATATGAGGGCTGTAACAATATTAATTCCTTACGTTTGGTCTGCTTCTAAGATGTTCATCAAGTGGAGTGATAATCTTCATTTGAGACAGGTGAACTCTGCCAGTGTCTTCTCCCTTTTGGCACTCCAAGTAATTATTTTCCGTCTGCTTCAGCATCACAAGTACATCCCCACGCTGCAAGGTACAATACCACTCTCTGAAGCAATTATTATTTAATAAAACATTATTACTTTTTCACATTTTAATCTTTGGAGCCTAAAGCATTTAATAATGTGTAATGGTAGTAACAGAGGCCAGTAATTTTTTTTTTACATTAACCAGTAAGGAAAGAGCTCTACTTTACCTTACAAGAGAGTTCTCCGGGGTTTTGAGAGACAATATCTTCATTGGCAATTCCATGAGGCACAGACAGCTTAAACGTAAACCAATAAAAGGCTTATTCACAATCAAATAACCTCCTCTTAAGTTGCTGATCATTTAGGAATTTGGCATGTGTGTGCCTAAAGTGCACCTTCTCCAGCAGCTAAACTCACCTGGCTTCATCGCGCTCTAGATCAATGGAGCCTGCCATTTCTCATGGATGTTAAGAGGCTCTTGGGAGTTGGAGTTAGGCCCATAGAACCACAAGAGCTAAACATGGCCTAACATTCCCTTAATGACCATAACCAGGAAGTTCTGTTCTACAGGACAAGATCCGCCAAGTCCCCTGGGGGTTTGAAGGAGAAACACCCAGCACTTGACCTCACAGCCAGTTCTTTAATTCAGGGTTCTTACAATGGTGGCCTCTGAAGGCTGATCAGTGATTGGAGCCCTCCGTGTACTGCCTGCCTGTTTCCATAGACCTTGAAGCTCTTCTCCTAGAGTCTCTCTGATACCAAGTGTCTACTTAAATCCATTTCATGGCCTGATCCCAGCCACTTCCTGGTCCACTCAGCTCTGTCTGATCTTAGAATGGTTTTTACATCTGTACTGGACCTTGTCCAGGAGGCTCTGTTCCCTGCTTTGGAAAATTTTAGCTGATGAGTGCACATCAGACGGTCTGTACTATATAAAAGGCATACCCAGGAAATGCAATCACACAAGCTCACATCCAACATGGGAAGAAGGCTGCCTGGGCCTTGGATCACCCAGGAGCAAAGATCCACAGTGCAAGGATGTGGCCCTGTACAGCTGGCTTGGTGGTGCCATTTCCCAACATCTTTGTCAGATTCCTAGGGCTTCCAATGTACCCAGATTCCTGGCTAGCAATTTAATGGTACTGTAGGCATGCAATAAATGAAAGATTTGAAGAATTATTTTGTAATGAGACATACAGCTCTATATATACCATCATTTTGAATGTATTGAGTTTTAAAAAATGCTTTATTGACATTATACGACTATGCTAAGAACTGTCAGGCCTCTGAGCCCAAGCTAAGCCACTGTGACCTGCACGTATACATCTGGATGGCCTGAAGCAGCTGAAGAACCACAAAAGATGACATTCCACCATTGTGATTTGTTCTTGCCCCACCCCAACTAATCAATCGACCTTGTTATGTTCCTCCCCAGGACAATGAGTCTCCTGATCTCCCTACCCTGCACCTTGTGACCCCCGCCCCTGCCCGCAAGAGAACAACCCCCTTTAACTGCAATTTTCCACTACCTACCCAAATCCTTTAAAACTGCCCCACTCCTGTCTCCCTTTGCTGACTCCTTTTTTGGAATGAGCCCGCCTGCACCCAGGTGAAATAAACAGCCTTGTTGCTCTCACAAAGCCTGTTTGGTGGTCTCTTCACACAGACGTGCGTGACAAGAACCAAATGTGAAATCTGGTTCCCCTTGAGAAAGGGCTCTTAACAGAATGGCCAAATCAAGTAGAGGCTACGATTGGCGTAATGGTTAGGAGCAGGTGTCAGAGCCAGCTGACCTGTTCTCAAATCTTGCTCCACCATTAACTGGATTCGCAACCCTGGGCATGTTACTTTATGTCTCTGTTTCTTATTTTCCTCACTTGTTAAAGGAGGATAATAATATCTACCTCACAAGGTTGGTATGAGGAATAAATGAGTTATTTAATACATACATAAAGTGCTTCAAACAGCGCCTGGCTCATAATTAGTACTCAATATACATCAACTACTGTTATTTATTAATTAAGTAATCTATCCCAAAGAACACCCCTGGGTTTTAGAAATTAAAGTTTTATCAGTTTAAGTGAATATTAATATATATGAATATACTGCCTCCTTCTTATTTGTCTTTACCCTTCTCTAAAGAGGATTTTTGAAAAACCCTGAACAGCTTAAAGAAAAAATAATTACTGGCTCAATGATGGAAATGTAACACAACATAGAATTATTAATTGCTGTTCTTGTTACAAGCTACTCTGTCGTTCAATTGTTAAAAAGAGTAAGCAGTCCTGCTCTCCTGATCATTTTTATTTTATTTTTTTTTTTAAAAAAGAGTCTCATTCTGTCACCCAGGCTGGAGTGCAGTGGCATGCTCTTGGCTCACTGAAACCTCCATCTCCTGGGTTCAAGCAGTTGGCTTCCCAAAGTGCTGGGATTACAGGTGTGAGCCACTGCACCTGGCCTCCTTATCATTTTTATTTGTTTTACATTTTTCAGGTTAACCTGATCAAAGTAGAGAACACATCAACTGTTTTTGTTGTTGTTGTTGTTGTTTTGTTTTTTTGAGATGGAGTCTCACTGTTGCCCAGGCTGGAGTGCAGTGGCACAATCTCGGCTCACTGCAACCTCTGCCTCCCGGGTTCAAGCAATTCTCCTGCCTCAGCCTCTGGAGTAGCTGGGATTACAGGCATGTGCCAACACGCCCAGCTAATTTTTGTATTTTTAGTAGAGACAGAGGTTTCACCACGTTGGCCTGGCTGGTCTCAAACTCCCAATCTCAAGTGATCCACCCGCCTCGGCCTCCCAAAGTGCTGGGATTACAGGCATGAGCCACCACCCAGCAACTCTGTTTTTTAACTGTGGGAAATGCAGGCAAAGGTTTAGGTCATTTGATGAGAAAAACATTAAAAGAGAACAAAATCAATATCTCAACTATTGATGAAAACTTCTAACTGGTAACTATTAAATGGACCACGATAATTATTGGGCTTACAAAAGGGGAAAATGAGGGAAAAACCATCCATCTTAGTAAGAACTTTCTACTTCATTTTAAAATTTACTCAAGGGGAAAAGGAGTTATTAGATATAAACTATATCATGATATAAACTATAAGCCAGGAGTGGAGGCATGTTCCCATAACCCCAGCTACTCAGAAGTGTGAAGCAGGAGGATCCCTGAGCTCTGGAGGTCGAGACTGCAGTACACTATGATTGCAGCAGTGCACTATGATTGCATCACTGCACTCGAGTCTGGGTGATAGAATGACACTCCATCTCTTAAATGAAAGGAAAAACAAAAGATATAAACTATAGTATCTGTCAGAGTTACTCCCATTAGTATAACCCACTGGGTCAGGTTTTTCAGAATTTCTGTTTGGTCCAGCCAGGCAGCAAGTTACAAGCGGCCTGCCCTGCTTTCTCTCCTCTTTCCCTACATTTCTCCTAATAATGAAACCCTGCTTTAAAGACCTAGGTGTTTTGTTTGTTTGCTTTGAGACAGTCTTGCTCTGTTGCCCAGGCTGGAGTGCAGTGGTGCAATCTTGGCTCACTGCAACCTCTGCCTCCCAGGCTCAAGCAATTCTCATGCCTCAGCCTCCTGAGTAGCTAGGATTACAGGATTGTGCCATCACGCCTGGGTAATTTTTTGTAATTTTAGTAGAGACAGAGTTTCACCACATTGGCCAGCTGGTCTCAAACTTTTGGCCTCAAGCTGATCCACCAGCCTCAGCTTCCCGAAGTGCTGGGATTATAGGTGTGAGCCACTGTGCCCAACCAAGACCTAGAATTTATTATGGCCTACTCATCTAAAGCACTCTTGGCGTCAAGGGACAATTCCACATTTGTTCCATCATCTTTTTCTAAGGAATGATGAATCGTATATATACTTTAGGGCACACCTCTTGACCACAAACATTTTTAAAAGCTAAATTTACCATGTATTTACTGTAGAGAGGGTGTCCTGGTTTGGGACGAGGGGGTAGCACCGGATCTTGATTTTTAAAAACTTGACTCTTGGCTTTTGAGAGTCCAGTTGCCAAGTTACTTTGTTTTTTCTGAAGATCCATGTCAGAAGAGGATCGATTAAAAGGCAGTTTCTTATTAGATCTTCTGGTTGCAGAAAGCTTTGGGGGAGGTGGTCTCTCAGGGGGCACCTTGGTTGGAGGCTGTTGAGTTGGAATGGTTTTTCCATTCACAGGTCTGAAAGTCAATGTAGTAGCCATGAGTCAGTGTTTTGATCAGTATTAAATTCTGTCCTGTCCTGTCTTACACACACACACACACACACACACACACACACACAGAGACACAGCTTTCTGCTAGTGGAATACAGTTTACTGAAACATGCAGGGTATGCTATTTTTGAGCAAACGACTGCTGCATTAAACATTACATTATTAGAGGAAATGCCATGATGTTCCAGTTTCCTCTTATCTTGCGCTAGAGATTCATTAGTTCAAGACAAACAAGCATTTACTATCACGGGCTCTCTAAGGTCCCATTTGCTCTTAAACACATCATGACTATTTCTGGAAACTAAGTACTTTCTACCAAAGTCTGAGATGAAAAGCTTATAATAAGATACGATGTATGTGTGCTGGGGTCTTGTACATGATTAGAAAAGGAACATCAAAATCCCCTAATATTCATGTTATAGGTGTTACTATTAAAAGTCTAATTTAGATTAATACAAAGAAAGCTAGTTCTGAAAGGATAGGACAACTATTACTTTGAAAGCCTTTCCTTAATCCCTACGATAGAAATAATTTTCGGCTGGGAGTGGTGGCTCATGCCTGTAATCCCAGCACTTTGGGAGGCCCAGATGGACGGATCATGAGGTCATGAGATCGAGAACATCCTGGCCAACATGGTGAAACCCCATCTCTATTAAAAATACAAAAATTAGCTGGGCATGGTGGCTCATGCCTGAAGTCCCAGCTACTTGGGAGGCTGAGGCAGGAGAATCGCTTGAACCCGGGAGGCGGAGGTTGCAGTGAGCTGAGATCGCGCCACTGTACTCCAGCCTGGTGACAGAGGGAGACTCCATCTCAAAAAAAAAATAAATAAATAAATTTCAACATAGTAATAATGTCTTCTGATAGCATTACAGCCCTTTATTTGAATAGCTCCGGAACTCAGAAGGCAGTCACCTCTGAGCTCACAAAGCCAGTCTCCTTCGGAAATGCCAAAAACCAGTTTCTTAACCAGGAGGGTGTTTGTGTGCATGTATACGTATATTCTAGAAGTGGAGCTGTTTTAAGTTCAGAAATGAGTCTTGTTCATTTATTTGAGGAAATAAATGCTCTATGAGTTGAACTGTGTTAAAAAGGGAGCAGAGATTCCCACAACCTACCATTAGGAGCAGACAGTGGATTAGGGGCCTGCGTGAAATCGGTGAGATTATTTTATCTCTAAAAAAAGATTCAAGGCCAACAACACTCAATCTTGGTGATAAAAAAGAGTTGGGTCTCTGAGTCATTAATTTTTCTCTAACTTTTCCCACATTTACTTACCTCGGTGGCAACCTTGGGGGTACTCGCACAAAACCTCCTGTTTGACCTGGGTGGTTGGATTCCTGCAAGTAGCAGAGAATGCTTTTTAGTTAAGGTTAATCTGAAACAAGAACTTGTCAAGAGAAATTCTAGGCAACCTTTTGGCTGGATCTACAAGTAGAAATGCAGTTGAATTATAGAAAGTAGCTTAAAAGAGTTTTCAGCCTTAAACAATATTAACCTATTTCTGCCTAAATTATTCATGTCCTAATAACAAGTGAAAACACTGACAGGAAGAAACCAGTCTCCTGTTGTGGACCACAGCCTGAGCAACTGCACTGCATGGTCATGCACTCAGTGGATTCATGAGATATTGAGGGAAAATTTAAGCAGGCCCTGAAGAGAATTTAAAAATGTATGCTCTTGGCCGGGCACGGTGGCTCACGCCTGTAATCCCAGCACTTTGGGAGGCTGAGGCGGGTGGATCACGAGGTCAGGAGATAGAGACCATCCTGGCTAACACAGTGAAACCCCATCTCTACTAAAAATACAAAAAATTAGCTGGGCATGGTGGCGGACACCTGTAGTTCCAGCTACTTGGGAGGCTGAGGCAGGAGAATGGCGTGAACCCAGGAGGCAGAGGTTGCAGTGAGCCGAGATCATGCCACTGCACTCTAGCCTGGGCAACAGAGCAAGACTCCATCTCAAAAAAAAAAAAAAAAAAAAAAATATATATATATATATATATATACACACACACATATATATATATACACACATATATATACATATATATACACACACATATATATACATATATATATACACACACATATATATATACATATATATATATATACACACACATATATATATATACATGCTCTTTATTCATTCCGTGATCACACATAAGAAACACACTGCTCCTAAATTTAAACACATAGTAAGAGGGATGGTTATTAGTTGGTTTTGCTTTGAATAGGCAGATCTTATCTCATCACTGTTTGGTTTCAACAATTTGCAGTGGGTTTTGAACTAGAAGGAGGTGGGAACGTAAAAGAAACTTGCAGGATGGTCTGAGAGGAAGGCATGTAAGGAGAAATAGTTAAGGTCCAAGAAAGCAGTGTGCTGGTACCACTCTAGCAAAAGGGCTGGATGGGCTAAAAAAGAGTTTCGTAGAAAAGAGGAAAAGAGTGAAGGAGAATAATATGAACAATAAAAGACAGTCACAGTTGGAATGTTTTATCCTAATGGTAGATGAGAGAAACTGGAAGTGTGGAGATTAATAGGAAGATTTCTGTAGGGGAAGGGTCAAACTGTTCCATTTAAACAGGTTTTCTGAACATGTTATAGCCCAAGGATTGGGAAATGAAGGTAATACGTGGAGAATATTTTCAGATCTTCTGTTGAGTGGGAAGCCAAAGGATCTCAAAGCCAAAATTTCTGTTTTTTGGAGGGGGAAAAAGCCCTCACAAAATTCTTTTTTTTTTTTTTTTTTTGGAGACAGAGTCTCACTCTGTCCCCCAGGCTGGAGTGCAATGATGCAATCTCAGCTCAATGCAACCTCTGCCTCCCAGGTTCAAGTGATTCTCCTGCCTCAGCTTCCCGAGTGGCTGAGACTACAGGCGTGTGCCACCCCACCTGGCTAATTTTCGTATTTTCAGTAGAGACGACGTTTCACCATGTTGGCCAGGATGGTCTCAAACTCCTGACCTCAAGTGATCCACCCGCCTTGGCCTCCCAAAGTGCTGGGATTACACGCGTGAGCCACCACACCCAGTCCCTCAATAAATTCTTCTAATTCTGTGTTTTTTTGTTTTCCACTTTTCCTACTTTCTAAGTCCCCAACACACTCAGGAAATAATATTTCCCCAAAACTTCATAAGAAAAAAAATGCTGACTCTTTAAATTACATTGCTTTTTTTTTTTGTAAAGGATGTTTAATTAAAGCTTGGAAATCTTTGGGCTACTTCAGACTGTTTTTCTCCTTCTTATAAATGAGCCAAAACTCACTTTTATGATTTTTAAATTATACTGAATATTTATAACCTTTTCCTTAAATACCAAATGATTAATTGCCAATAACTGTGATCATTTAAACATGTTTCAATATTATAAAATCCCATTTTAAAAAACAAATTAAGCTTGCCCTTAAAACTTGGTTTCACTAATGAGTTCAGTTAATGTAGTGAAGCAAGTAACCAGCTCATAAACCCTGCAATATTCCAGAATATAATCCTTGCCTTATAATTACACTGCTGCCTATATTTTTCCTGACAAATATTGCCATGATGCTTGAAAAATGCATTTATTTCTTTGGCTACCTTTAAAATTAAAACAAACTCTAGCAGATAGGAAGAAATTTTAATTGCTTTTCTCAAAACTGTAATTGTTAGATACCTTGATAAAGAAAATTTAAAAAATAGATATATAAATTTGACATGGAAAGATGCAGATGATGTACTGTAATAAATGCACAGCATATGACCCTAATTTTGTACCAAATATTAGCTATAGTTTTTCCTGGGGGGTGGTATTTTTATGGAAAATCTTAAACATCTTTTTAATTTCTTAATTTGCAACAGTAAGAAAATTTTAAATCAGAAAAAAAGAGTGGCATATTCAAATTCTTTAGGGATGTTAGGCACATTCTGAAAGGCACTGCTGTATCTGACATACTCCAAATATTGAGAGGAGACAGTTCTTGCAGGAGCCATTGTCTTAGTGTTTGCTCAAGTCTGGGTTTATGCCCAGGTTCTGCTGAGTCTTTGCAAGATAACTGATTAGGGACTTCCTCCTCGTGGGTATTCCACACATAACCTCAAGGCTCTCTGCATTTGCTTTTTGACAGTTTTTCTCTAGCTCTGATATCCCTGAACTCTGGCTTTTAATGTGTTTGGACAAGCATTTTAGTTTCTGGTGAAGTTGGTTTTCCTGCTTATATTGTCTCTGCAGATTCCATCTTTTTGTTCATCTGCACTGGAATAATATTCCAATTTAAAAATAATTCCCCAGTTTTTTGCTATTCTCTCTCTCTCTTTTTTTTTTTTTTTTTTTCTGAGATGGAGTCTCACTCTGTTGCCCAGGCTGGAGTGCAGTGGCATGCTCTCAGCTCACCAAACCTCCGCCTCCCGGGTCCAAGCAATTCTCCCACCTCAGCCTGCCGAGTAGCTGGGATTACAGGCATGCGCCACCATGCCTGGCTAATTTTTGTATTTTTAGTAGAGACGGGGTTTCACCATGTTGGCCATGCTGTTCTGGAACTCCTGACCTCAACTGATCCACCTGCCTCGGACTCCCAAAGTGCTGGGATTACAGAGGTGAGCCACTGTGCCTAGACTTTTGCTACATATATATGTACATATATATATATTTGAGACGTAGTCTTGTTCTGTCACCCAAGCTAGAGTGTAGTGGCACGATCTTGGCTCACTGCAACCTCCGCCTCCTGGGTTCAAGCAATTCTCTTGCCTCAGCCTCTTGAGTAGCTGGGATTACAGGCACGTGCCACCACACCCGGCTAATTTTTGTATTTTTAGTAGAGATGGGGTTTCACCATTTTGGTCAGGCTGGTCTCAAACTCCTGACCTCATGATCCATCCACCTCGGCCTCCCAAAGTACTGGGATTACAGGCATGAACCACCATGCCCAGCTGCTATATTTTTTTAAAAAAACAGGTATTTCTCCCAAGACCACACTCTTGTCTGCTGGAATTACTGAGTGGCCTCCATATGTTTCTTATCTTTTTTCTCCAAGAATTAGCACTACTTCTTTTTTTATTTTTTAGAGACAGGGTCTCGCTTTGTTGTCCAGGCTGGAGTACAGTGGCGCGATCTCGGCTCACTGCAACCTCCACCTCTGGGTTCAAGCGATTCTCCTGCGTCAGCCTCCCAAGTAGCTAGGATTACAGGCGTGCTCCACCACACCTGGCTAATTTTGTATTTTTAGTAGAGATGGGGGTTTCACCATGTTGGTCAGGCTGGTCTCGAACTCCTGACCTCAGGTGATCCACCTGCCTCAGCCTCCCAAAGTGCTGTGAATACAGGCATGAGCCACCGTGCCTGGCCCACACCTTTAAGTCTTTATGGCCTCTGTTTCAAAATTCATTCAGTAATTGTAATTTTTTTTAAAAAAAAAGGGATTTCTTAGGCACAGATTGACTTTCAGGTCCCAGAAATCTATATGCGTGAATTCAGGCAAATCATTTAACTTGTAGTCTGATTCTTCATCTCTTCTTCCTTCAGATTCAGTGTGTTTATTATGGTATGCATTTATTATAGTACAGTACTGAATGTTCTGACTCCCTTTATAAACAGTGCAGGACAGGATTTTCCTCATGTTGTCATGTGAGGAACAAACACAATTATGAATATGGTATCTCTCCAGATGGTTTAATTTATTATAACTTCCTTTTTTTTGTTTTTCTAAAATGTGGAAGTTGCTTCCGGACTGCTTAGCACTAAACATAATAATACTATTTCTTTTCTTTTCTTTTTTTCTGAGATGGAGTCTCACTCTGTCGCACAGGCTGGAGTGCAGTGGCGCGATCTCGGCTCACTGCAACCTCTTCCTCCTGGGTTTATGCAATTCTCCTGCCTCAGCCTCCCAAGTAGCTGGGATTATAGGCGCATGACACCACACCCGGCTGATTTTTTTTTTTTTTTTTTTGTGAGATGGAGTTTCATTCTTGTTGCCCAGGCTGGAGTGCAATGGTGTGATCTTGGCTCACCACAACCTCCGCTTCCCAGGTTCAAGCGATTCTCCTGCCTCAGCCTCCCGAGTAGCTGGGATTACAGGCATGCACCACCACACCCAGCTAATTTTTTGGATTTTTAGTAGAGATGGGGTTTCTCCATGTTGGTCAGGCTGGTCTTGAACTCCCGACCTCAGGCGATCCGCCCGCCTTGGCCTCCCAAAGTGCTGGGATTACAGGCTTGAACCATTGCGCCCGGCCCACACCTGGCTAATTTTTGTATTTTTAGTAGAGATGGGGTTTCACCATGTTGGCCAGGCTGGTCTTGAACTCCTCACCTCAAGTGATCCACCCGCCTTGGCCTCCCAAAGTGCTGGATTACAGGTGTGAGCCACCACACCCGGCCTCTTTTCTTTTTTTTTGAGACAGAGGCTTGCTCTGTTGCCCAAGCTGGAGTGCAGTGGTGCGATCTCAGCTAACTGCAACCTCTGCCTCCCGGGTTCAAGCAATTTTCGTGCCTCAGCCTCCTGAGCAGCTGGGACTACAGGTGTGTGCCACCACACCTGGCTCATTTTTGTATAATACTATTTCTTTTTTTCTTCTGGAGACGAGTCTTGCTCTGTTGCCCAGGCTAGAGTGCAGTGGTACAATCTTGGCTCACTGCAACCTCCACTTCCTGAGTTCAGGCGATTCTCCTGCCTCAGCCTCCCAAGTAGATGGGATTACAGGCACGCATCACCATGCCTGGCTAATTTTTGTATTTTTAGCACAGATGAGGTTTCACCATGTTGGCCAGACTGATCTCAAACTCCTGATCTCAAGTGATTTGCCCGCCTTGGCCTCCCAAAGTGCTGGGATTACAGGTGTGAGCCACAGTGCACCCCAATACTATTTCAATAAAGCTTTATAGTTTACAAAGTCCATTACATATGATGGACATTACATATAATGGACATTAACAAATGATGTTTTACTTACTCATCACCCTCTCACTCCTTTTTATAACCATTTCAGAGTAGAAGCCAACCTTCTCAAGCAACTTTTCCTCCAAGGGAATTTGGGATTTTCCAGTTTAACGTTAGTAAGGTAGGAACCCTACTATCCTCTTTTGGGCTTTCTTGGCCCAGATTTAATAAAAGTTTATTACCAGCTACTTTGAAAATCACAAGTGATCACTAAATTTTAATTCATTCTTCAGGAAAATCTCATTAACTTGATATTGGCTAATTTAATTTAATGTCTCCTTCAAAGAAATTTTTCTTCTCCAGATGATTAGGTGGGCTTGCCTGTATAATAAGCATAGTTAATGCACAATGTAAAATCATGATGAAATTTGAACTGAAAATTTGGTTCAAAGACTTAAAAGTTAATTTCTCTTAAAACAAGCCTTAAAGATCATATGCCATATGGACATTTAAAAAAAACGACTGGGGTCTGGCGTGGTTGCTCATGCCTGTAATCCTGGCACTCTGAGAGGCCGAGGCGGATGGACCATTTGAGGTCAGGAGTTCAAGACCAGCCTGGCCAACATGATAAAACCCTGTCTCTACTAAAAATACAAAAAAAATTAGCTGGACATGGTGGTGCGCACCTGTAGTCCCAGCTACTTGGGAGGCTGAGGCAGGAGAACTGCTTGAACCCAGGAGGTAGAGGTTGCAGTGAGCCGAAATCGTGCCACTGCACTCCAACCTGGGCGACAGAGCGAGACTCTGTCTCAAAAAAAGAAGTGATCTCATATCTAGAAAAACCTAAAGACTCTACCAAAAAAACCCTCTTAGAATTGATAAATGAATTCAGTAAAGTTGCAGGATACAAAATTAATATACAAATATCAGTAACATTTCTATACATGACAAAGAACTAGCTAAAAAAAGAAATTGAGAAGGCAATCCTATTTACGATAGCTACAAAAAGAAATACCTTGTAATAAATTTAACTGAGGAAGTGAAAGACCTCTACAAGGAAAACTACAAAATACCGATGGAAAAATGGAAGAAGATACAAAGGATACAAACAAACAGACATTCTATATTCATGGATTAGAAGAATTAATATTGTTAAAATGAGAATATTACCCAAAGAAATCTACAGATTCAATGCAATCCCTATCAAAATACAAATGACATTCTTTACAAACAAAGAAAAAAAAATCCTAAAACTTGTACGGAACCGCAAAAGGCCCCGAATAGTCAAAACAATCCTGAGCCAAAAGAACAAAGGTGGAGGCATCACCTACCAACTTTAAAATACACTACACAAAGATGTAGTAGCAAAAACAGCATGGACCTAGCATAATAACAGACACACAGGCCAATGGAACAGAATAGAGAATCCAAAAATTAATCCACATATCTACAGCCAATCGATTTTTGACAAAAGTGCCAAGAACAGTCATTGGGGAAAGCACAGTCTCTTCAATAAATGGCGCTGGGGAAAACTAGATATCCATATGCAGACGAATGAAACTAAACCCTCCCACTCACTCTTTATAAGACTCAACTCAAAGACCTAAATCTAAGACCTGAAACAATAAAACTACTAGAAGAAAGCAGGGAAAAGACCTCAGGACATTGGTCTTAAAAAAGATTTTATGAATAACACCTCAAAAGCACAGGCAACAAAAGTAAAAATAAACAAATGGGCTTATATCAACCAAAAATCTTTTGCACAGTAAAGGAAACAACCAACAGAGTGAAAAGACAACCTACAGAATGGCAGGAAATATTTGCAAACTACTCATCTGATAGGGGATTAGTATCCAGAATACAAAAGAAACTCAAACATCGTAACAGCAAAAACCCCAAACAATCTGATTTTAAAATGGGCAAATAAACTTTGGGAGGCGGAGGCCAGACAACTGCTTGAATCCAGGAGTTCAAGAACAGCCTGGGCAATGTGGCAAAACCTGTCTCTACAAAAAATACAAAAAATTAGCTGAGTGTGGTGGCATGCGCCTATAGTTCCAGCTACTCAGGAGGCTGAGGTGGGAGGATCACCTGAGCCCAGGAGGTCAAGGCTGCAGTGAGCTGTGATCACACAACTGCACTCCAGCCCAGGAGACAGAGTAAGACCCTATCTCAAAAAAAGAAAAAAAAAAAACGGCAAATGATCTGGGTATTTCTCAAAAGAAGACACACAAATGGCCAACAAATACATTAAAAAATGCTCAACCTCACTAATCATCAGGGAAATTCACATCAAAATGGCAATGAGGTATCATCTCACCCCAGTTGGGATGGCTATTATCTAAAAGATAAAAAAAAAAAACAAATGCTGGCAAGAATGCAGAGAAGGGTGAACTCTTATACACTGTTAGTGGGGATGTAACCTAGTACAATCACTGTAGAGAACAGGATGGAAGCTCCTCAAAAAACTACAAATAGAACTACCATATGATCCAGCAAGCCCACTACTGGGAATTTATTCAAAGGAAAGGAAATTACATTGAAGAGACATCTGCACATCCATGTTTACTGCAGCACTACTCACAATAGCCAAGATACGGAATCAACCTAGGTGTCCAACAACAGATAAATGGATACAGAAAATGTGGCATGTATACACCATGGAATACTATACAGCCATAAAAAAGAATGGAATCCTGTCATTTGTGGCAACATAAATGGAACTGGAGGATATTATGTTAAGTGAAATAAGCCAGGAACAGAAAGTTAAACACTGCATCTTCTCATTCATACATGGAAGCTAAAAATAAGTTGATCTCATAGAAATAAAAAGTAGAACGGAGGATACTAGAGGCTGGGAAGGGTAGAAAGAAGGGAGAGATAGGGAGCTTTGTTAAATAATACAAAATTAGAGCTAGACAGGAGGAATAAATTCTAGTGTTCTATACCACTGCAGGATGACTATAGTTAACAATAATATATAGCTTCAAATAGCTGGAAGGAAGATATTGAATATTCCAAACAGAATTGGTGAAAAATGTTTGAGATGACAGATATGCTTACTACCCTGATCTGATCCCTATATAGTATATGTACTGAAACATCACTATGTACCCCAAGAATATGTACAATTATTATTTAAATTTAAAACAGAGGAAATAATCAGGAGCTTTGTCATGGGCTTCCCATAAAGTCCTCTGAAAGTCTTTATTCTTTATTTATTTATTTATTTATTTTTTGAGATGGAGTCTCACTCTGTCGCCCCAGGCTGGAGTGCAGTGGCGTGATCTTGGCTCACTGCAACCTCTGTCTCCCGGGTTCAAGCGATTCTCCTGCTTCAGCCTCTGGAGTAGCTGGGATTACAGGCACACGACACCACGTCCGGCTAATTTTTGTATTTTTAGTAGAAACGAGGTTTCACCATGTTAACCAGGCTCGTCTCGAACTCCTGACCTCAGGTAATCCACCCGCCTTGGCCTCCCAAAGTGCTGGGATTACAGGTGTGAGCCATTGTGTCCAGCCACCTTTATTCTTTTTCTTAAACCACTTCTCTAATTACTTGCTGCATGTCTGTTTCCCCAAGAAACCACAAAAGTTGGAAGACCAAAAAAAAAAAATAAATAAAAGTATTGAGGATATTGAAGTTGAAATGAAAAATATATATATGTACTTTAAAAAATCTCTTTGACCTCCATCTTAACAAATGCACAGTAAAACACTATTTTTTAAATAAAAAAAATACATTTTTCTTAAATTTCAGATTTAAAAATTCTTATGTTAATTATCTTAAATTTTGGTCACTAGTTGGGTATTTTAAATAAAAACCAACAACTTGAATAAAGTTATTTCCCTGAATATTAAAGGTTTTTAGACATTTTAATAACCTTCTCCTTATTAGTTTCATTTAAAAGACAATGCCATTAAGTTGGTATACAAATTATTTTATAGTGAAGTACAATGAATTGGCCTAATCTCTCTATAGGGACTTTTAACATATTGAACACTATATTATATAAGTACATGGGGCTTAGAGACTGGTCTCTAATAGAGGGTTCTTGTTTTTAATCTGACCAGTAATAAAATAATTTAGATATTAGCTGACTATTCAAAATTAATGCATAGCTACGTCTTCAATCTAGTACAATCTATAATGACCACTTACCAAGTTTCTAGTTCTCTCAACATTACTGAGCTTTCCAGATACTGTACTGAAAGTGTTTCCAATAGGTTTTTCAGCAGGGAGAGGAGGTGGACTTTGTGGATCCTCATGTAAACCTGGAAAAAGTAGCAGTAATTCATCAATAATTTCTAGTTTCTGGGATTCCAAAGAATGAAATGATTGCTGCTTAGTTTATTAGAAAAATGGCTATCATAAAAGATACACACAAATAGTTAAGCAAATGAGAAAGAGCTCCCAGCAAACTTCAGAAAATTGATGTGTTAGTCAACATCAGTTAATTTTACTATATGTTTTTATAGAGAGTGAAAATAATACTAAACAATTCAACAGCAGCCAGCATTGTTGAGAACCTTTTATGTGCCAGGAATTAAGTTAGGCTCTATATTTACATACATTTCTCCAACCAAGATCTATGTGCTAGATTTGTCCAGTCCACTAGCTAGTAGCTACATCTGATGATTTAGTCTTAAATCTTAATTAATTAAAATTAAATTAAATTAAAATTTCAGTTCCTCAGTTGCACTAGCCACATTTCAAATTACTAGCCACTGTGACTAGTGGCTACCAGCACAGTTAAAGAACATTTCTATCTTTGTAGAAAGTTCTATCGCACAGTGCTACACTAGATAATATCCTACCTGTTTTACAGATGAAGAAACTGAAGCTAAGAAGAAAATAAATGCACTACCCAAGGTCTTATTGCTAGTAATTGTCAGATCCATTGTTTTGAACCTAAAAGTCCATGTTCATTTTGATAAGGCATGCTGCTTCTTAATAGGTGGTGTATCCAACACTCCCTCATCCAAAAATAATTCAATGTGTTTTATTTCTTTTTTTTTTTTTTTTTGAGATGGAGTCTCGCTCTGTCACCCAGGCTGCAGTGCAGTGGTGCAATCTCGGCTCACTGTAAGCTCCGCCTCCTGAGTTCACGCCATTCTCCTGCCTCAGCTTCCGGAGTAGCTGGGACTACAGGCACCCGCCACCACGCCTGCCTAATTTTTTTGTATTTTTAGTAGAGACGGGGTTTCACCGTGTTAGCCAGGATGGTCTCGATCTCCTGACCTCGTGATCCGCCCGCCTCAGCCTCCCAAAGTGCTGGGATTACAGGCGTAAGCCACTGCATCCGCCCAATGTGTTTTCTAATTCAGTAGCTTCTGAATAATGAACATAATTGCCCTCAATTAAACAAACAATACCTTTACATCCAAACCACACCCACATCAGTGATAATGTAGCCCCAACTTATTTTAAAAAGAAGAAAACCAAGATGACCAAATTAGTGACAGCTAATTAAAATGAGTGTGCAAAAACAATTGGGAGAGTGAATGACTGTAACATACTGAAGGACGCTAAAGCCACCTTTTACACTGTTTGGTTTAGACATTAAAAGGAGATGAGCAGATGAGCACTCTGTCTCTTTCTCTCTCTTTTTTTTTTTTTCAAATGTACACTCTCTTCTTCCATTTCAAGTGAAAAACCTATAACAAGAAGATGATTTGTCAGGTTCCTGTTTTATCCGCAGACAGGACAACATTCTCAAAGGGAGGAAAATACCCAGGCCAGCAACTAGGAAAACAATGATTTAGAGCGAGGCAAACATTCTTAGTGAGAGGCGTGCAGTGGCTCTGGGAATTAAGACATATATAATAAAAACATCCAACTCAGTCACCATCTTGAAGATATTTTCTGTGCTGTGGTTTCCTTATTCTTACAAGGAAATAGTTAATCATATAGAGTATAATACTGTCGTGACAAATATTTAAGAGTATAAGCCAGTAATATGAAAGTAGAAAGGAGATAGCTTACTGGAAGGAGAAACACAGGGAGTATCTGGTGTGAGTATGTGTGGGATGTGGAGGTAGGAGATTTCCAATTTTAAATAATGTAGTCAGGGAAGGTCTCTGAGAAAAAGTGGCAATGAGCAAAGACCTGAAGGATTGGTGAGGGAGGGAGCCTTGCAGACATCTGGGAAAAGGACAACCTGGTCAGAAGAAACAGGCCCCGGGGAAAGGAGCTGACAGGTTCAAATAAGATCAAGGACATTTGCACCACGAAGCTATCCCCTTTTTCCCTTGACCATTCCAAATTCTTCAGACACCAAAGTTTCATTCTTTTTCCTCCACAGAATATATGCATTATTATATTAATAAAATTCTGAGGAATTGATTTTTGGTATAAATAGAAATAACTCTCTAGAAATCATTCTGTCATTTCAGTTCTCCTACATTTGGCAGTATAGAATTCAACTTACTTTTTTTCTTTGAAGAGGAGCTTAATGATGAATTAAAATACCCTCTTTGGGTATAAATTACCTGCCATTTAAAGCAGAAAGTCCTCCTCACTTTGTTTTTGTCTTTTATACATATATATATATATATATATATTTTAATTATACTTTAAGTTCTAGGGTACATGTGCACAACGTGCAGGTTTGTTACATATGTATATATGTGCCATGTTGGTGTGCTCCTGTGGCCAAAGTGTTCTCACTGTTCAATTCATACCTCTTTTTTTTTTTTTTTTTTTAGATGAGGTCTCGCTTTGTCACCCAGGCTGGAATGTGGTGGCATGATCTCGGCTCACTGCAACGTCTGCCTCCTGGGTTCAAGTGATTTTCCTGCCTCAGCCTCCCAAGTAGCTGGGATTACAGGTGTGTGCCACCATGCCTGGCTAAATTCTTTTTTTTTAATTGAGCCTTTATTTTTATGTATTCATTTTTTAAAAGAATATTTTTAAAATTTTACTTTAAGTTCTGGGATACATGTGCTGAACACCCAAGTTTGTTATATAGGTATATATGTGCCATGATGGTTTGCTTCACCTATCAACCCGTCATCCAGGTTTTAAGCCCCGCATGCATTAGGTATTTGTCCTAATGCTCTCCCTCCCCTTGCCCCCAACTCCCCAACAGGCCCCGGTGTGTGATATTCTCCTCCCTGTGTCCACGTGTTCTCACTGTTCAACTCCCACTTATGAGTGAGAACATGCAGTGTTTAGTTCTGTTCCTGTGTTAGCATGCTGAGAATGATGGCTTCCAGCTTCATCCACGTCCCTGCAAAGGACATGAACTCATTCTTTTTTATGGCTGCAGCCCGGCTAATTTTTATATTTTTAGAAGAGACAGGGTTTCACCATGTTGGCCAGGCTGGTCTCGAACTCCTAGAATTCAATTTTCTACTAGTTCTTGGAGCTTTGTCAGGATAATAATTAAAGCTGCTTCCTCAGCATATCCTTTTCAGGATTTCAAAGCTTATTAATGCAGTTTACAAGTGTGCAGAAAAAGTAAACATAGCAGGTCTGAAACTTTATCCCTAGAAAGTCCTACTTACAAGATTGGTCCCTTTTTTTTTTTTTTTTTTTGAGTTTCGCTCTTGTTGCCCAAGCTGGAGGGCAATGGCGTGATCTCAGCTCAACACAACCTCCAAATCCTGGGTTTAGGCGATTCTCCTGCATCAGCCAAGCGCATGCCACCATGCCCGGCTTATTTTTGTATTTCTAGTAGAGATGGGGTTTCACTATGTTGGCCAGGCTGATCTTGAACTCCTGACCTCACGTGATCCACTTGCCTCTGCCTCCCAAAGTGCTGGAATTATAGGCATGAGCCACCACACCCAGCCACAGGATTGGTCTTTGACTGGCATATAGGAACTTGGACTTTGGGACAGTTCTCGCCATCCTCAAAACTGATAAAACAGAATATATGGTTTATGCTGAACATCTGCTTTCCTTCTGGGAATCTGGAATTTTGGTAAGTGCCAAAATTTCTAGGAGTGCCTACCTGACCAGCCCCCAATAAAAACCCTGGGCACTGAATCAGTAGTGAGCTTCTCTGGTTGACATTTCACACTTGTCATCACAACTCATTGCTGGAGGAGTTACATATGTCCTCTGACTCCACCAGTAGAAGACTCTTGGAAGCTTGCATCTGGTTTCCTCCAGACTTCACCACATTTGCCTTTTCTCTTTGCTGATTGTGCCTCATATACTTTTGCTATAATAAATAATAGCCATACATACAACTATCTGTTGAGTCCTGTGAGTCCTCCTAGTGAATCATCAAACCTGGGGGTGGTCTTGGGGACAATGACACAACAGATGAATAAATTTAAAAATTTGTATTTATTACTAATTTCTGTAAAAGTTGTATTACTTAAAACCCAGGCAAAATTTCTTATTATTATATGTTACTATACTTGTTAAAATCCAGAATACATTTAACAAAGTAATAGCAAACAGGCAAACAACCCAATGAGCTATCGTTTTACTGATTTGTGGGCTATATAATATTGTCAAAAGAAATATACTGCCAGTTTTTTCTTTCTTTCTTTCTTTTTTTTTTTTGAGATGGAGTCTCATTCTATTGCCCAGGTTGGAGTGCAGCGGCATGATCTTCGCTCACTGCAACCTCCACCTCCTGGGTTCAAGCAATTCTTGTGCCTTAGCCTCCCAAGTAGCTGGGATTACAGGTGTGTGCCACCATGCTTGGCTAACTTTTTTGTATTTTTGATAGAGACGGGGTTTCACCATGTTGGCCAGGCTGGTCTCGAACTCCTGACCTCAAGTGATCTGCCCACCTCAGCTTCCCAAAGTGCAGGGATTACAGGTGTGAGCCACCATGGCTGGCCTACCACTGGTTTTTAAATCTAACATTAAAATATTACCTCTAAAAAAATAAAATATAACTTCCTAAGAAACTAGAACCAGAATTTGATACCTTAGATTTTTTTCTCCTCCACATTCTTCATAGCAACTCAATTCAATTTTCTTGCTACTTGGCTGAGAGCCATCAGTTAGTAACAGAATCATCAAAAAACTGAAACCAAGATGATCCTTCTGGGTAGTGCTTTATAGAGAAACCAAACTCCTAAAATAAAGGGAATATGCCTGCATACAATCCTGGGTGCTACAGGTGAAAGAGTGGAATGCTTGTTCTGCTTTAGGAGGAATGAAGTGGGCAGAATCTCTTGTTAGACAAAGGAAAGAATGCATGCGGGCTATGATATAAAGGCATTGCAGGCATAAATGAAATCAGATGCCCGCAGAGAAAGCTGTGTGATCACTCCAAGCAGTGCCATGAACTGCTCTGGAACCCACTGTGTGTGTGTGTACACATACACAAACACCCTTTTAATCACAGTTTTTAATAATCTGGTGCCTAAAATAAATAATTCTGGCCCTTGTGGCTTTCCCATTATAATAAATATCAGATTTCTTTTTGAAGTACTTATTAAAGCTCCTATAGAATTTCATTTGTTATACTATTAAAAAATCAAGTAAGGAAAAAATCAAGTAAGGAAGTAAACCAAAATGTAACGTTACACTAATTTTTTTTTTTTTTTTGAGATGGAGTCTCGCTCTGTCACCCAGGCTGTAATGCAGTGGCACGATCTCGGCTCACTGCAAGCTCCGCCTCCCAGGTTCAAGTGATTCTCCTGCCTCAGCCTCCCAAGTAGTTGGGACTACAGGCGCGCAGCACCACACCCAGCTAATTTTTGTATTTTTAGTAGAGACAGAGTTTCACCATGTTGGCCAGGATAGTCCTGATCTCTTGACCTCGTGATCCACCTGCCTTGGCCTCCCAAAGTGCTGGGATTACCGGCATCAACCACTGCACCTGGCCAATTTAAGAAGTATTTTTATAAACTATTATTTAAAGCTTTGGTTACTGCTCTTCACCGAATTCACACATAGCCATATTTGAGATTATGCTGATTGCAATAATATACTCCTGACTGATAGACATATACACCTTTATTTGCTATTAGTTTAGATTACTTTCCCACCAAATCTGTACCAGAGGTGTTAACATGGGATATAACAATTGTTCTAAATTTCAGTTTCCCTCTATTCTCTGTCTAAAGACAACATTAAAGAAAAATGAAATCCCCAGCCTGACCAATGTGGTGAAACCCCATCTCTACTAAAAATACAAAAATTAGCCAGGTGTGGTGGCGTGTGCCTGTAGTCCCAGCTACTCAGGAGGCTAAGACAGGAGAATTGCTTGAATCCGGGAGGCAGAGGGTGCAGTGAGCTGAGATTGTGCCACTGCACTCCAGCCTGGGTGAGAGAGCGTGACTCCCAAAAAAAAGAGGAAAAGGAAGGGAAGGGAAAGGGAAGCGAAGGGGAAAGGGAAAGGGAAGCGAAGGGGAAAGGGAAATCCAAATTTACTGAACTAATTCTTCGAAGAATTGTGAAAAAACAATTTGCTTTTAAATAGCTTTGACTATGAATGGCAGATTATACATAATTTCAAAAGCAGACATTGATAAATTAGCATATATTTCTCCCAGCCTCTTGAAGAAGCTAATAAAGAAAGCAGAGAAGTGCTTACATTTTCCTGGTTTGGCTGGAATTCGAATTACAGTGGGCTTCCTGGTGGGTGCTGGTTGAACTGCTCGTTCTTTTATTGGTTCTGTTTTTGCAGGGAGCTGAAAGGGATCTAATGAAAAACATAGTTTATTTTGCATGTTTTAGTTAACATGGACTGAAACAAAAAACCTCATTCATAATTTAAGAGTCATATTTTTCATGCCCCTGGGGAAACTATTCATGGATAAACAAAATCTCAGTTTGCAGAGACAAAAACAAAGTTGGAGCTCATAAAAGGAAATAACTTAGTGTTCTGTAAATAATTCATGCGGCTTTTCTTCCTCTCTGATGAGAGAGATTGAGGATGATCTTGAATTATGTAGAAGCTGATCTTTCAGGGGAGTGTAATCATTTCATACGTGTCTGCCTGAAAATGAGGGGCAACTGAGATGAGGAGACCATCTTTCCCACATCCTAAAGCCTCCCAGATGCCACAGAGAGGAAAGACTCTTTCCCTGTACACCCCCTGTGCCTGTCCCAGAATATTTACTCCCAGGGCCCTCACCCTACCCAGTGCTGTGCCTGGCACAGGGAAGGTGCTTAGCAGTCTCCGATTTAGTAGTTTAGTAAAACTACACTTCAGTAACATGAAAATGAAAAACATTCTATCCCAGAAATAAAATAAGACATATCCCTTCAAATATTTAATTTTGGGGGAAGGATATATGACTCGGCATTCCTCCATCTTAACCGATTTATTAAGTAATTGCAGTGGTTGTCATTGAAAGTAATGCGCCAACCCAATATTTTAAATGGACAGTATATACTTAGGAGAAATACTTTAAACAAAAGCATGGCTGTAAACCTTTTTACTGAAACAGTTTTTAATATAAGTGTCCTTTTTAGTGGTTTGGAAAAATGACTATACTTTTTTTTTTTTAATGGGAAATCTACAAGTAAAAATATTAACAAAAATAAAAGAAAATGCTCTATAATGGATATTCTACTCAGCACACAGGATCGCATGAGACTGTCTTTGCTTTTATTTAACAAGAGGCGAAATGAGTATATGCTGTAATTCTGCACCTGTTCTATGTATCTTGCCTGCGGGGAGATACTCTCTATAAAACTATGCACTCCATAGCTCCTGTGATGAACAGCATTCAAATTCTGCCTGTTATGAGGTGTAATTCAATAAGCACCTTTTGCTGAGCAGCTCTTTGCAGGATACGTGAAGGGCTGAGCTAAGAATAAAAGCCCTTTTGGCAATCTGATACTTCGCCTTCTCTTCCACTCAGTTCTCAGTCGATCTCACCATCAGATACCCTGCCAAAGGCATCACTCTCTCACCAGTCACTTGCTCACATATTTATGCCAGTAACAGTGCTGGGTGGGGAAATATGATGGTAAAGTACAATCCTATTTTAAGTTTCTTATCTACCACTTAGGAAGGGTCCCCAGATGGCAAGCTAGCTAAAATTATTATTATGCTACTGAGGAAAAAAAAAATAGATGACTCCTCTGTGGAATCTTACCAGCTCACAGTGAGTGAGGCTAGTCTTACGTTAAAAAAACCAACTCAAGATTATCAAAAGAATGTCATCAAACTCAAAAAAAAACTACTATATTAATAATATAACTTTTTTCCACTGTGACCTATGTCACCCATAAAACAAAGCTCCTGTTTTTAGATTTAACCAAATTCCTTAATTCTTTAATTTATTATAACAAATATATAACAAGTATAATAGTACTTTTTTTACTTCACAGAAATATTTGTTGTAAAAGTGAGAAACATTAAGAATTATATAAAATAGAAAAAGAAAACCTCTTGTAATCTCATCTCTCTAAAATTAATTATTGTCTAAAATTTGGTATATCTGTCCATGTATTTTCTATAAATATTACATGTATTATTATTATATAAATATTTTGAAAAACAAACCCAGGATCATTTTATATCAATTTCTTTGTAGTTTTATATCAATTTCTTAGCACTTTTATATCAATTTCTTTGTAGCAGTTTTGTTCATTCAATATTGACTGGGTGCCTGCTATGCATTAAACACTATTTTACGGCTTCCGCCCTGTCTGGGACGTGAGGAGTGTCTCTGCCCGACCGCCGCCCCATCTGGGAAGTGAGGAGCGCCTCTGCCCGGCCGCCCCACCGTCTGGGAAGTGAGGAGCGCCTCTTACTGGCCACCCCGTCTGGGAAGTGAGGAGCGCCTCTGCCTGGCTGCCGCCCCATCTGGGAAGTAAGGAGCGCCTCTGCCAGGCCGCCCCACCGTCTGGGAAGTGAGGAGCGCCTCTTACCGGCTGCCCCGTCTGGGAAGTGAGGCGCGCCTCTGCCCGGCCGCTGTGCAACCTTCCAAGTGTGAAGTGACAGCCTTGTGTGTGATCTTTTCTGTCTTCCCCAAGTTTGCATTTTCAACATTAAACTTTACTTTTTAGTTAAAAAAACAAAACAAAACAAAACACTATTTTAGGTGCTGGGAATATAGCAGTGAACAAAGCACAGAACTCTGCCTTCATGGAGCTTGCATTCCAGCAGGAAGATCGAGACAAGAAACAATACATGTAACAGATAAGCAATTCACGAGGTTTATTAGAAGGTGAGAAGTATATTGAAAAAGGTGAGAAGTATATTGAAAAATGAAAAAGCAGAACAAGGTGAGGAACTTCAGTTGTGGGCAGAAGGGAAGCAGGTTGCAGAAGGAAACATGAGTGCAGCAGGTGAGGCAGGTGACATTGTCTTTCCAAAAACTGGATTTTACATATTTGAATAGTTCTTCCAATAATCATTCACGGTGTCTTATCTTTCGAGTAGCATTTCTTTTTTTTTTTTTTTTGAGACACGGTCTCACTCTCACCCACTCCCTCTGTCTCACGGTGTCACTCTGTCATTCCACCCAGGCTGGAGCGCAGTGGTGCAATCACGACTCATTGCAGCCTCAACCTCCTGGGCTCAAGCAATCCTCCCACCTCAGCCTCCTGAGTATCTGGTACTACAGGAATGTGCCACCATGCCTGGCTAATTTTTATTTTTTGTAGAGATGAGGTTTCACTGTGTTGTCCAGGCTGGTCTTGACCTCTTGGGCTCAAGTGATCCTCCCACCTTGGCCTCTCAAAGTGCTGGGATTATAGGTGTGAGCCACTGTGCCTGGCCTGAAGTGCTATTTCTTTAACAGCTGCTTTTGGTATCAATACCCTGTTGGTTATTAGTTTAAAATTTTAGTCAATGATGCTTTTTGGGTGGGTGTGAAGGGGGAAGAAAATCTTGAGCATGTAATGACTTAAATTGTTTCCCAAATCAAATTAAATTCTGGGCCAGTATAAGACCTACACACTCACATTTCACAAGTGAGGGCATGGATGGGGGTAGGGGCAGGCAGGGAAAGGAGAAAAGAGGACAATCAGCACCCCTGAGGGGCTGAACATAGGGGGCATCCAAAACGTGCTTGCTGTGGGAAGAATGGCCTCAGGAAATCCTGACCCAAATCCTGCACACAGTGTGGGCAGATCTCACCTATTCTGTTAAAGGGTCCAATCATTTTTTGTTTTAACCTGAAGGATTTAAATTGAAGTAGCATAGGTATAACTTATGAAGTATTCAAAGTGTCCTAGCTTACTCACTCTCTCATTTTTTTAATTTTTAATACCGTTAGCTGTTTTTTAATAACTGGCACTCAGATAGTGTATAATTATTCTACTATACATGTCTCCGGGAAAAAAAAATTCTTTCTCCATGTGGCGAGGCAAGGAAGTCTTCGTGTTCCACCACCGCAGGCTGTTTGGCAGGAGTGGTCTGTTTAATGATCTCCCCCAGCTGTGCTCACTGAGTCAGTGAGCTCTGCATCTGCCTCTCTGTCTGCATGTTGTCTGGGCTGTGATCCATGTGAGGAGTGCAGATTAGTGGGGAGGATAAACAGCATCACTTCAATGAGACGGTGGAGCCAGAGGCCTGTTTTTTATCTTATGATGGTGTGCAAGCTTCTCTCTAGCAACGTAAGTTCACTTTTTATGTCTTTTCCTAAGAGGGCTATTTTTTCCAACATAAGTTATAAGTGGGCAACATATAAAGCAAGGCTGGCACCTCATATTGGGGTACTCCAGACACCACCAGGTAAGAAACTGGATCATTAGTACTAGTTAAAATGTTTAAAGATCATAACCTTTGACTAGTAGTCCCACGTTCAGAAATTTATTCTTCAGAAATAAAAGCATCAGCAGAAGTGAACATGCTTATGAGGGTATTTACTGCAGCATTTTTTGTAGTGGCAAAAACCAACAAGGAACAAAACAAAACAACATCCCCCTGCCCCACTAAATAAAACAAACAAAACAACCTGAATGTCCATCAACAGGGGAAATACTGAACCAGCTATGATATACTATGAGGTATCAGGCAGGATACCTCATAGTAGGAGAAAATGAATTAGAATTAGACCTATTATCCTGAAGAGAAGTCATAAATGTCATTGTTTTTTAAAGCACTCTGCTGAGTAACAGGTATCGTATGGTAAAAATTTCTGGAAAAAGTCCATTATGTGTATATGTGTAAGCTTTGGTTTGGCATGCCCAAAGGCACAGAAGGCTGCATACTTTGTTCACATTGGTTACCGTGGGGAGTTTACATTTTTTTTTAATCCAAAATCTCTGAATTGTTTGACTTGTTACAACGAATATATTTTACTTTTCTAACAGAAACAAATCCAATAAAATAAATTCAATCATAAGGAAAAAGTTACAAGATTAAGCTGAGTTAACACCTCTGCCAAACAAACCAGAACAAAACCACTTAAAAATAAGAGAACAAAAGAAACTTCTGGTTTCTTTTGTTGCTTTTTCAAGGCAATAATGGCCATAAAATTTTCCATAAAGTAACTAGAAAAATAAAAACTCTTTTTCTGGGGTTCAATTTAAAAGGAAATAATGCAGATATAAAATTTTGAATTTATCTAATTTAGGCATATTTAGTTCATAACAAGTAGCTTCTATTTGTAACCTTGAATAATATAACCATTTAGATAAATCACTATTTTATTATTTTAAAAATTTTTACTTATCAGAATCTGAGGGTCATTGGGGGAAGCAGTTCTTCAGAAGTGGCAAAGACGACAAGAGATAATTCTCCCAGTTTCTTTCAGCCTAATTATGCTTATGTTCAGCTCTTTTAAAAAGATTATTGATTAACTCTCTTGTTAAAGGTAATGCCTCCACATGGTCTGAAATTCAAAAGGGAGCAAAATGCATACAGTGAAAACCAGGTTCCCTGTTCTCTCCTATCCAGTTCCTTCATAAAAGACACACTTTGTACCACCTTTTCATACATTACTGTACATTGCATTTGACATTTAACACAAACAATAGCTAAAATAACATAAAAAGTATCCTGTATCTTGCATTTTTCACCTAATAATATCTTGGAGGTTGGTCCAAAGTAGGGGATAATAGGTCTCCCTCCCTTTTAATTATCACACAATACTCCATTGTTATGGATGTACTATAATTTATTTAAGCAGTCCATTGACATTTATTTCCAATATTCTGTAGTAGAAGTCCTTAATCTAGAGCCCAAAATGGGCCCTCTAAGCTCTGGATATTGTACCTTGAATTGTGTACACATGAGCTAATGGCTATTTTCTTTTTTTTTTTTTCCTCACAGCTCCAAACAGTCACTGAATTAATGGCTATTTTCAAGGGAGAGAAAAGACTCTCAGGCTATGTCAGATTCTCAGAGTTTGGTAATCTGGAAAGGGTTAAGAACTTGCTGCCATAATTCTATCACAGACTGCTCTTGCTTCTACAGAAAAACAAAAAACAAAAAACACGGAGCATCTTAAGAAGAATCTCCTATCTGAATCTAAGACAAGAAAATGGCATTTTTGTCTACTTTTATTTGCAGTGATGGCATTTTTGTCTACTTGTATTTGCAATGTTTATTCTGTCTTCCCTCTACCCCCTCACACCAGCACCAATTATTCCACACCTGCTGGTGAACAAGCAGAGGCCTCTTTACACCTATATCCGCATGGTCTTCATTACTGGATTGAGAAAAACACTGATGATGAAGTAGTTTTCCGCCCATTACCTGTCTCTAATAATATGCTTGTCATCACAATTAGTTTCACCATCCCTGGCTTGCTTTTCTGTCATTTCTTTCCCTTGAGTTCTGTTAATAGCAGAAATTGGCTGCTAAACTATTATTCTGGTCTGTGTAATGGGGCTGATGGCAGAAACATTCTGCTTCTTTTGACAACTGGGTATGATTTGTAAAGGTGTGAAGAAGAATTGCTAATACTTCTGGGCTCCATTACATTAACCTGGAAGGCATTCTACCCAAGAAATGAATCCAATATTAAATTGCCTGTTTTATGAGTTTTTATTTAATAATTTTTCTAATCTTTACAATGTTTTCATAGCTTCAGTATTTTCAGATCTCTATTTCCTGAGATTAATATGGCAACTTCATTTTATGAATGCTATTTTATTAGATTTTCTTTATTTTTGAGGTAAGAGAAACGGAAGGGAAGAGTTATTTGTAAGTTTCTCTTCTTTCTCCTGTGTTCCTCTCCCAGTTTCTGCCTGGTGTCTGGATGATTAGGCAAGGTTTCCCAGGACCATAAACCTTTATTTACAATGACAATGCTACCAAAATACCACCAAAAAGTCACAAAGCCCCAAATCAAAAAGCAAACAAAAATCCCTCCACAGGTCAAGGCATTCAGAGGTGATCCTGAAGGCCTTTGGAGGGCATAAGTAGGGAGGCAAAAAGCACCAGTGTGCATTCTAGAAACTCCCCCTAGGTAGCCACAGTATGGATTGTGATAGGATTGTCTGAGTGGGCTCAATTTGGGAGGCCACTGCAGTCATCAGAGTGTAAAGGCCTAAAGTGGGGCAGAAGAGGGAAGGATGAAAAGGAGAGGCAGAGTCAAGAACTATTTGGAAGGTAAAACCAGCAGGAGTTGGTAACTAATTAGATGTGAAGGCAGAGAAGTAACAATAATAACTACTAATTAATGATCATAGGGCTTTCCTGCATAATCACATTTAACCCTTGCAATACCCTAGGTGAGGAGTAGTATTACGTCTAAACAAATGAGGAAACAGAGGCACTGTGAGGTTAAGAAAATTGCCCAAGGTCATGTAACAAATATGGTAGACCCTGGCAGACTCCAAATCTGAACAGCTAGCCACTGTGTGACACGGTGAGAAGACTCAAGGATGATCTCTGGGTTTCTCCAGGAAAGGCTGGTGTGTGTGTGATGGTGTCAATAGTGAGTTGCAAAATATAGGAAGAAAGAAGATTTAGAAAGAAGATAGTATTCAGCTCAGTATAACCCCATAGTCCAGAGCAATGGTTAAAGTCAGATAGCACAAGCAAATTACACACTTTGCTAAAAGACGCCCCAATAATTAAATGTTGTTCAATGAAGTGGTAGAAATCAAGAAATGGAAAAGGCTGAGTATGAAGCATGAGACTGTATTCATGCTTAAAGTATATTGTTGACCTTCCTTTTTGAAGATGACTATAATTATCTGCTAGATGATACAAAATAAATTCTCAGCAATTATTAGTTGAGTTGCCATCCCCATAGAAACTAGCAAGTTCTACAAAAGGTAATATTTCTTTAGCTTGCTGCTGTTGGGTTTATCTATCCCTGTCCTTCTCTGAATCTTGTTAATACCAAAAAGGTTTATATAAGAAAATGGTATTATCAAAGACTTGAAAAGTTTTTAAAGTGTTGCCTGGTTAAGGATTCATGAAAATATTGGGTAGCAACATTATACAGTGAAAAATAAACTAGGCTTAGAATAAAAACACTAAGTTTGAATCCTGACTTGAACAATTGTTTTATGACACTGGGCAAGTGATCCATAGATCTCTCTCAGTCTCACTGTCTTCATTTGCAAACTTAGGCCAATGATAACTCACAGACGGTTGTTGCAATTATTAAATAAAATAATGTATGTCTCAGTATTTAGCAGAGCATTAGGTACACTGCAGAAGCTTAATATATTCAAATGTTTTTCCTTCCACCCTTTATGGACAAAAGCCATGTATGTCTTTTAGTTTATACGCTAAAATGTTGTGTGTCAGTTACAATGTTCTGTGCATGATGAATATTTAATAATGTGTATGTTTGTTTTCATTTTAAACACACCTGTGCTATGCAGAATGTGGCTGTGAAATCACAGAGCCTGTACTATTTTGATGCATGTTAAACATTTATACAGTGACAGTTAAGCTTTTGAAAATTCTATTAAGTTTATATGTTCACAAATTCCACCCAAATAAGTCAACAGCAGTAAAAGAAATCTTATCAATGACAAGTAGAGCAGCTTAGTTTGACAAATCAAAGATAAGCTTTACCATCACACTCTCCAACGGAACAGTTAGAGGAAAGAAAACATACTCTCTGCCTTCTGGGATATTTAATTGTACTGATCTTGGCAGCTAACTTGTATCTGTTGTATTTTATTTACAAAACTTTTCACTCTCAAGGGAAGATGTTCTGTGAAGATTAAAGGAACAACTTTGCAACATGTGGCTGGGTCCTCATTCCGTACATTTTCGAGTCCTCCCCTGGAGCTGGCCCCTCTCCCAGCACTCCCAGCTGAGGCCCATTTCATCTGAGGAGCCCCTCTGGGGCCACTGCATGACTTCCCATCTAAGAGAAGCTTCCTCTGCATCCTTCTACATGTTCCATAACCTCCCTGGATCCTTTCAATGTGAAGTCTGAACTTCTATCTGCCAAGAGTAAGGGGAGCCAGCCCCACAACCTATTATAGTTTAGCTCCTAGCCCCAGTCTGCTTACTTCTGGCTCATATAATAGTAATCGATGCATGTGTCTCCCCATTTCTGACTCCATTACCCCCATCCCATATTTTCCCTTCCCTCCCTGTCTCCATTCCCCACATAGCTCCCATGTTTCTTGATCTGTCTGTTCATTCCTCTGTTTCTATACACACACATGCATGTGCACATACTTGTATACACACACCTCAATAACTTATGTACCAGAAACTAAAACAGCAAGTGCCATTTAAAATACCCTATCATGAGTTTAGATTCCCCTCCACTGCTGATTTTTCACTCACCTAGAACCATCTCTGAACCAACAGATTCTTCAGCCAGGTTCCCCGATGGGGTGGGCAAAACATCATCATCAAAGCTGATGAGATCGATGTCCACCAAGGGCTTGCTCTGCAGAACTGGAACTGGGGGGTTGGCTGGGGGCCCTTCTCCCAGTGACTTGTATGCTTTGGCTTGTGATGCCCCTGCGAGTCGGGGAGGAACAGTGACAGGTTTCAGTGGAGCTGAAGGGTAGGTGGGGTTTTCTGAGGAAACAGATTTCTTCAGCAGCAAAGGCCGCGGGGCAGGAGTTGGCACTTTCTTCCCACTATCAGAGCTCTCAGCCAGGGGCCCTCTTCCCGGAATCTCAGGATTAACACTTCGTATAAGGCCAGGGTTTGGTTTCTTTGGCAATTCAGGTTTGGTTACTGGGATGCTTCCCGCTTCTTGCAGGGGAGGGTATGGGGTGAGTCCTTCCTTGGAGGTCACCTTGAGTCTGTTCTCAGTCCCAGAGTCCCACTCTCCAGAAGCTCTGTTAGCAGCTGGTTTGGGAGCTACAGAAGGTTTCCCTGAGGAAACAGTAGGCTTTGGAGGAAGTGAACGTGGAGTAATTTCTGGTTTCTTGGGCAGTCCTGAGGTTTCTATGTTTGTCTGACCCTCAAACACTTTAATTCTGGAAACAATACTATTTTGGCTTTGTTCTGTGTTCATAATGTTCATCACTGCCTGACTGTCTGAGGTGCTAGCGTTGTCCAGCAGAGACTGGGGCCGGCCTGGGGATGACTCCTCTCCTACGGCTGCTGGGCTGATTTTCTGTTGACTTTGCTCTTTAATGTGAGAATCTCTGGGTATTGGTCTGAGGTTGCTTTTTGATCTTGGTTTTGGCACTGGACATCTTGTAGCACTGGGGTTTTCTGGACAATTCGGTTCTTCAGAAATATCAAAGACGATTAAAGGTGCCACATTTGTTGGAAGATTGCCAGACGAGACTGCTGAGAAAGGCTGAAGAGGCTTGAGAGGTGCCTGTAGTGCTGACGAGACCAAAACAAAACCAAAACAAATAAAAACAAGCCATAACGTTAACAATGTATAAGGAAAAAAATAGAAGATACACAGATTTAAAACTACATACATGGAATATCAAGAGATTTTGGTTTCTTTTAATTAGTAAAAAGTGATTCAAAAATGGAAATGTTTATTCTGTTTCCTGTAGGAGTGCTCTTCATATAACACTTTTTTTTTTTTGAGACAGGGTCTTGCTCTGTTGCCCTGGCTGGTGTACAGTGGCTCTAACACGGCTCACTGCAGCCTCACCCTCCAGTGCTCAAGCGATCCTCTCACTTCAGCTTCCTGAGTAGCTGGGACTACAGACACATACCACCACACTCAGCGAATTTTTCCATTTTTTTGCAGAGATGGGATTTCACCATGTTGCCCAGGCTGGTCTCAAACTCCTGTGCTCAAGCAATCCACCCGCCTTAGTCTCCTAAAGCGTTGGGATTAAAGGCATAAGCCACAGTGCAACACTTTAAAAAAGCCTAACAGGACAACCACCCTTAGCATCCTATCAAGTATAAGTTGCTAAATATAAGATCCTTCTCAGAGGGAATAAAGGGAATCAATGGTAATACCCACCATGAATTATACGGATAATGTTTTTGTGATATAAACTAGGGTAAGCTCAAGAGATTGGGGCTGCAGTTTGTAAGAATGATCTATTATAATCATCACTGCACACCCAAATAAAGCAAGCACACAGTGATCACACTGACTGGGCAGCAGAGCTCAATGAATTATGCACAAATTGCAAATTATTTTAAAGGCTGGAAGCCTACGGATTACTTCCCTAGAACTAGGTCAGAATTAGGGAAGACAAATTACTTGCATTACTTTGAGGCAGATCGTTGTCTATTTCTTCTGAAAAGTCAGTCTGAGTTGCAGAAGTAATAGTGTGCCTTGGAGTAGCAGCAGCATTATTATTATTTGTAGTATTAACTTGAACTTGGTTGATTTCTTTTATAACTTGTTCATAAGATGGTGGGAGCTGAAAAGTAAAGAATGAAGATTTTAGACATCTAAGGGCAATAGCTAAGGTGTTGACAGTCTCACTGTTCTTATCTTCCAATTTCATTTAAAAAATAAAATGCAAAGAGATAATGTAATGTTTATTCACCTCAGCAGGAACCAGCTCATTAGGCCTCCAAGAGCCTGCTGCAGATGATGTAGGAAATCCCAGTCCTGGGGGTGGGGTTCCTGGAAACCACGAGGCTGGCCTCAGTGGCTCAGCTGCCACAATGGTGATCTCTGGGCGCCTAGTGGACAGAAGCCTCAGTGAGGTTTTGCAGAATGGTAACAAGCTATTGTCTATCTATAAATGTTCAAAGATTCATGAAAACCACCATCAACCAAAAAAGTTGTAAGAACTAACACAGTCACAGAAATGACCTGTCAGGCCTGGGCTGTCTCTGACAGTACACCCAGACAGGCTTCAAGAGAGCAAATGACAATCATCCTCTATGACTTTGGCCTCAAAAAGTTAGAGTTGGACCCTGGGCACACTTGGCTCTGCCTTGGTTGATAAGGATAAGAACTAAGTAAGGCCTATACAATCTCTTCATTCCAGGGCTATCTAGCCTTAGGGCAAACATACAGTGTAAGGTATAAAAGCCCATTAGTCAAATGGAATTGTTTTTCTGTTATTATTATTATTATCTGAGACAGAGTCTCACTCTGTTGCCCAGGCTGGAGTGCAGTGGTGACGCGATCTCAATCTTGGCTCCCTGCAACCTCCGCCTCTCAGGTTCAAGCAATTCTGACACCTCAGCCTCCCGAGCAGCTGGGATTACAGGCATGTGCCACCATACCCAGCTAATTTTTGTATTTTTAGTAGAGATGGGGTTTCACCATATTGGTCAGGCTGATCTCGAACTCCTGACCACAAGCAATCTGCCCACCTCAGCCTCCCAAAGTGCTGGGATTAGAGGCGTGAGCCACTGCACCCAGCTTGGTTTTCTGTTATTATAAAGTGCATACTCTGAAATGCAAAATTACCATTTAAAAAGAATATCCTCTTCTGCCTTACTTCATCTCTGTTTCAATTCACAGTTATGTTTAAGTGTTTTGGGTTTATATGTTCACTTCTAGACTTTGATATGTGTCTCTGGGTTCGTGATCAGGTTTGTATATGATTTGATGATTAATCTTTAATACTGGAGAGCTATAGTGATTTAGGCATGACTCCTTTTATCTTTTTCTTAATCTGATTCTACATTCTCATGTTTAAAGTAATTAATTGATTTTGTAGAGACAGGGCCTCACTCTGTTGCCCAGGCTGGAGTGCAGTGGCACAATCATAGCTCACTGCAGCCTCGAGCTCCCCGCCCCTCAGCTTCCTGAGTAGCTGGGACTACAGGCACATGCCACCATGCCTGGCTGATTTTTAAAATTTTTTGTAGAGACAAGGGCTCACTATCTTGCTCAGGCAGGTTTCGAACTCCCAGCCTCAAGCAATCCTTCCAAAGTGTTGGGATTAAAGGTGTAAGGCACTGTGCCTGGAGCATGTTTAAATTTTCTCTTAAACCTGATTTCCTAACAAACAGCAACTGTGTGACCCTGAACAAATCAATCAAGTTTTGATTGGAAAACTCAGTTTTCTCATGGAACATACATGGATGATAATACCTGCTCTGCCTTTCTCTAGCACTCTATGGAAAATAAAAACAAAAAAGCACTGTCATTCTCAAAATTATGCATTACACACATACTCATGCTACATTGTGAAACAGTAGAACCTGATCATTGATAAAATTTGAACTGTACTTCCTAAGAACCTTTGCTTATAGCTTTTGTCTAACTAAATAGTAAGAGTTATTAGTTAATAAACGTTAAGCATCATATGTATATTAATTCTTATGACAACCTTGTGATGTAGGTATGATTAGCACCATTTTAAAGCTGGGATAAAGAAGCTAGAGAGATTAAGCAGCTTGTCATCCAAGGTCACATGGTAGGAAAGTGGCGGTCAGGATTTGAATTTGGTTCTGACTCTGAAGTCCTTCATTATTCTATACTATACTGTAAGCAATTTGACAGCAGGGACCATGACTTATGAAAACCTCTCTATCTGATTGAATGTCATGATGTAATGTAAAAAAAAAATCTATCCATCCATTTAGCCATTTGTCCATCCATCCTTCTGTCCATTCTATTGTCCATCTGTCCACTGGTCCTTCCTTCTATCTACCCAAATATTATCTTTCCTCCCTTCTCTTTTCCCTTCCTTTTTCCAAAAAGCCATCCAGGCTTTATTCATTGTGCCTACCTCCTCTTTTCCTTTCTTTATCCTTCCATTCAATTTTCTATCCTGTCATCCATCCATTTGGTTAGGCAACATGTACTAAGTAGCATGAGGTACAAAGCATTTCTCTGAAGCAGTTACAATGCTTTACATGTAACAGCTGTTTAATAAACATTTAAAAAATCAACTTCAATAAATAACTATACTCAAAAGAACATTTTCAAGCCTGTATCACTCCTTCTCTCAAGCAAAATCATCTTTCAAACTTATAAGTTAATTCAGGAGATATATTGATGAAGCAGAATACAAGAATACATTGCTTATGAAAGTGAAACATTTAATTTGCTACCTGATAACACACTTTTACTCAATTATTAGTCTAATATATGTCCTCCATTATAAATATAACCATACCTTCTATCTCGATGAAGTTCACTCTGAATAGAAGTCCGAGAAGCTGTTGAAGAAGGAATAAACTGGTATAGTACAAAATTAGTATGTTTGGTAAGGGTTTAAATTTTTACAAAGTACACAATTGGAAAAAGCTTATACTTGACATCATATAGAATGTATGAATTTTAATATCCTTAAAAAAAAGTAAATCAAAACAATCATTTTATTAGCATAAAGTTAATTATGGTTATATATTAGAGATTGCATAATACATAGATTTCAAAAACTCCCCAAAGAACATTCTGTAGTTGTGAAAATAGTTTGAAGAATGAACAGAGAAAAGAAGACAGCTATTAAATATAAATTGCATGGCTGGAGTATTAAGATGATGACATGAAGTAACAATGGGCAGAAAAAATTTTAAATATCGATTCCAATCTATATGACTATGCTTTTGTGATGTTTGTTTATAAATCTATTGTAGAATGAAACTGGTCAAATTTTCATCTTTTGTCTAACTTATCTGACATTTTATAACCTTTAAGTTGTTTTATTATTTATTTTGAGACAGGGTCTCACCCTGTTGCTCAGGCTGGAGAGCAGTGACATGATGTTCAGGGCTCAATGCAGCCTCAAGTTCCCAGGCTCAAGTGATCCTCCTGCCTCAGCCTCCCAAGTAGCTGGGACTACAGGCACATGACACCATGCCTTGGTAATTTTTTGTATGTTTCGCAGAGATGAGGTTTCGCCATGTTGCTGGTCTCAAGCTCCTGGGTTCAAGCGATCCTCCTGCCTGGGCTTCCCAAAGTGCTGGGATTACAGGCATGAGCCACTATGCCCAGCCTTTTATTACTTAAACTAAGATATAATAATTAATGTAAAAGGTGTTCAAATCACTTTTATAAACTTGTTTATAGCACATATTATTGTATATGCAGCACTGACTTTTTCCTTAAGTCTCAAACTCAAGTCCTTAAGCTTGATAGTTTAAATTTTTTCCCAAATTTTATTTTATAAAGTAAACTAAGTTTTAATCGGATAATCTAGAACATATCACATATGGGGTCATTTTTTTTTCTTTTTTTTTTTTTTTGAGACAGTCTCGCTCTGTCGCCCAGGCTGGAGTGCAGTGGCGCGATCTTGGCTCACTGCAAGCTCTGCCTCCTGGGTTCACACCATTCTCTTGCCTCATCTTCCAGAGTAGCTGGGACTACAGGCGCCCGCGACCATGCCTGGCTAATTTTTTATATTTTTAGTAGATACGGGGTTTCACCGTGTTAGCCAGGATGGTCTCGATCTCCCGACCTTGTGATCCACCCGCCTTGGCCTCCCAAAGTGCTGGCTTTACAGGTGTGAGCCACTGCGCCCGACACATATGGGGTCAATTTTTCAATTTTTATGTAATAGAGACTATTACCTCTATTTTTCTTTATTTCTTTTTTTTTTCTGAGATGGGGTCTCGCTCTGTCGCCCAGGCTGGAGTGCAGTGGCGCCATCTCGGCTCACTGCAAGCTCCGCCTCCCGGGTTCATGCCATTCTCCTGCCTCAGCCTCCCGAGTAGCTGGGAGTACAGGTGCCTGCCACCATGCCCGGCTATTTTTTTTTTTTTTTTTGTATTTTTAGTAGAGATGGGGTTTCACCGTGTTAGCCAGGATGGTCTTGATCTCCTGACCTCGTGATCCTCCCACCTCGGCCTCCCAAAGTGCTGGGATTACAGGCATGAGCCACCACGCCCGGCCTACCTCTATTTTTCATGGAACATATTCTAAAGATCTCTTTGGGGAAAAAAATCTTCTAATACTATAGTGTAAAGATCTGTGCACAAAGGAAATTTGTTTCAGATATAAACTATTTTAACCAGTTGCTTTCATATCTCAGTAATACTCAACTTGTTCAATTCTTCCTATTTGAAAAGATTGGAAGCATAGATCTTTCCCCCCTATTAACTTCTGCTTCTCTCTGAACAAGGAGGCTGTCAAAACTAGGGGAGGCAGGGGTGGAAGTGGAAGGTGGGAATGAAGTTTAGGCTGGATTGGAGCCGTAACAGGTGAACCTCTGCTGGGTTGGCAAAGCAAACCTCTAAGATCTGAAACCAAACCCCTGGGTTTCTACTTGGAGGATGTCCTCATATTCATATCATCAACTGGTTTGACTGACTATTAACATTTTTATCAAGAGCTAAACCAAGCTGACAGGGAGGCTAGAGCTCTGCATGGTGTGTCTGATTTGTAAGAATGGTTTCATTAAGTCAGAGGCCCATTCAAGTTTGCTACAATCACATCACCACCATCACTAATGCTGAAATCAGCAGGGATAACACTTTTAAAAGACTTCATGTTATCATCACAAACATACCTCTTCCACGGGGCATTTTTGCTGTGTACTATTCATGAGTGCTAAGGGAAAAAAAGAAGGGGTTATAGAAGAGGAAAGGAAGAGAAAAGAGTGAACCTAGTTGCCTAAGCTTTAAAAGGAATTCAGGAGCATGACTGTCTTGCCATACCACTGTTTTTCCCTGCTATGCACACTTAAATGGAAAAGCAAAGTTGATGATCCACAGATTCAGAGAGTAAAGAAATACTGCCGCAAAGATTTGTCTGTGCAGACCAGGATATCCACACACATAACCAGTTGAAAAACCCGCTTGTAGGGTTTTTTTTTTTTTATTTTTTTGAGACAAGGTCTTGCTCTGTCACCCAGGCTGGAGTGCGGTGGCACAATATTGGCTCACTGCAGCCTCGACTTCCCTGGCTCAAGCGATCTTCCTGCCTCAGCCCCCTGAGTAGCTGGGACTACAGGCATGCACGACCACACCTGGCTCCTTTTCGTATCTTTTGTAGAAACGGGGTTTTGCTATGCTGCCCAGACTGGTCTCGACTTCCTGACCTCAAGTGATCCGCCCACCTTGGCCTCCTAAAGTGCTAGGATTACAGGCATGAGCCACTATGCCTGGCCTGTCTGCAGTTTTTAACAACGGTTTTAAAAAATCTAAAAACTATTTTGCAAAATCAATTTGCTACTTCAATAAGCATTGATTTTAAAGTATGAATAGTACTTAAAAGGTAATTCAGTAGTCGATCTACATTGTTTAAAATCAGCAATTTTAACTTGATTCTGCCCGTTCACACCAGAGGTCATTCACAGCAGGCCCCCAGGCAGCAGAGTGGCACTGCCGCTGAAGAACATGGAGGGGTCTTGCAGTCGTACGTACAGATGTCCTTCTGCACAACCTTCAAGAATCACTGCTTTCCCCTCTCCTTGTCTGGCTTTTTTCACATTCACTTATCTATGAAATCTTTCTTTTCTCTCTTGATCCTTCTGGAAAAACTGACACCTTCTGTCAGTGCTGAACAAGATTAATAGCTACAAACACTTTTGGTTTTCACTGCAGATTTTCATGTGTTGTCTCATGCTCTTTGTGCTAATTTCTCAACTATCTGCTTATACATTTCATTCTCACTTTCCCAGATTAAACAAATTTGCTGTAGTTGCCAGGAAAATCGAATTTGCCAGATTGCCATATAGACAAGCATGTCCCATTTTACCTCTCTGCCACAAGCTGCTAGTCTGGTACGTTTTGGGTTAATGCCACAGAATAAAGGCAGTATTTTCAGTTAGAGTTATCCTATCATTTTACAGAATTATTTTCAAACTTTTTCTTTTTTTTTTTCTTTTTGAGCTGGGGTCTCTCTCTGTCGCCCAGGCTGGAGTGCAGTGGCACGACCTTGGCTCACTGGAACCTCTGCCTTCCAGGTTCAAGCGATTCTCCTGCCTCATCCTTCCTAGTAGCTGGGATTACAGGTGCCCACCACTGCGCCGGGTTAATTTTTGTATTTTTAGTAGAGATGGGGTTTCACCATGTTGGTCAGGCTGGTGTCGAATTCCTGACCTCAGGTGATCCGCCCGCCTCAGCCTCCCAAAGTGCTGGGATTATAGGTGTGAGCCACAGTGCCTGGCCTATTTTCAAACTTTTCGAGTTCAAGTGGTTAAATTCTAAATACAAAACATATTCATGTTAAAGTTGAGATGTAGATGTGCAGTATTACCACCAATAAAGAATCTTCTCGAATTCCAGCAGGATCACAAGCCTGGAAAGACCCTCAGCGATCGTCCTACTCAAACTTCACAGAGGAGAAGACTGAGATACAGAGGGGTTAAATGAATTACCCCAGGTCCAACAGCCCTTTAGGAGCAAGGCTAGGAGCAGTTTGTTTCTTGAAGCAGTTTAACTCTGTGTGGAGCCAGGAGAGTGGGATGCTAGCTAGTCTTGATCTAAATAATTCAAAATTATCAATAAAATGATGTCAGAAGAAATAAACACATAGAAGGATTATTAATTATAAATACCCTTGCTATAGAACTATGAATGAATGATCAATGAACTAAGAATGAAAGATCAATGAAAATCACAATAATATAAGAAACTTACTGACTACATTTGTTTGGGACAGGGTATAAGAGTTAGATGCATTTGACATGATAACAAGAACGTCTGTGGAGTGGAAAGCTCAATGGCCTTGAAGTCAGGAAACAAGGTTCATATCTTGGCTCTACCTTGTGAAGCCACTTAACCTTTCTGGGACTCAGTTTCACTACCACATGTAAAATGGGTCAACACCTACCACGCACAGTGTTATTTTATAATGTATGGAAACAGTTCCTGACTCATGGTAGGTAAACAATATTAACTAAGTCTGAATTTCAGAAAATAATTTTCTCTTAAAAAGTTAATGAAAGGAAGAACATAAAATTCTAGATGTATCCAATTAGGATACATCAAAACACTTTACCAAAAATACTCAGGATTCACAAGAATACATGCAAAGAAAAGGACCCCAAGGCTTGACTGGAACCGGAATCATTATGAAATAAGTTGAACTACAACCAGTTAAAGAATATCACTTTAACAATGGGATAAAGTCTTTCCGCTTGCCAGGGTTAGATGACTGAGTATGGGATAGTAACACACACATTTTAATGGGCTGGCTAAGATAAAAATTATTTACAGCTTTTTCTTATAGAATAGGCAAAAAGAAGAAAACAAAAGGGAATGGCACAATTGTTACTCATTCTGTATTTATATGTTATCATGAAAGGATCTGTTTGGCCTTCTTGCCTAAACATCAGGAATACAAGTATTTCTTTAGTGTTTACAAAGCGACTGACAGAAGAATTAAAAGACAACTGAGTTAAAAACCAAAAAAACACCAGCTACCTCAAAGCAAGGTTTTTCCCTTTGTTTCATATCCTCCTTCCTCTCTCTGCTAGGGCCCTGTTTCACCGTTTTCTCTTCTTTCATGGCTCCAGTCTGATCCCTCCACTGATTGCTTCCCTGCTGCCTACAAATGTCTTCATGCTTCCTCATCCTAAGCATAGTCAGATCTCCTCTTTCCTTAACTCTGCCTCCTTCTCAAATTACAGTCCATATCTCTCCTGTTCACCACCAAATTTCATAGAAGAGTAGGCTACCCTAGCCGCCCCAACTTCCACATATTCTATTCATTGTTGAAATTGAAGTGTGGCTTCCAACTTCAATATTTACTGAAACTGCTCTCTCGTGGGTCTCAATTGACCTCCTAAGTGCCAGACACAATAACCTGTTCTCAGCACCTTTTGCTTGGCCTGGTTTAGTATTAAGAGCTATTGGTGATTCACCTGTTCCTTTTAAAATCTTCTCCTTTGACCTCTAAAACACAGCTGTGTCCTGTTTTTTTTTTTTTTTTTTTTTTTTTTTTAACTCTGACCATTCCTTTTAAGCTTTTATTGCCCATGTCTTCGCTGAGCAAGATCTATCTTGGGGGATCCATGGGAAGTCAGGCACAGATTGTGATTCCCTAACAAAAAAGTCCTGAAATCCAAGGGAATTAAGGCAAGAAGCCAGGGAACAAAGTGCAGGAGCCCACAGATATGACTCAGTGAAAGGAGGCCTTTCACAGCAGGGCTGGGTTCATTGGGTCATGCATTTTTGCCTTATGCCTCTTGAAGGCATAGCTTGTCCTCAGACGTCAGCGTCTCCAAGATTCTATCCCTTCTCATCTTTCCTATCCTGTGTACTTTCTCCCTACATGTTTGGCTACTTCCAGGATTTTGCTTATAACAGTGATTACTCTAAGTTATATCTCCAGCCAATAAATTCTTGCCTAAGTTCTAGATCCTAATTTTGTATTTAAATTATCTCTCTGCCCGTCATCGCCTGCCACCCACAACCCAAGGGTTATAAGGCATGAAAGGCTATCAAGAAGTTTTCATTTTTATATCTGAATTCTCTTCATCTCATACCATAGCATTCCCACATATTTATAGTTCACCAATAAAGAAAAAAAATGGAGTGGGGAAACATGGCATATTTTTCTGTATTGTCAGCTTGTAAAATTTTCACTGGAATTGTTCAAATGCATATTCTTCATGACCTGTGAATATCCTAAATTCATAATGGGCATGGTGGCTCACACCTGTAATCCTAGCACTTTGGGAGACCAAGGCGGGCAAATCACTTGAGGTCAGGAGACCAGCCTGACCAATGTGGTGAAATCCCATCTCTACTAAAAATACAAAAATTAGCCGGGCATGGTGGTGGGTGCCTGTAATCCCAGCTACTCAAGAGGCTGAGGCAGGAGAATTGCTTGAGCCTAGGAGGTGGAGGTAGCAACGAGACAAGATCGCGCCACTGCAGTCCAGCCTGGGCGACAGTGAGAGACCATGTATCGGGGGGGAAAAACAACCAAGTTATGTTTCTAAAAATAGGGCACATTCTCCTCGGGGTGGTAACCTCAGCTCAGATAATGCAAAGAACATCTAAAATCCTATCTTTATCCTTTTCTAACACAGGCAATCCATGTTCTATTTTTAAAGAGATCTTTCCAGAGCCTTTTATTTAAAAAAGTGTTAAAATACCACACTAATAGCAAGTTTTGAAGTTTTGACCAAGAGATAAGGACAGAAAATAGAAATGTTCCTTTCTGATGGGAATTCTACTCTTAGCACTTCTATCTTGATATGGTAGTATAAGCCCGTCTTTATAGGCACTTATACAGTTAAAAAATATATTGTGAAAAGTACCTGTAGAAACAAATGAACCAAAAGGAACAGGATTTAATACTTCTTTTTTCTTTTCTTTGAGACAGAGTTTTGCTCTTGTTGCCCAGGCTGGAGTGCAGTGGCACAATCTTGGCTCACTGCAACCTCCACCTCCTGGGTTCAAGCCATTCTCCTGCCTCAGCCTCCCAAGTAGCTGGGATTACAGGTGCCTGCCACCACGCCCAGCTAATTTTTGTATTTTTAGTAGAGACGAGGTTTCACCATGTTGGTTGGGCTGGTCTTGGAACTCCTGACCTCAGGTGATCCACCTGCCTCAGCCCCCAAAAAAGTGCTGGGATTACAGGCATGAGCCACCGTGCCTGCCAGGACTTAATATTTCTTAAACCTGTTAGATATCTCTAACTCTAGAAAATGGTTACATAATTTTTTTTTTTTTTTTTTGAGATGGAGTCTCGCTCTGTCGCCCAGGCTGGAGTGCAGTGGCGCGATCTCGGCTCACTGCAACCTCTGCCTCCCGGGTTCACGCCATTCTCCTGCCTCAGCCTCCCAAGTAGCTGGGACTACAGGTGCCTGCCACTACGCCCGGCTAATTTTTGGTATTTTTAGTAGAGTCAGGGTTTCACTGTGTTAGCCAGGATGGTCTTGATCTCCTGACCTCGTGATCCGCCTGCCTTGGCCTCCCAAAGTGCTGGGATTACAGGCATGAGCCACTGCACCCGGCCGCTACATAAAATTTATATTAGATCACAGAAACTAACTAGAGAGGCAAATTAAAAAAAAAAAACAAACAGCTTTATAGTATCACATTTGGGATTAAGGAAAAAAAACCCCAGCTTTGTTCTGCAAGAGAAAAACACAGTTCTGAGAAACCGGCTTATCAATAAATATAGGCTGAAAAGTAGCTGTTTGTCTGAAATGCTTTAATACCTCTTAGGAGAAGCTACTCTTGGGTTCTTTGTAGATTCGTCAAATACAATCACCTGCTGGAAATCTAAATCATCACTTAAAATTATTACAGAGGAAAATACAGAGAAGGAAAAAACAAACTTACATCTCTTGATTACCGCTCTAATGGATGACAAGGGTCCTTGGCTAGAAAAAGAAAGAAAACTTATTATACATTCATTAATCCTTTTTGAAAAGAGCCATTCATAAGGCCAAGTCATTTCTGGGATTCAATATGGTGCTAAGCCACAAGTTTGATACATTATTTACTGGCCTATCCTCTTTAAAAATCAAAAATTAAAGAAATTTTTAAAACTTGACTTTAATTTGTTTTATGGGAAATATATTTGCAGTGTAAGTAAAATTTTGCCTTAAAATTGCTTTCATAGCTACTTACATACTGTATCTTCCAGTGAAAATCTGGATACCACTCGTAATTAGACAGCATTACATGGCGCTCAAAAGAACTTTATTCCTTATGGCTCTTTTGTGTTTGACACTGAAATTCCTATCTTCATATATCACATCAAAGTACATAATCTATATAGTCAATTTGACCTAAGGAACAACAGCATTTCTTCTTAAGATTAGAATTTAAAACATCACCACCTAAAAATAAAATAATCTTGTGAGACTTTCCCCTCTCCCTCCCAGACTCCCTGTCTCTCTCTCCCCCTTCTTTCTCTCCCTTTCTCCCCTCCTACCCAACACCCTGCTTCCTCTCTTGCTCTTCTGCCTTTCACCATGGGATGACACGGCAACAAGAAGACCCTCTCCAGATACCAGCCTCTCAATCTTGGATTTCCCAGCCTCCATACCCATGAGCCAATAAATTTCTGTTCATTATAAATTACCCATTTTGTGGTATTATAGGAGCAAAAAATTGACTAAGACAATACTATTGTGTTATACAGAGGGAAAGATTAAGCTCTAGGAGGTCTCTGATACCTTAAAGCGAGGACTGTAATATAAAGATACAACTGTTTACAGTAATACTGATTTTTTAAAGAGTGCTTAAAGGCTTTCTGTAAAACAGCTACATGAAAAAAGAATTAATATAAGGTAGAGGCGGAATGTCCCTCATCCAAAATGCCTGGGACCAGAATTATTTAGGATTTCTTTTTATTTTGGAATATTTGCATTATATACTTACCAGTTAAGTATCCCTAATCCAAAAATCTGAAATCTGAAATGATATAATGAGCATTTCCTTTGAACATTATGTTACTACTGCTCAAAAAATTTCAAATTTTGAAGCATTCTGGATTTCGGATTAGGGATACTCAATCTTAATATGGAAGGGGTAACAGCCCTCTTAGTGAATACATCACAATCTCCTTGCTCACTACCACTGATTTGGCAGGGATGATATTATGAATTTAAAACATCCTTTGTCTCTTTTGTTGAGAAGGAAGATGTATTGATTGGGGTGGAACACGGAAGGTGTTACAGGTTGAAGCATATCCTCCCTCAAAAAGAAATGTTGATGTCCTTACCAGTAGGACTTCAGAATGTGATCTTACTTGAAAATAGAGTCCATACAGATGTAATTAGTTAAGATAAGGTCACACTGGAGTTGGATGGGCCCCAATCCAACATAACTGGTTTCTTAGAAGATGGCCATCTGAAGAGCCAAACCAAGGTACACCAAAGACTGCTGGTCAACCTCCATAAGCTAATAGGCAAGGAAGAAATCACCTATGAGTTTCAGAGGGGGCATAGCCCTGCTGACACCTTGATTTCAGACTTCCAGCTTCCAAGACTGTGAGACAGTAAGTTTCTGTTTTTGTTTTTGTTTTTTGTTTTTTTAATTTTTAGACAGAGTCTCGCTCTGTCGCCCAGGGTGGAGTGCAGTGGTGTGATCTCGGCTCACTGCCAGCTCTGCCTCCCGGGTTCACACCATTCTCCTGCCTCAGCCTCCCAAGCAGCTGGGACTACAGGCACCCACCACCATGCCCAGCTGATTTTTTGTATTTTTAGTAGAGACAGGGTTTCACTGTGCTAGCCAGGATGGTCTCGATCTCCTGACCTTGTGATCTGCCCGCCTCGGCCTCCCAAAGTGCTGGGATTACAGGTGTGAGCCACCATGCCCGGCCAAGTTTCTGTTGTTTTAAGTCACTCAGTGATATGGTTTGGCTGTGTCCCCACCCAAATTTCATCGTGAATTGTAACTCCCACAATTCCGTGTCGTGGGATGAACCTGGTTGGAGGTGATTGAATTATGGGGGCAGGTTTTTCCTGTGTAGTTCTCACGACAGTGAATAAGTCTTATGAGATCTGATGGTTTTAAAAAGAGGCATTCCCTTGCACAAACACTATTCTCTTGTCTGCCGCCTTGTGAGATGTGCTTTTCACCTTCTGCTATGATTGTGAGGCCTCTCCAGCCATGTGGAACTGTGAGTCCAAAAAGAAAGTTTACAAAACTTTCTTTTGTAAACTGCCCAGTCTCAGGTATGTCTTTATCAGCAGTGTGAAAACAGGCTAATACAGTAAATTGGTACTAGTAGAGTGGGTGCTGCTGTAGATACCCCAAAATGTGGAAGCGACTTTGGAACTGGGTAACAGGCAGGGGTTGGAATAGTTTGGAGGGTTCAGAAGAAGACAGGAAAATGTGGGACAGTTTGGAACTTCCTAGAGACTTGCTGAATGGCTTTGCCCAAAATGCTGATAATGATATGGATAATGAAAACCAGGCTGAGGTGTTCTCAGATGGAGATGAGGAACTTGTTGGGAACTTGAGCAAAGGTGACTCTTGTTATGTTTTAGCAAAGAGACTGGTGGCATTTTGCATCTGCCCTAGAGATTTGTGGAACTCTGAACTTGAGAGAGATGATTTAGGGCCTCTGGCAGAAGAAATTTCTAAGCAGCAAAGCATTCAAAAAGTCACTTGGGTTCTTTTAAAGGCATTCAATTTTATAAGGGAAGCAGAGCATAAAAGTTGGGGAAATTTGCAGCCTGACAATGTGATAAAAGAGAAAATCCCATTTGCTGAGGAGAAATTCAAAATGGCTGCAGAAACTTGCATAAGTAACAAGGGGCCAAATGTTAATCCCCAAGACACTATGGGGAGAATGTCTCCAGGGCATGTCACAGGTCTTCTTGGCGGCTCCTCCCATCACAGGCCCTGAGACCTAGGAGAAAAAAATGGTTTCATGGGTTAGGCCCAGGGTCCCTCTGCTGTGTGCACTCTAGGGACTTGGTGCCCTGCCTCCCAGCCACTCCAGCTGTGGCTGAAAGGGGACAACGTAGAGCTTGGGCCGTGGCTTCAGAGGGTGCAAGCCCCAAGACTTGGCAGCTTCCATGTGGTGTTGAGCGTGCAAGTGCACAGAAGTCAAGAATTGAGGTTTGGGAACCTCCACCTAGATTTCAGGGGATTTATGGAAACACCTGGATGTCCAGGCAGAAGTTTGCTGCAGGGGTGGGGCTCTCAAGGAGAACCTCTGATAGGGCAGTGCAGAAGGGAAATGTGGGGTCGGAGCCCCAACACAGAGTCCCTACTGGGGCATCGCCTAGTGGAGCTGGGAGAATAGGGCCACTGTCCTCCAGACCCCAGAACAGTAGATCCACTGACAGCTTGCACTGTGCTCCTGGAAAAGCCGCAGACACTCAACGCCAGCCGTGAAAGCAGCTGGTGGGGAGGCTATACCCTGCAAAACCACAGGGGTGGAGCTGCCCAAGACCATGGGAACCCACCTCTTGCATCAGCATGACCTGGATCGTTTTGGACCTGGCGTCAAAGTAGATCGTTTTGGAGCTTTAAGATTTGACCTGCCCTGCTGGATTTCAGACTTGCATGGGGACTGTAGCCCCTTTGTTTTGGCCAATTTCTCCCATTTGGAATGGCTGTATTTACCCAATGCCTGTACGCCCATTGTATCTAGGAAGTAACTAACTTGCTTTTGATTTTACTGGTTCATAGGCGGAAGGGACATGCCTTGTCTCAGATGAGACATTGGACTGTGAACTTTTGAGTTAATACTGAAATGAATTAAGACTTTGGGGGACTCTTACGAAGGCATGATTGGTTTTAAAATGTGAGGACATGACATTTGGGAGGGGCCAGGGGTGAAATGACATGGTTTGGCTGTGTCCCCACCCAAATCTCATCTTGAATTTTAACTTCCACAATTCTCATGTGTCATGGGAGGAACCTGGTGGGAGGTGATTGAGTTATGGGGGTGGGTCTTTCCTGTGCTGTTCTCATGATAGTGAATAAGTCTGGAAGATCTGATGGTTTTAAAAGGAGGTGTTCCCCTGTACAAGGCATGTAAGTAGAAAGCATGATATACCCACTGGGGCAGCATGACTGTCAGAAGAGTACAGAATCTGTTCTTTTTTTTTTCTTTTGAGATGGAGTCTTGCTCTGTCACCTAGGCTGGAGTGCAGTGGCGCAATCTCGGCTCACTGCAAGCTTCACCTCCCAGGTTCATGCCATTCTCCTGCCTCAGCTTCCCGAGTAGCTGGGACTACAGATGATCGCCATCATGCCCAGCTAAATTTTTGTATTTTTAGTAGAGATGGGGTTTCATCATGTTAGCCAGGATGGTCTTGATCTCCTGACCTCATGATCTTCCCACCTCGGCCTCCCAAAGTGCTGGGATTACAGGCGTGAGCCACCACACCCAGCCCTTTTTTTTTTTTTTTTTTGATACAGAGTCTTGCTCTGTCACCAGGCTGGAGTGCAGTGGCATGATCTTGGCTCACTGCAAGCTCCGCCTCCTGGGTTCACGCCATTCTCCTGCTTCAGCCTCCCCACAGCTGGGACTACAGGTGCCACGACCAGCTAATTTTTTTGTATTTTTAGTAGAGATGGGGTTTCACCATGTTAGCCAGGATGGTCTCGATCTCCTGACCTCGTGATCCGCCTGCCTCGGCCTCGCAAAGTGCTGGGATTACAGGCGTGAGCCACCGCGCCCGGCAAGAGTACAGAATCTGTAGTCAGCTAGAGGTGTTTTCTTATTTGTGTGAGCTGGCCAATTTACTTACTTGCTGGAATTGTTTCCTTATCTGTAATATGAGGATACTAGTGCCTATCTTTTGGCTTGTTGCTAAGACTGAATAAGAAAACTCTGTGAAATATATATCATAGTACTGGGCACGTATCAGAGTCTCAAGATATGTTAAATTTCCTACCCATTTTCCAATATAAACATTTCTGTTGTTCACAATATATATGGCTGAAATTTTTGGGACTATCCTGCCATCACCAGTGGGTTAACCTATAGTTATTATAACCCTACCTTATAAATTTAAATGATTTGCATTTCTGCTGAAATTATTATTTACCATTTACAATCATTCTGAGTTTCACAACACATACTTCTCATATACCCAATCTCCTATGAAGCCAAAGCAATAACAAAACCAAGAGAACAAAACAAACCTACAAGCCTTTGTGAACGCTGTATTTCCCCCATTGAAAACACAGACCTCTGTTCCTTTAGGTCATCCTTCTCAGGATGTTTCCCAAGAAATGGGCATGCTGATCAAGTAGCTATGTATATTTAGTTTCATATTTAACTCTATTAAAAAACAAATCCCACAAAAAAGTTCAAAGATCTTGGAAAAGACTTTCAATTATGTTCTTTATAACTACAGCCAGTTTAAAAATCAGAATATGTTGCCTTGTCCTTTCCAATTCTTCTTTTTTTTTTTTTTAATCACACATTCCTGTCTTGACTCTCTAACTAGACTGCAAGCTTCTCAAGGAGAAAGAATGTGTCATGTAACATGTGCCCACTACTGGACTAATGTGAACTCAATTCTACTCATAGAGAGAAAGAAATATTGTAATTTAAATAGTACTAGTTATTCCACCTATAATCCACTTAATAAGCAAATCCCCAGGGATAATTTTGCTGCTGGTTTTGTTTAGTTGGACTCAGTTGCCAGTTACATCTCACTGTATGCACATCTTATCAAAAGTGTCTGGTCTAATGTTTAAAATAGGTTTGTTTTTTTTTTTAAATATAAAAAGTCATCTTGATGAGCATTTGGTGTTCACTAAAGAACAGCACTCACTTCTAATGGAAAACTAGCCAGGTTGACCTTATTTAGAGATGGTACGGTAGACTTCAACATGGCACTTGAAATTGGCAATAAATACTGTACTTTTAGTATCAATTAACAGAATTTTGGAAGTAATTCTGCATATTTGGTTTTCTCATTATACACTTTCTTTAGAACCTGTCTCTTCGTAAGTTAAGACTCTGGTAGTTCCTAAGCAACAAGCAGCACAAAGTCTTCACTGGTATGCCGCTAAATTTGAAACCATGTGTAATATACAGTAACACACAGTGACACACAGTGACTTTACTAAGATGGAACTTGTCTGAATGGGTTAGGTTACATGACATGGAACAGATACAACTTGGTTTGGGAAGAGGTATGGTGCATGTCAACCCAGCACCTAAGAAATGTAGCATTTACTGCAACATATGAGCTCAGAATCTAACCCCTTCAAATGTGAACACAGAAAGATTAAGAACTGTGGGTCTGATGTATAATTGTGTTCAATGGACACCTATTGAAGGAACCAAGGAATTAATAACCAGAATAAAACTTTTCTGGGGTTATATCTTTCCTTCACAGTCAACCTAAGTGATCTATAGAAAGAGTTTATATAGAAAACCTAAAAAGACAAAAAGGGCTAAAATCTAATCCTCTCTTTTCTAGATGTGTAGCAGTATAGTAGGATTAATTTTTTTTTTTTTTTTTTTTTTTTTTTTTTTGGTCACTCAGCTCTGTCACCCAGGCTGGAGTGCAGTGGCATGATCTCGGCTTACTGCAACCTCTGCCTCCTGGGTTTTAGCGATACTCCTGCCTCAGCCTCCCAAGTAGCTTGGATTACAGGTGCCCGCCACCACGCCCAGCTAGTTTTTTTGTATTTTTAGTAGAGATGGGGTCTCACCAGTTGGCCAGGCTGGTCTTACACTCTTGACCTCAAGTGATCCACCCACCACGGCCTCCCAAAGTGCTGGGATTACAGGCATGAGCCACCGCCCCCAGCCAGTAGGATTAATTTTTATGATTAGGAGTTATTTGTTGGTAAAAGGCATAAAAAGGATAGCATAGGTCTAAAGAGGTGTCTATTAAATGCCAGGAAAAAAATAAGCGATAAAATATAGACAAATATATGGTAGTTTCAGTTTCAAGCATCCACAACAACTACAGACTGATTTTTCAAACTTTTGTCTTTTTCAATTCTCCTGCCTCAGCCTCCCGAGTAGCTGGGATTACAGGTGCCCGCCACAACGCCCAGCTAATTTTTTGTAAATTTAGTGGAGATGAAGTTTCACCATGTTGGCCAGGCTGGTCTCGAACTCCTGACCTCAGGTGATCTGCCTACCTCAGCCTCCCAAAGTGCTGGGATCACAGGCATGAGCCACCGTGCCTGGCTAAACTTTTGTCCTATTAGCTGATGATTTCTTCATTTTTCGTCAAACGATTAATGTGCATCTAACTGTTAAGAGTTAACCTTAATTTTCAGCTGGGCATGGAGGCTCACACCTTTAATCCCAGCACTTTGGGAGGCTGAGGCAGGTGGATCGCCACAGGTCAGGAGTTCGAGACCAGCCTAGCCAATGTGGTGAAACAAAAAATACAAAAATTAGCCAGGTGTGGTGGCACCTGCCTGTAATCCCAGCTACCCGGTAGGCTGAGGCATGAGAATCACTTGAACCTGAGAGGCAGAGGTTGCAGTGAGCCAAGATCGTGCACTGCACTCCAGCCTAGGCGACAAAGGAAGACCATCTTAAAAAAAAAAAAAAAAAGGTTGGGCGCGGTGGCTCATGCCTATATTCCCAGTGCTTTGGGAGGCTGAGGTGGGTGGATCACGAGGTCAGGAGATCGAGACCATCCTGGCTAACATGGTGAAACCTCGTCTCTATTAAAAATACGAAAAAAATTAGCCGGGCATGATGGCGGGTGCCTGTAGTCCCAGCTACTCGGGAGGCTGAGGCAGGAGAATGGTGTGAACCCAGCAGGCGGAGCGTGCAGTGAGCCCAGATCGCCCCACTGCACTCCAGCCTGGTGGACAGAGTGAGACTCTGTCTCAAAAAAAAAAAAAAAAAAAAAAAAAAGAAAAAGAAAAAAAGAGTTAACCTTAATTTTCAAGCAAGAAACCTAATGCCTATGTTATTCCAGGCATTGTGCTGGGCACCAAAGAAAGAAGATTAACTAGGACATGGCCCCTGCCCATAGGTGCTCATAGGTGCTCATGGTCTAGTGAGAAGCCTGTGGATAAGAAAAGAGCTTATGATTTGAATTTCTGCTTTTCTTAAAATTAGAACATTTATATATTTTTTTAATCTTTTATCAGAGAGGTGTTTTTACATATTAGTTCCTCTATTAGAATATAATCTCCTTCTCAGGCCATATACATGTTGGACATGTTGGAATGATGTTGCACATAAATCCTAAATTAAAAAAATAATTACAGCAAATTTTAAAAAATTAAGGCAATTTAAGAAGTCCTCTTGACATGCTCAGATTCCATGCCATAAAATACTTTAGATCATACGTAAAGAAAAAGTTTCTGAAAAACAACTGACTCATCCAGTTACACCCTACTTAACAATGACTTTAAAAGATGTAAGAGAAGTTCTTAAAAAAAAAAAAAAAAGAAAAAAGAATTTTCTCAAACCGGTCATCCTGGTTTCAAAAACTATATATATGCAAAGGGGTGACACATCCCTTCGGACACTTCCTTATGAACGTTTGGGGAAAACCTGGTATAAGCTGCTGCCACAGACATGAGACTGGCAGGGGACACTGCCTGGCAAGAGAAAGTAGGACAGAGGAAGCTGGGTGGAAATTCAAACAGGAATCATTTGGTCATATCAAAAACGGAACATCAAAGGCAGGCCCATCAAGGTCCATATTTAGAGTCTATACATATAATAAGAAACAAATCTGGGCAACATAGTGAGACCCTTATCTCTACAAAAAATAAAAAAAATTAACTGGATGTGGTGGTGCGTGCCTGCCTGTAGTTCCAGTTACTTGGGAGGCTGAGGCAGGGGGATGGCTTGAGCCTGGGAATTCGAGGCTGCAGTGGGCCAGGATGGCACCACCACAGCCCAGCCTGGGCAACAGAGAAAGACCCTGTCTCAAAAACAAACAAACAAAACATAAAACACCAAGAAAAAGCCCTCTGTCCAGAGATGAAAAAATTCTCAGGGAGAAAAGGGAAGAGGAAAAGATATTAGCTTATCACTACCTAGAAAAATCTGCTATTTATAGTATTAGTTTTTTTTTTTTAACTAAACATATACTGAATACTCCAGTATGCTGGTTCTCATCAGAACATATAATCTATTTTTCTTGATGGGACTTAATTAAACTAAAAAGCTTCTGCACAGCAAAACAAATAATCAGCAGAGTAAACAACCCACAGAGTGGGAGAAAATCTTCACAATCTATACATCCAACAAAGGACTAATATCCAGAATTTACAAGGAACTCAAACAAGTCAGCAAGTAAAAAACAAACAATCCCATCAAAAATTAGGCTAAGGGCATGAATAGACAATTCTCAAAGGAAGATATATAAATGGCTAACAAACATATGAAAAATGCCCGACATCATTAATTATCAGAGAAATGCAAATCAAAACCACAATGTGATACCCCTCTACTCCTGCAAGAATGGCCATAATAAAAAAATCAAAAAATATTAATAGATGTTGGTATGGATGCAGTGAAAAGGGAACACTTTGACACTGCTAGTGGGAATGTAAACTAGTACAGCCACTATGGAAAACAGTGTGGAGATTCCTTAAAGAACTAAAAGTAGAACCACCATTTGATCCAGCAATCCCACTCCTGGGTATCTACCTAGGTATCACACACTGCACTCCAGCCTGGGTGACAGAGCAAGACGATCTCAAAAAAAAAAGAGTTAATCTTAATTTTCAACCAAGACATCTAATGCCTATGCTATTCCGGGCATTGTGCTGGGCACCTTAGGGTAAAATAAGTCATTATACCGAAAAGATACTTGCACATGCATATTTATAGCAGCACAATTCACCACACCCAGCCTTCTAATTTACTTTGAATTCGTCAGAAGGGATAGTTGCACGGCATGGGTGTCTAATATCTACTGATGATGTGGCAATCAAAATCAGCACAAAAATTCAAATGTTCCAGAAGCAGCTAATATTTGGAACTGGGTTAGCAACAAATGTTACAAACAAGGGGGTGTGTGCATGCACGTGACTATTTGGGAAGAGCCTTAACCTCAACATGTGATATTTTCAAACGAGAGCATATTCATCTCAATTAACCACTGCAATATTCTCCTGTGAAAAATAAAACCCTACTATTAATTCTAAAACATACGAAAAATCAGTGTGTTTAGACAGCAGAAGGGAAAGAAAAAAGGTGAGAAACATGATTTTGTCTCTCTCCATTCTTTATGCGATTAAAATAAAACTAATAAGGGATAATAGTGGTCATTTTAAAAGTAAAAACAAATACATATTTTAAGCATCTGAAAATGATCAAAATATTAATTAAATGACATTTCTAAAAACCTAGAAATTAGGTCAGTTTGAAGCCAAGGCTTTATGTGAAATAGTGAGGCAGATACTTTTTTTAAAAAGCAAAATTTGAATGTTATTAATAAAATACATAAATTATTTAAATTGTTGTGACACTGTAAGATTTTTTCCACATCAGATAACTTTAAAAAATGTATCTTTCAGGCCAGGTGCGGTGGCTCATGCCTGTAATCCCAGCACTTTGGGAGGCTGAGGCGGGCGAATAACGAGGTTAGCAGATCGAGACAATCCTGGCTAACATGGTGAAACCTCATCTCTACAAAAAATACAAAAAATAAGCCAGGCGTGGTGGCACATGCCTGTAGTCCCAGCTACTCAGGAGGCTGAGGCAGAAGAATCACTTGAACCCGAGAGGTGGAGGTTGCAGTGAGCTGAGATCACACCACTGCACTCCAGCATGGGTGACACAGCGAGACTCTGTCTCAAAAAAAAAAAAAATATATATATAATATAAAAATATATATTATATAAAATATAAAATTATATTATATAAAAATTATATAATATATAATATATATCATATATTATATATTATATAAAATATATATTATATAAAATATATATAAAAATATATATTTATCTTTATATATAAAAATATATACGTATCTTTCAAATGTGAATGCCCTAGCCACCCATTTCTTAGCTTTGTATCACTTGATCAAAGGTTTTAGGTTAGCTAAGCCTTCCTTTGACCCTTTAGAGGCTCCTACATCATTACATTTCTAGCTTTTCACCAAATATCTAGTGATGTCTAAGCCAAAATAAAATACACTCAATCAATGGTTGAGAAATAATGAAGCAACAAATATATACATAACGGCAAAACAATGTAAATTCATAAAAATGCATAAATTATTTAATTACCAATTAAAAAAACATTTTAAACACTCATTTAACTGAGTCTTTCAAAAATAGGCAGCTCTTAAGGAGTTACTGTTATAAAGCTGAAGGCTTTAACCAAGAATATAAACACAACGTGGAAACAGCTGAATTCATTCTTAACAATCAAAGATTTGTTCTTCTCTGGAAATTGCAACAGAAACTTCAGCAGTGGGTAGGCACGAAACCTTTACTCTAAATATTCAACAATTTCTCCATGAGACAAGCAGGGCTAGCAGCCTTCCCACCAGCTAACATCTTTTTTTTTTTTTTTTTGCAAAGCCACTGGAGAACTTTCCCATTAGATACCAAGAACATATTTGGTAGCCGAAGGACATTAAAGTGATTTAAAATTATAAATACCAATAGTTACATGAAATTACCCAAAAGATACAGTAAATTTCTAGATTTGGGAGCCCACAAAGAAGTATGTTTTAGGATATTATTAATATATTATGTATCTGAGGATACCATCATTTAAGGGGAATGACTGACTGTTCATTAGGACTACAGACTCTGAGTCTGAGTACAACTGTCCCCAAACAAACAGTTCTGTTTTCAGGATATTTAAAAAGATTCACAGAGAGGAAATGTGCCTTTTATCAGCCTCAGTTTAAAGAAGCAGACAGGAGAGATCCAAGAAGGTACAGCAGAGAATGTAGTAGAAAATGGCAGGTATGGAGTTCAGCAGAACAAAGGATGGGGCATAATATTGTGGGTGGACAGAGCAAGGTTCCAAATAGTCTCAAAGTAAGGACTCTGCCTGGGAAATGATAAAACTCATTTGGCAGCATACTTTGAAATAACTCGCCTGCTGCACAGGGGGCATAGGCTGCCCCATCCCCATTCATTCCCTCTTCTTTCCTGCCACACTGGAAGCATTTTATTCAGCTATTCTCATCTAGCCTCCCCTTGTGACCAGCTGCACGCACTGTGAAAGGGCCCAAAGTGCAGACCGTGCCAAAGCAAAAGAGCATGCATGACCAAATGACACCGGAATCCATGTCTACAAGGAAAACAAGTCCCCAAACTACGAAATAGTATAATCCCAATGTTATTTGTAAAATCTTACTTTAAAAAATATATATTTATTTTGCTATGGTCTGAATGTTTGTATCCCCATCAAATTCATATATTGAAATCCTAATCTCCAAGGTTTTGGTACCAGGAGATGTGACCTTTGGGAAGTGATTAGGTCATAAGGGTAGAGCCCTCATGAATGGGATTAATGTTCTCATAAAAGAGGCCCCAGAGAGATCCCTTGCCTTTCTGCCATAAGAGGAAACAGCAAGAAGATACTGTCTATGAACCAGACTGCAAGCCCTTATTAGACAGGGAGTCTGCTGGTGTCTTATCTTGAACTTCCCAGCCTCGAGAAGTGTGGATTTTTTTGTTTGTTTGTCATTTATAAGCCACCTGGTCTACAGTATTTTGTTATAGCAGCCTGAATGGACTAACACATACATACATACATACACACATACATACATACACATACACACACACCCCACACACATATTTGTATAATTACATTTATACAAAAAAAGTGAGAACGCATCTACCCAGTGATGTGCTGGAGCCAGCTCATGTGAGCTGACAATTGAATTTTCAGAAATTTTGCAAGCCAGTTGTTAAATATAACCATTATTAAAAATTAAGTTATACAAACTTACAATTAAAGTAAAGCTAATATTAAAGGTTCATCATTTCCTAATTATTTTCTTAAATTTTACTACTGCTAATGACGTGCTACTGTGCATCTCTTCCCAATCTATCACCAGTGGTATCATATTGGTAGCTTTAAATTGGCCATGGTGGGAATATTTATCCCACAAAACTGGCAAATTAGGGTTTACTTTATCATTTTATTGACTGTCTAAACTTAAGAAAGTGACAAAGAAAATGTTAGTAATAATGCACGTTCAACCTAAAAGCATGTTATATGTGGAGCTGTTACATTACGACAAGAACAAAAAAACTGAGGAAACATTCTTCCAGTTTGAAAACTATCATCTGAATCAGCAAAGAGGTTGCTCATGCAATTGACAAATGAATAGAAACTCTGACATATATTTTGGTTTTGGTTTTTGACACATATTTTGTTTCACGTTTATCTTACTCATTAATATAAACAAACATATCAACCAACATTCATATTGGAATTACGCTCAGAGAGCGAGTTGCTCACATTTATCAGCATACCACTGCACAGGCCCCAGATGTTAACAATAGTTGATTCTAAGAGGTAAAGAATTATGAATGATTTGTCATCTACCTGTGTCTCTGAATTTTTCAAGCTTTATAATTACTTTAATAATTTGTGTGCTATTTTTAAAAATTGCTATAGCAAACAAACAAAACAAAATAAATTCACTGGTTCATGTCAAATTCATGACCTCTAAATAATGAAGATTATAGCCAAACCACCAGCCAATCAATCACTTTCTGGAAACAGCAGGCTGAGTTCAAAGTCACATGTAGATGCCATTACAGGGCTGAAAATCCCCCAGAATCCTGATGTGAATAACAAAAATGAATTACAGCATGCATACAACTTCAAATCTCTGTATTTCCCATACCCCTTATTGCTCCAGCATAAAATAAAAATACAGGGTGTTAATCAAATTAAATCCATATAACATTTAGAATTTTAAAAGCATTAATTTAGCTATTATTTCCCGAGTGTTTTCTACGTTCCAGAAATTTTCCTAGGTGCTGAGGACAAAAGTAAAACAAGATGAGCCCCTCTATTCAAAGAGATTACAGTTAAGTACAGAAGACAGAGAAGTAAACAATTTTTTAAACAGGCGATTTTAATACAGATTAGAAAATGTGGAACCACCTAGGAACATCTGGAGTCTTTAAAAAATAGTATCACAAATATAGAACTAATCATGAATGCCAATTTCAATGAAATACAACTAAAGGAGAGGGTAAAGTATAATCAAACTCTAAAAAATAATAAAATAGGCCGGGCACAGTGGCTCATGCCTATAATCTCAGCACTTTGGGAGGCCGAGGCGGGTGGATCACCTGAGGTCAGGAGTTCGAGACCAGCCTGGGCCAACATGGCGAAACTCTGTCTCTACTAAAAATACAAAAATTAGCCAGGCATGGTGGCGGCTACCTGTAATCTCAGATAATGGAGAGGTTGAGACAGGAGATTTGCTTGAACTCGGGAGGCAGAGGTTACAGTGAGCCGAGATTGCCCCACTGGACTCCAGCCTGGGCGGTAAGAGCAAAACTCCATCTCAAAAAAAAAAAAAAGAAAGAAAATAATGATAATAACAATAAGGCTGAGTGTGGTAGCTCACGCCTGTAATCCCAGCACTTTAGGAGGCCGAGGCAGGTGGATCACGAGGTCAGGAGATCGAGACCATCCTGGTTAACACGGTGAAACCCTGTCTCTACTAAAAATACAAAAAATTAGCCGGGCGTGGTGGCACACACCTGTAGTCCTAGCTACTAGGGAAGCTGAGGCAGGAGAATCGCTTGAACTCAGGAGGCGGAGGTTGCTGTGAGCCGAGATCGCGCCACTGAATGCCAGCCTAGGCGACAGAGCAAGACTCCGTCTCAAAATAATAATAAAATAGATTCTTAGTGGCAAGACTATGCATACATGAATAGTAACATCTGCTTTTCTGTAGCAGCCAAAGCCAGAGTCACTCCTCAAACTCCTAGCTAGTCCAGTGCTGGCATTTTTAGAACTGGTGTGGCACTACAGTCCAGTACTAATTCCAACTTTTAGTTGCACTAAAGATGATCCTCCTCATACCTCTAACCAATATCTATGTCACCATAAGAATGTCTGTAAGATATGCCAACTGTTTCTTGCGTCATGGCCCTTCTTGTTGGAAAAATTCCTAATGATAGGAATCAACCGAAATGAAGGTGTGAATGGATAGATGGAGGGACAGGTAGGTAGGCAGACAGACAGACAGACTTCTTTTTAACAACCTTACTTTCAAAACACAAGATACAGTCTTTAGTAATCCCACTACCTTTAGGTTCCATCTATTTAGGTAGCAAGTATTTATATTTTATTAATGGAATAACAGAGCATGAGGGCCCTTCTAAACACCCAAAACTAGTGTGATAAAGTTGGACATTTTGCTTCCAGACAAATATTCTGACCATTAAAACTGGGGCTTCAATTTTCCCAGGAGAGATTATACAACTGTTTCGGTCTAAGTTGAACTATGTCAGAGGCTATTTGGAATGCTGCCTAAAATTTCAAGAATGCTGGGGGATTGAAGGGGGAGAGGAGATGGAGACAAACGAGGAAAGAGAAATGTGACTGTTGGTGGTGGGGTTAGGATCTAAGACTCACTTCCAAGCTTGACTCCTAATCCCACCTCATTCCCACAGGCCACAGTCCTAACACCAAAGGTCTGAAAAAGACAGGTGGAATTCCCATGACAGGACCCCCAGCAATCGCAGCATCGGTGCCACTGACCCCATCATCGCCACCAGCCCTTTCCCAGGAAGAGTCAGCTGACACGGAACAATCCTTGGCAGTGGGGATTGGGGCTACTGGATGACTTTCAGCAGCCTGAGAAGTCAACAGTGTGAAGATCACCAATGCACAGAACCTAACCAGAAAGGTTTTCTTTAGCTTATTTATTTTTGCAAGTAGCTTCAAAAAGGAATAAACTTCTAGAGGTCCTCAGATTCTCTGTTATTTTTATTTCAAGTGAAAATGTTTCCTTGCCACTAAATTCAGGAAACACTCACTGATCACTGATAACCTCATGATTACGGACCATGGCTGGAGATAAAAAAATGAACCACTGCCCTCAGGTGGGGATGCCAGCCCCACCAACTTATAAAGGTCATTTGTGCTCTAGATAAAAGTATGCCAAGGAACTGTCTTTGGTTTGTTTTTGTCCCTGAGAAATCAAAATGTTTCAAATAATAACTTTAATCCTAGTTTTAAAATTTTAACACCAAGACTTTGTACTTGTATTCCCTTCTAATTCTAACCTGCTGTTAGAAATGTTTGTTTTCAAACTAGGACTTTCTATAAGAATAATGACGTTTCTCTTACTGAAATAATTCAGCCTTGATCATTTTATTTTATATTATTTAGGGGAACAGAATAAAAGCTGGTCACCATGCTAATATTAAATTGCTGCAATTTATTTCATCATAATAATTTTGTGTGTATGTTTTTGGGGGAGGATTTTTTTTAAATAAACTTTTAATTGTAAATTAGTTTTAGATTTCCAGAATAGTTGTGAAGAAAGTTGTCACATACCCCACACTGTTTTCCCTACTATTCTCATCTTACATTAATATATTTGTCACAATGTGTTTTTAAACTAGTCTGGTATAAATTCTACTTCTCCATGTTTTATTTGTAAGAGGTTTATAGAAAGTAATAGAAAAAAAACCCTACATGAATTAGCATAACACTGAACTGTAAACACTGAGTGACAGTATTGTTAGCAAAAATGATGTCAAAACCTAAATATTTTCTTAAGGTAAAGTCATGTCCAAATCGAGGAGTGAGGACAAGTAGGCCCATTCACAGGACTCACCACTTTGACTAGCTCCATACAAAGACAGAATATTTGGGTTGGTATTTTACAAAGAAGTACTAGTAAAAGGAAGAAAAATGCAGAAGGCAGGAAGACTGCTAACTCTTAATAGGGTTTACATAGTAAATCAGGGTGAAGAAAAATTTCTGTAGATTTATTTTTTAGGGTTCCAAGTCTTTACATTTAGTATAAACTACCTCAGTGTCTAGCAAAATGCTTTTCACACACAATAAATATCTTTTGAATGTAAGTGAATCTCACTTTCAAAACAAAACATATCATAGTGCAGAAACTCCAGTACATCTGCCATTTGATGTCAAATATGGATTCATCAATGTTTCATGGAGATGTTATTTTTAAAATCATGATCTTTCCAACATCAGGCCTACATAAACTAAAGTTGTTGTTTTGCCTCAGGCTTAAGCAGAACAAATCTATGGGAAACTCAAAGGTGATATTTTTAACAATCATTATTTAAAGAAATATAGCAGTACCTTATTTAAATACTGAGATCAAGTCTGTTCTTTTTTTCTTTTTTTGAGACAGAGTCTCACTTTGTCACCCAAGCTGGAGTGCAGTGGTGTGATCTCGGCTCACTGCAACCTCTGCCTCCTGGGTTCAAGTGATTCTCCTGCCTCAGTCTCTCGAGTAGCCGGGATTACAGGTGCGCACCACCACACCTGGCTAATTTTTACATTTTTAATAGAGACAGGGTTTCACCATGTTGGCCGGGCTGGTCTCGAACTCCTGACTTCAGGTGATCCACCCACCTCAGCCTCCCAAAGTACTGGGATTACAGGCATGAGCCAAGGGTGCCCGGCCAAGTCTGTTCTTTACGCAAATAGAAGGCCAAAGAGAAGAGGGAAGAGGTGAGCATACAAAGGTATCCTGGGAATTTGTACAAACAGGAAGTACAGCTGAACTTTGTGCAGTGCTGGGAAACACGGCGGCTTTTTGTGCAAGCTCTCATTCTTCCTTTCTCTCTGAAACCACATCATCTCTGCTTCAATCTTCACATCTTCTGCTACACTTGAAGATTGTTTGCTGGCATTCCTGTCTTTGTACATAAAGCATCTGTTTGTTTTAGGCTATCAGTGAATTCTTGGAGACACAGAGAATGTAGGACCATCCCCCTGATGGTTGTCAGACAGAGCGTGAACTGTGTGAGGAGTCTGGGGGTCTGACAAGCCCAATTTCAGCTCTGCCTTTACTCACTCCATGAGTATAATCACATGTCAGTTTCCTTATCTGTAACATGACATTATTGGATTGGATGATCTCTATTCTACCCACTAGGTCTAAAATTTTTAAAATATGAAACTTAAAACACTCCAAGATTCCAATTTAAATTCATTTAATAAGAATCAATTACTTAATCCAACTGCAGTAAGGGAGCTGGACTTGATATTTAATCCATTCCAATAATAATAAAGAAATAGCTAATCTAATTGACCTACACTAATGGTTTTACATCTTTTAACTCACTTAATCCACACATCCACCCGTACAAGAAGGTACTGTTATCATCCCAGTTTTAGAGATGAAAAAAGAGTTTACATAATTTAAATGTCAAAGGACTCATAGCTGGTAAATGGTGAAGTCAGGACTGGAACTTGGACAGTCTGACTCTAGGCAGGGCCAGAGTTCTTTGCTACTGTGCTTCACTATCTCACAAAAAGTTCACATACAGTTGACTGTTGAGAGGAAAACACACACACACACACACAAAACACATTAGGTGAGAATTGTGATTTAATTACCAAAGAACCTTAAGAACTGTCTTCTTTCACTGAACATCCCATGGCTGGAAGAGTTAAATCAGAAGCAACGGTGGAGGAAAGGGGGCAGAATCTTAAATAGTATCAGAAAATGATTTAAGACTTTTATCACTCCTGGGATTTATTCACAAAATATAACATGTCAGGGAGTATATACAAATAAATGATAGGATATTTATAGGTCTGGCTGTATTTTGTGTTGTTTCAGAAAATCCTACATTAAAGAAGGTTTTTTTTGTGTGTGTGTGTCTGTGTGTGTTTTGCCTTTTGTTGATGAAAGAAGACAAAACAATAAAGTCTTCTATTACTCACTGGCATAGATCTGATGTCAGTGTTCATAAGACAAGCAATACACTTCCCTCTTCATACAACATATTATATGGCATGGCTTTTGTTTCTCCATAAATACTGTAAAGTACTACCCTACTCTATTTTCTCAATATATTCATGGCACCCTAATCTATATGGAAATAAATTCTAGAATCAAGGCTATAGTTTTGGTAGTCCTAAAACCAACATGAGTATGTTAGGTATGTGACTTTCATTTCTAAATTACGGTATTGTTATCATTATTTCCTCTAATGGTATTGCATTGACTTGTGAGGTTAAAACAACTGAAACCCCTTTAAACTTGAATTAAATTAAAGGGGTTTTTATTATGAGCATACAAAGGTATCCTGGGAATGGGTATGAACAGGAAGTGCAGCTGAACTTTGGGCAGTGCTGGGAAACAAGGCAGCTTCTCGTGCATGCTCTCATTCTTCCTCACTTTCTCTTTGGGACTACATCACCTCCGCTTCAGTTTTTGCAGTCTTCTCTTGAACTCCCTGCTCATTCACTGGCATACCTGGCCAGTGTTCATCAGCATGCATATCCTACCAAGCCCAAATCTAAATAATTTTAAACCTCCAGAAACCATGGCTGTCAGCTCTGTCTTTTAGTTTAAACTTTCATGAGAAAAAACTTGATTAGCATACCTTATAGGATAGAGTTCTATCAGCTATGGCCAAATGGGGTAGGACCACGTGGAAACCTGGCCATAGGTGCCTTTCTTTCAGCTGAGACTGGAGGCTTGGGAGGCAGTTCTCAGGGATGCATGAGATAAGATTTAGTAGCAGTGCATCACCACCTCATCGTTCAAAGCTATGGAAAAAAACTAAACACTGAAATGCAGGCCTAGAGAATCTACAAGAGGAACAATTACAGGAGTTGTTTCCAGAGTGATTGGTAAAAGCTTGAAACCCAAGGCCACCAGGAAGTATCCTAACAGTTTATCATGCTTTTACCATTAGCTATTTTACTTCTGAGTGGCCTATCTTTTCCTACTTTGAGTTAGAGGGCAAAGAAGACATCCTGCATTCAGAATGAGAGGAGATTAGGTTATGCTCAAAGAAATGCAATGAGCTTCCCTAAAGGAAGTTGATCACTGTGTGGAAAAATTAGCACTAGTGAAAAGAGAGGACCAAATCTGTATCTTTTCTTCAGGTAGCCAAAGGTAATATTTTGCCACTATGACAGAGGCCTGTGGGACTACTCAACAGTTCCTATCAACTCCAGACTTTACCAGTTCATACAAAGCAGGCATATGTAACAATAGTGTGCTTCTCCAAGCACGAAGGGATAGCACAAATGTATAAGAGCAAATACCGCCTGGATCAAGGTGTTTATGCAGATGCTGGCTTATGCTCCTTCACAGAATCCCACCATGACCACACACCCTGGCTTGAGTTGAGAGAATTCTTTAGGACAATAATAATGCAATTGTAGTTTCTTATGACAAAACTAACAAACATCAAACTGATATGTCAGAAAGAACTTCTGGGTTACAGAGACTTGAAGAGCCCTGACCTTGAAAAGCAGAGATAACACTGAAAATCATTTCCAAGTGGGTTTAGCCTGCTTAACTGAGGTCCAAAGCAACTGTGATAATCAATTTGATGTGTCAACTTGGCTAAGCTACAGTCTCCAGTTATTTAATCAAACATTAATTTACACGTCACTATAAAGGCATTATGTCAGTGTGATTAAAGTCCACCAGTTGATGGGACTTTATCAGGGTATAGTATGGGAGATTATTCTATGAAATCTGTGTGGGCCTGATTTAATCAGTTAAAAAGCCTTAAGAGCAGAGCTGAGGCTTCCATAATGAAAAGAAATTCCACTTGTGGATGGCAGCTTCACTCCATGGGTGAGAGTTCCAGCCTGCCCTTCCTGATGGCCTGCCTTACGAAATTCTGACTTGCCTAAATCAGCTCCAACAATCACATAAATATTTCCCTGCAATAAATCTTTATCTCTCTCTTTTTTTTAAAGATGGAGTTTCACTCTTGTTGCCCAGGTTGGAGTGCAAAGGTGCAATCTTGGCTCACTGCAACCTCTGCCTCCTGAGTTCAAGAGATTCTCCTGCCTCAGCCTCCTAGGTAGCTGGGATTACAGGCATGCGGCACGAAACCTGGCTAGTTTTTTGTATTTAGTAGAAATGGGGTTTCACCATGTTTGTCAGGCTGGTCTCCAACTCCTGGCCTCAGGTGATCCACCTGCCTTGGCCTCCCAAAGTGCTGGGATTACAGGCATGCACCACTGTGCCCGGCCCCAGGAAATCTCTTTTTTTTTTTTTTGAGATGGAGTCTTGCTCTGTCACCCAGGCTGGAGTGCAGTGGCATGATCTCAGCTCACTGCAAGCTCCGTCTCCTGGGTTCACGCCATTCACCTGCCTTAGCCTCCCGAGTAGCTGGGACTACAGGCGCCCACCACCACGCCCGGGTAATTTTTTGTATTTTTAGTAGAGACGGGGTTTCACCGTGTTAGCCAGGATGATCTTGATCTCCTGACCTTGTGATCCGCCCGCCTCAGCCTCCCAAAGTGCTGGGATTACAGGCTTGAGCCACCATGCCCGGCCAGTAAATCTCTTTAATATACATCTCCTACTGGTCCTGTTTCTCTGGTTGAACCCTGACTGATAAAGCAACTAAATAATTATAATAACCCCAAGAGATAGGTACTTTAATTAGCTCCATTTATAGATGAGGAAACTGAGGTAAAGAAAGATTAAGAAACTTTCCCAGGGAACCCAGCTCCCAAGTGGTGAAGCTGGGATTCTAACCCCGTCAGCCTGATGCCTGGACCCAAGTACTTCACACACTATCCCACAGCTTCTCGAGTGGTTCTACCAATACAGGCAGAACCTAAACAATCGAAAAAGTATTTTTTTTTTTTTTTAAGAGAAAGCGTCACTCTGTCACCCAAGCTGGAGTGCAGTGGTGCAATCTTGGCTCACTGCAACTTCTGCCTCCTGAGTTCAAGCAATTCTCCTGCTTCAGCCTCCTGAGTAGCTGGGACTACAGGTGCTCACCACCACGCCCAGCTAATTTTTTGTGTTTTTAGTAGACATGGGGTTTCACCATGTTGGCCAGGCTGGTCCCGAACTCCTGACCTCAAGTGATCTGCCCACCTCGGCCTCCCAAAGTGCTAGGATTACAGGCGTGAGCCACTGCACCCAGCCTGAAAAAGTATTTCTTAAAAATCATTTTGGATTGCCCTAGAAAGCCTCCAAACTTGGGCATGACCTGAGAGTATTTTTAAAATTCACTTTGGATCACCCTAAAAGTTTCCCAAATTTGGGCACAGACAGTCCAGATTTCAAATACAGGCTTAAGAGTTATGCACTGGTGTCTATGCCTTGAATCCAAGTGATCTGACTCCTGAATGGCTTCAGAAAGGCCTCTGAAAAGCTCCGAGCATACAGATTTCCAGAGGCTGTGGATTAGTACAAGACCCCTTTTGGAAAGTGCTCTTTTGGGACCTGAAATAAAAATAACAGAAATGGGTTAAAAAATCTGAGCATTATAACATAAAAATATGAGTTAAACTGGAAGAAACAATATTCTTATTGGACACCTTCTAGGACAGAGTTCTATTAGCTATGGCCAAATAGCGTAGGACCATTTTCTTCTGGTTCATCCATAAAAAACACAGGGAAAGGGAAGAATCTCAAAGAATGTTACAGAGGTAAGAATGCAACCCTTCATGAAGATAATTTGGTAGTATATATGAAAAGTCTTAAAATATTTATATATTTTTTGTTCCATTAATTCTACTGCTAAGAATTTATCACAAGGAGATAATCAGTGATGGTCCATAAAAATGTAGGTATAAGAATCTGATTACAGGATTATTTACAATAGTAAAATCTTGAAATAACCTAAATGTCTGATAATAGAAAAAGTTTGGTATACTACATGATGAAATGCCATGAAAATCATGTTATGGGAAAATGTTTATAAACTATTGTTTTATGAAAAGAAACTTATATATATCATCCCAATTTTTTTTTTTTTTTTTTTTGAGACAGAGTCTCGCTGTCACCCAGGATGGAGTGCAGTGGCGCAATCTCAGCTTACTGCAAGCTCCGCCTCCTGGGTTCCTGCCATTCTCCTGCCTCAGCCTCCCCAGTAGCTGGGACTACAGGCACCTGCCACCACACCTGGCTAATTTTTTGTATTTTTTAGTAGAGATGGGGTTTCAGGTGTTAGCCAGGATGGTCTTGATCTCCTGACCTTGTGATCCGCCTGCCTCGGCTTCCCAAAGTGCTGGGATTACAGGCGTGAGCCACTGTGCCTGGCCCCCCAGTATTTTTTTTAAAGTACACCAAGTATGCACAAAAGAAAGACTGAACCACCAATATACTAACAGCAATTATTGTTGACTATTAATGATTTTATTTTTTTCTCCTTTTTGTATTTTGACAAACTTTCTATAATAGGCACGTATTATTTTATAGTAACAAAATTTAATTGTTTGTTGTTGTTTTTTTCTTCTGAAATTGGGTCTTGCTCTGTCACCCAGGCTGGAGTATAGATCATAGTTTACTGCAGCCTTGCAACCTCCCAGGCTTAACCCCCATCTCATCTCAGCCGTCAGGAGTTCGAGACCAGCCTGACTGTCTCTACTACAAATATCTGACTATCTCTACTAAAAATACAAAATACCTGACTATCTTGTAAAAATATAAGATATCTGACTATCTGTATTAAAAATACAAAATTAGCCAAGCGTGGTGGTGCATGCCTATAATCCCAGCTACTCGAGAGGCTGAGGCAGGAGAATCACTTGAACCCGGGAGGCAGAAGTTGCAGTGAGCCAAGATTGTGCCATTGCACTCCAGCCTGGGCAACAAGAGCAAAACTCCATCTCAAAAAAAAAAAAAAAAGATAGTGAACTTAATGGATAAATGTTGTGTGTGTTCTGACTGTTCCACTGGCAGTTCCCCCATCTTTTCCCCTCTCCTTGGGTCTCCTTATTCCCTAAAACAATACTGAAATTAGGGCAATTCATAATCCTACAGTGGCCTCTAAGTGTTCAAGTGAAAGGAAGAATTGCACTTCCTTCATTTTAAGCTGAAAGCTAGAAATGGTTAAGTTTAGTGAGGAAGGCAGGTCGAAAGCTGAGATAGGCCAGAAGCTAGGCCTCTTCCACCACACATTTAGCAAATCTGTTAATTAAAAAAAAAAAAAAAGGTTCTTGAAGGAAATTAAATGTGCTATCCCAGGGACCACATGAATGATAAGAAAGTGAAACAGCCTTGTTGCTGATATGAAGAAAGTTTTAGTGGTCTGGATAGAAGATCAACCCAGCCACAACATTCCCTTATGCCAAAACCTAATCTAAAGCAAGGTCCTAACTCTCTTCAATTCTATGAAGGCTGAGATAAGTAAGGAAACTGCAAACTGCACAAAAAAGTGGGAAGCTAGTAGAGGTTGGTTCATGCAATTTAAGGGAAGAAGGTGTCTTCATGACATAAAAGTGCAAGGTGAAGTTGCAAGTGCTGATGGAAAAGCTGCAGCAAGTTATCCAGCAGATCTAGCTAACATGATTGGTAAAGGTGGCTACACTAAACAGCAGATTTTCAGTGTAGATGAAGTAGTATTATATTGGAAGAAGGTGCCATCTAGGACTTTCCTAGCTAGACAGAAAAGTCAATGTCTGGCTTTAAAACTTCAAAGGACAGGCTGACTTTTGTTAGAGGCTAATGCAGCTGATGACTTTAAGTTGAAGCCAATGCTCATTTACCATTAAATAATTTTTTTATTTTTTAGTAACAAGTTCTCATTCTGTCATCTAGGCCAGAGTACAGTGCTGTGATCAAGGCTCATGACAGCCTCAACCTTCTGGGCTCAAGCAATCCTCCTGCCTCAGCCTCCCTGGGACTACAGGCACATGCCAACACACCTGGCTAATTTTTATTTTTTGTAGAGACAGGGTCTTGCTATGTTGCCCAGGCTGGTCTCAAACTCCTGCCCTCAAGCAATCCTCCTGCCTTGGCTTCCTGAAGTGCTGGGATTATACGTGTGAGGGGCACCTGGCCTCATTTACCATGTTGAAACTCCTAGGGCCCTTAAGAATTATGATAAATCTATTCTGCCAGTGCCAGTGGAACAACAAAGCCTAGATGACAGCATATCTGTTTACAGCATGGTTTACTAAATATTTTAAGCCCACTCTTGAGACCTATTGCTCAGGAAAAAAGATTCCTTTCAAAATATTACTGCTCATTGACAATGCACCTGGTCACCCAAGAGCTCTGATGCAGATGTACAGGGAGATTCATATTGTTTTCATGTCTGCTGACACAACATCCAATCTGCAACCCATGGATCAAGGAGTTATTTTGACTTTGAAGTCTTATTATTTAAGAAATACATTTTGTAAGGCCATAGTTGCCATAGATAGTAATTCCTCTGATGAACTGGGGCAAAGTAAATGGAAAACCTGGAAAGGATTCACCATTGTAGATGCCATTAAGAATATCTGTGATTCATGGGAGGAGGGCAACGTAACAACATTAACAGGAGTTTGGAAGAAGTCGATTCCAACCCCCATGGATGACTTTGAGGGGTTCAAGACTCCCGTGGAGGAAGTAACTGCAGATATAGTGGAAACAGCAAGAGAACTAGAATTAGAAGTGGACCCTAAAGATGTGACCACATTGATGTATCTGATGATAAAGCTTCAGTGGATGAGGAGTTCCTTCTTCTGGATGAGCAAAGAAAGTAGAATTTACTCCTGGTGAAGATGCTGTAAACATTGTTGAAACGACAACAAAGGATTTAGAATAAATTTAGTTGATAAAGCAGTGGTAGGATTTAACAGGATTGGCTCCAATTTTGAAAGAAGTTCTACTGTAGGTAAAATGGTATCAAACAGCATTGCATGCTGCAGAGAAACTGTGAAAGGAAGAGTCAATCGATGTGGCAAACTTCATGGCTGTCTTATTTTAAGATATTGGGACCAGGAGTGGTGGTTCATGCCTGTAATCCCAGGATTTTGGGAGGTAGAGGTGGGTAGATAACTTGAGCCCAGGAGTTCAAGACCAGCCTGGGCAACATGGTACAATCTGTCTCTACAAAAAAATACAAAAATTAGCCAGGCATGGAGGCACACACCTGTAGTCCCAGCTACTTGGGAGGCTGAGGTGGGAAAACTGCTTGAGCCTAGGAGGTCAAGGCTGCAGTGAGCCGTGACTGCACCACAGCATTCCAGCCTGGGTGACAGATCAAGATCCTGTCTTGGAGGGAGGAATTAATAATATGAATTAATTAATTAATTAATTAATTTATTTATTTATTTGACAGGGTCTTGTTCTGTTGCCCAGGTGTGTGGTGGTACAATCCTAGCTCACTGTAGCCTCAAACTCCTAGGCTCAGGGCTTAGCTAATCCTCCTGCCTCAGCCTCCTGAGTAGCTGGGACTACAGGTGCATGCCACCGTGACTGGCTAACTTTTAAATTTTTTTTTTTTTAATTTTATTTTTATTGATCATTCTTGGGTGTTTCTCACAGAGAGGGATTTGGCAGGGTCATAGGACAATAGTGGAGGGAAGGTCAGCAGATAAACAAGTGAACAAAGGTCTCTGGTTTTCCTAGGCAGAGGACCCTGAGGCCTTCCGCAGTGTTTGTGTCCCTGGGTACTTGAGATTAGGGAGTGATGATGACTCTTAACGAGCATGCTGCCTTCAAGCATCTGTTTAACAAAGCACATCTTGCACCGCCCTTAATCCATTTAACCCTGAGTGGACACAGCACATGTTTCAGAGAGCACAGGGCTGGGGGGTAAGGTCACAGATCAACAGGATCCCAAGGCAGAAGAATCTTTCTTAGTACAGAACAAAATGAAAAGTCTCCCATGTCTACTTCTTTCCACACAGACACGGCAACCATCCGATTTCTCAATCTTTTCCCCACCTTTCCCCGCTTTCTATTCCACAAAACCACCATTGTCATCATGGCCCGTTCTCAATGGGCTGTTGGGCACACCTCCCAGACGGGGTGGTGGCCGGGCAGAGGCGCCCCTCACCTCCCGGACGAGGCTGCTGGCCGGGCGGGGGGCTGACCCCCCACCTCCCTCCCGGACGGGGCGGCTGGCCGGGCAGAGGGGCTCCTCACTTCCCAGTAGGGGCGGCCGGGCAGAGGCGCCCCTCACCTCCCGGACGGGGAGGCTGGCCGGGCAGGGGGCTGACCCCCCACCTCCCTCCCGGACGGGGCGGCTGGCCGGGCGGGGGGCTGACCCCCCCCACCTCCCTCCCGGAAGGGGCGGCTGGCCGGGCAGAGGGGCTCCTCACTTCCCAGTAGGGGCGGCCGGGCAGAGGCGCCCCTCACCTCCCGGATGGGGAGGCTGGCCGGGCAGGGGGCTGACCCCCCCACCTCCCTCCCGGACGGAGCGCCTGGCCTGGCGGGGGCTGACCCCCACCTCCCTCCTGGACAGGGCGGCTGCCGGGCAGAGACGCTCCTCACTTCCCAGACGGGGTGGCTGCCGGGCGGAGGGGCTCCTCACTTCTCAGATGGGGCGGTTGCCAGGCGGAGGGTCTCCTCCCTTCTCAGATGGGGCGGCTGGGCAGAGACGCTCCTCACCTCCCAGACGGGGTCGCGACCGGGCAGAGGCGCTCCTCACATCCCAGACGGGGCGGCGGGGCAAAGGCGCTCCCCACATCTCAGACGATGGGCGGCCGGGCAGAGACGCTCCTCACTTCCTAGCTAACTTTTAAATTTTATGTTGCCCAAGCTGGTCTCAAACTCCTGGCCTCAAGCAATCCTCCTGCCTTGGCCTCCCAAAGTGTTGCGAATACAGGCATGAGCCACCACAGCCGGCCTCATTAAAATATTCTGAAGACCGTACTTCAGTTTATAAGGCCTCTTCTACCTAGAGTTTCTCTTCAGAATCCATGACCAAGAGAAACTACTGGGCAATAGATAGTGATACACTTTAAGTCCGCCTGTCATTCCTTGATAGCATCCCTGAACTGCCTGCACAAGGCAGTGTGCCAAGGGAAAACATTATCTTGAGGAAACAGGTTTATAGTTGAGGGAATGTTTGTATTGTAGACACAATGTTACTCTGAAGCCTCCAAACAATCCATACTTTCCTTCCATTCTTTCATTTTTTTAATTAACAAAGGATACTGATTCTCAATCCTCCTGTCCAAAAGGAAGCAAGGTCACAAACAAGTCCTTCAGGATTCCTGCCTTAAATGTTGCTGCATTTAGAAGTGTTGCAAAAGAGCTGGCTTGCTCACTCTGCATTTCTGGAAAGATGGCCTACAACTAAAATGAGATTAGAAGTGGCAAAAACTTATCATGAGGGCAGAAATGAATGCTCTGATTTATTATGCAGAGGAGCTGCTAATCAACAAAGATACTTCAAACCTTGAAATTGAATTCTTGGGACCAGGCCTGATTTCTGGTTTCAGGAAAGGGTTTTACCTTTTTTTTTTTTTGACGGAGTCTTGCTCTGTTGCCCAGGCTGGAGTGCAGTGGCGTACTCTCGGCTCACTGCAACCTCTGCCTCCCGGGTTCAAGTGATTTTCCTGCCTCAAGCCTCCTGAGTAGCTAGCTGGGATTACAGGCGCATGCCACCATGCCCGGCTAATTTTTGTATTTTTAGTAGAGACAGGGTTTCACCATGCTGGTCAGGCTGGTCTCGAACTCCTGACCTCGTGATCTGCCCATCTCGGCCTCCCAAAGTGCTGGGATTACAGGCATGAGCCACCGCGCCCAGCCAGGGTGTTACCTTTAAGGACAAGACTGAATTCCGATCAACAGCAGTTTACTTTTAATGAGACAGGAGGTGATTGAGCTAATGAATGACTGTTCAGTAATTCTGTCCTAAGATTTTTCCAGGAATTAGCTAGTACGCTTCTGTGGCGTACAGTCCTAATCAATACATTTGAAGAATGTGATGTATGCTGTGTTCAATAAGGGAAAATATTTGAATAAAAATTTAAAGTCCACTTTCCCAAGGATATTTATTAGTTGGAGTAAAACCATAACCTAAGGATAGATTGAGGGCCACAAAGATGTATACAAACTTCACTTGACTACAGGCTGTTTAACCAACATTTTGTAGAACTGTATAAACAACTACTTCTAAATTATACTGCAGAAAGGTAAATAACTAATATAAAATATAACCCAAGGGAAAGAGAGGAAAGAATTAGGATGAAAAAAATTTAAGGGCCAGGAGTTCCATGCGCCCTGGACTGCTGAGAAATGGGTGGCCAACAAGCCCATCTTGAGAAAAAGTAATAAACACAAGACCAGCTGCTGTTCCAAAGTTAACTGCCTGCTGATAGTTTAATTTGAAACAACTTCAGAAAAGCCCCACACTAAGTACTATGGCAGTGGTAGACCAGCCAATAAAACTTTTCAATTACCCAACTGCTACACCATATACATGCTTCATTTTCATTCCCATCACACTAGGGGGAAATGCTAAAGTTACATTTCTGAAAACCACAACAAAACAACACTGTGTGTGTGTGTGTGTGTGTGTGTGTGTGTGTGTGTGTGTGTGTGTGTATTCTCTGTAGGATGACAAAAAAATGTTAATAGTCCTTTCACATCTTCCTTTGCAAAAGAATTTCCCGCCCACAAAACCTGTATATATTTAAATGTTTCACCTTGTTTATGGCATTACAGATGCTGCAGCAAAAGTAATGTTTCTCTTATTGCTTAGAAAACATAATGCCAGAAAGTAATTACACAGAGCTATAGTTTATAGAGGTACAGGTATCAAAACATATGGTCAGGGAAATGCTACAGAATTTCAGTATTAAACTAACCCCAGCAGAGCATGGTATTTTGATAGACATACTTAGAAAAGAGAACAGCTAAAACAAGTTAAATCTTTTGCTTTTAGCTAATCTATTTAAACCACAATGTGATGATGGTAAAGTGTCAAAATAAAATCTTCAACATCTTCATAAAATCAACAAAAGGATACCAATGCAGAGAACCAAGACCCTTTTAAATTCGTAATGATATAGTGATTGCTATGAGTTTTAACATCACCAACTATTAACTCTGAGAGTACTAAACTATGTGCTACAAATATTCTGCATGTTGAGTTTCAGTCTCTCCCTGTGCTGGGTGACATTTCAGGCCACATTATGGGGAGGGAAGTTGTAATGGGCTCTAGAGAACTTGGAACAGTACCAAACACCAGGAAGCTATCTGAGATTTGGGAAGCAAACAGACATGTACGGCACATAAAATTTAAAAACTTAAAAGTAATTGTGAATGAAAACAAAAAAAAAATCTATCTTGGAAGAACAATAAAGGTTTTCCTACACATCTATACACAAAGATATGAACATAAAGATGCTTATTGCAACATCATTTCTAACTGCAATGAATTGGAAACAACCTAAAGGACTGGTTAAATAAATTATAATAAGGTTACACTGGAAAATTTTATGCAGTAGTTAAAAAAATAATGAAGTGGAAACTGACATGGTAATACTTTCTAAATAAGTTAAAAAAGTCAAATTGACAGAAACACATATATATGTATACAGATATACAAACATACATATAAGCACACATACTACACATACACACACATATATATATCCCCATTTGTTCTAAATATTATTTAAATATATGCTATATATATGCATAGAAAGCAGACTAGGATAGACACTGAACCACCACTCTTAAGTCACCTATGGGATAAAGGCAGATACCACATGTTTCTGTACTATTAAAACATGTTTTCACGTGTTAGTTGTAGAACTCTTAAGTGCCAAAAAAGAGAAAAATTTGCAGAGAAATACAAGATGCTTCTAGTAAAAGGAGACATGGGAGCAGGTCTATAAGTACAGGTAAAATCTGAAGTGTTTAATCAATTTTTTCTGAACATTCTTGACTATTTCCTCAATTTTTCTCTTTAAAAAGAATTCACTCAATTTTATACTCATGTCCTATAAAAACATCTTTATCATTGCCATAGGATTCAAAAAGGTCTCCTGATGCCATTTAAAAAAAAATTATGAAACTATGCAGAGTTTTTTTTTTTTCTTTCTTTTTTAAGAGACAGGGTCTCACTCTGTCATGCAGGCTGGGATACAGTGGTGTGATCATAGTTCACCAAACTCCTGGGATCAAGCAATCCTCCCACCGTAGCCTCCCAAGCAGCTAGGACTACAGGCATGAGTCATCATGCCCAGCTAATTCCCAGGAGTTTAAAAAAGTATAGATAATATTGCAAATCCTATCTCTTAGCTTAAGAAATAAAACAGTCAAGATACACTTGAAGCTCCCTGTGGATCCTTTCCTGGCCCATTCATTTGATAATCAATACCCTAATTTCACTATTTATGACTTCCGCACATCTTTTTATACTTTTAGTACCTATACGTAGTCATAAAAATATACAACAAACAATGTATTATTTGTGTTTTGCCATGTGGTCCCTGTTGGTACAACTCTCCTGTTGTAATGTGAAAGCAGCCCAAGATGATATGCAAATGGACATGGCTGAGTTCCTGTAATATTTTAATTAAAAAATGGTGGCAGGCCAGATTTGACCCATTTGCTGACTTCTGCTTTATATAAATGGCATTATACTGTAACTATCCTTCTACAGCTTGCTTTTGTCATCCAAAATTATGTTTCTGAGATGTATCCATGTTCTCACATACTACATATCCTTAATTCAAACAGGGCTACTCTGAACTGACAAAGATTCTGAAACTTTTCCTAGTCCCATCTGTGTACTTCCTTGTAAAATCCAGTTTTGGCAGTAAGTCAGTTTAGCAAGAATCCTCATCTTCAATATCAGATTACTCTTAACATCTGATCAGGTTCAATCCCCTGCCATCCTCTTGGTGATGTCTGATCACCCTGGTCTGACTTCAGCAAGAATCCTATTAGGTCAACTTAGCTATAATCCCCTTTATCCCCGATGTCTCCTCTCAGTAATTTTCTATCCACTGACCCCCACGCCCTGCTCTTTTACTATAAATTCCCACTTGCCCATGAGTTGAGCCCGACCTAACTCCCCGACTGCAAAATCCCATTGCAGTTGTCCCTATACCTATCTTGATAGTCCTGAATAAAGTCTTCCTTACAGTTGTACCAAATTACATACTCTCATATGTACTTGGTATTTTCAGTCTTTGAGAGTTCTGTGCCAATTCCATGGAAGTGAAATGGTATCTCATTACCATGTTAGTGCACATCTTAATCCTAGCAAGGTGAAGAATCTTTTCATATATTAACTGGTTACTTAGGTTTCATCTTTTATGTGTTCCCTACCTGTATTTACTTGTCTTTTTCTTCCGTATGCGTAGTTTTTCTTTATCCTGGATACTAACCTTTGTCACCTACGTGCACTGCACAGTCATGACTTCCCTTTTCACATGCTTCCGATGTATTCATGTACATAAATCTTAAATTTTCACATAGTCAGATTTATCAGTCTTTTTCTTCATGGTTTGTATTTGTTGACCCTTAAGAACTCACTACCTCATAAAGATATTCTTATATATTTCTTTGAAATGTTTCCATTTTACTTCATTTCTTTAGATTTTTATCTCATGTCATAAGATAAATCAAATTCCGTGTAGATTAAAAATATGGATAATCAGTTATTCAAGCACCATCTGTTGACATACCAGCTTTCCCTCATTGATCCGTAATGCTGCCTCTATCATACCACATGACACAGAACTCTATGCATTCATCTATGTCTGTGGGCTCTTTAGTCTGCTTCAACAACCTATTTCTAGGTTTGCTGACAAAAGACTGTCTTAATTACTTAAAAGAGTTCACCTCTCCTCTTTGATCTTCAAAGTTGCCTTGGTTAGTCTTGCTCTTCCTTATACATCTAAGAATCACTTTGCTGAATTTCCATTTTCTTACTTCTATGATTTTTAATGAAATTTCATTTAATTTTATGAATGGATATCAAAGGGGATTATGACAGGTCACTATAAGAAGACTTTAGGGAGGCCAAGATTCAAATGACAATTTTTGAGAAATAGATTTAAGGTTCTTTGTTTTGCCGCCTTCTTTTTTTGCTGCTGTAAAATATTTCCTTGTAGTAGATAAAACATTTGAGATGAATTAGCTGGTAGTTCAGACCCCTAAGTCATCAAGATCTATTATTTAGAGCTGGTGGGATGGTAAAAAGAGCTCTTAATTTTCTATTGGTGGCACTGACTGCCATAGGGCTTAACATTCTTTATTATCTTTAGCTCCTACTTCCCTCTAATTCGTTTCCCAAACTGCCACTCCATGGTACTTTTTCCTAGATGTTATTAATAGCTATGTCTGGGAAAAGAAGTTATAAATTCAAATAAATTTTTAAACGAGTGTGTAGTATAGCTCTCACTTGGAGTTTTATAATGTACTTGAGTGTATCAAAGACTCTGAGGAGCATCACAGTAAAGAAATATGGCTAATTTTGTTTAACTCACCATTTCATAAACTTTTCTGCATATTAACACTTATTTCTTGACATACTGATTAATAATCTACAGAAGAGAGTTCTGTGGGACATCAATTTGGGAAATGGTGTGTTTAAACTAGTAAGGTTGAGACAAGAACAACGCAGATATTTCTCACATGTGTATCAATCAATCGGCAGCAAGCAAATCAACATCAAAACAAAGTAATCAAAAACCACCCAGGATGCCTTTTGCTTGGGGTCTTAGTGTTGGCCTACATATGATAAAACTTTTCCTTTAACTTGACAAGAATTATGTTTTCCTTCTTAGTTTAGCACTGAGGTGAAAGAACAGGCAGACGTCCCAGATTTATTCACCTCTTACTATGAAAGCTATAGGAGTGCTTGGCCTCTAAAAACACAAACAAGAGAAATGCATTTCTGTTATCCCTGTTGGGCTTGGAGCCCATCATTCTTGTTGCCAAGTGGCCTGAGGAGAACCGAAAAACATACCAAAATTAAATGACTTTTTGTTTATATTTTCTTCTTTCTGCTCTGTTGATGCAGCAGGTATTAATCTGCTTGATGCACTGCTGGCCTGGCGGGGTAGCCCTGCTCAGCTGAGGATGGCAGGAGAACAGGTCACCGCCAATGTCAGCAGATACCCTGGACAGAAAACGATGTCCTTTCCTGAAAAAACATTTCTCCTTTCTTATAGGGCATCACTCCTTGCTGTTGTAACACACAGATCCAATAATAGTCGTGGGCGAGCTTTTGAGAGTCAGGTTCTTCCCGATTTGTAAGGTAAAAATACTGATATTTCCCTTTCTCTCCTCAAAATACCTTTGGCATTTATTTATTCAACAATTATTTATTGTTTATTGTGGGCCAGGCAATCTACTAAGTGTCAGGGTTACCAAGACCAATAGCACAGTCCTAAAGAACTTGACAGTATAAATAAGAGATTAAAAATACTGAGAATACTTTCCGAATACCCTCAAAGGTACCACAGCATTGCCTAAAATATAACTGTAAAGACTGGGAACTTCACTTTAGGGTCAATAGATTCTCAGAGATTGGGAGTGTAAGTCCACAACAATGGACCCTCCTTCAACCTGGAGACTTTTTCTTATTTTCTATTGTATTCTGAGCCAGAACAGAGACTCACAAGAGATATTTATTGGCTATTAGTGAGCAAGGAGCTGGAGCCATCTAGAATAATGACTTAGCCATGCATGAATCTTCTCTATTTTTATTTCCAGCGCTAGCTTATTTAGCTTTTCTTTGACAGCATTACTTCACAGAGTAGCCCATTCCATTTTTGACCAGCTCTGTCAGGAAATTCTTCCTCATTTTGTGCAGAAATATATCCCCCTCCAAGTTCCACCCACAGAGGTGCATTCTGTCCTCCCTCTGGGACTCCCAGGAACACACACAACAGTTCTCTCCACTGTGTCCTTCTATTTTGAAATTTTCATGTCTACAAAAAAGCTGAAGAAACAGTATAAGTAACACCTATATGCCTTTCATCTATTCACCAATTATTAACAGTTTCCAATATCTGCTTCTTTATTGCTCATCCTGGGTTTTTTCCCCCTGAATTGAGATTTATTTGCAAACATAAAACTATATCACCCTTACATTAATACTTTGGCATATATCTCCTAAGAATCACATTCTCCTGCATAATAACATTTCTATTCTACACCTTAAAAAGTAATGTTTAATAAAATATTATTTAAAATAACATCCATGTTTAAATTATCCCCTCCCCAACCTTTTTTAAAGTTGGGATTTTTTAGTCCTAGATTTTTTTTTTAAATTCACATATTAGATTTGGTTGTTAATATCTCTTTGGTCTCTCTCTCTCTTTTTTTTTTTTTTTTTTTTTTTGAGACGGAGTCTCACTCTGTTGCCCAGACTGGAGCGCAGTGGAGTGATCTTGGCTCACTGCAACCTCTGCCTCCCGGGTTCAAGTAATTCTCCTGCCTTGGCCTCACAAGTAGCTGGGATTACAGGCATGCACCACCATGCCCAGCTAATTGTTAGTAGAGATGGAGTTGGCCATCATTTTGGCCAGTCTGGCCTCGAACTCCTGACCTCAAATGATTCACCTGCCTTGGCCTCCCAAAATGCTGGGATTACAGGTGTGAGCCAACGCGCCCGGCCTCTTTGGTCTCTTGTTACCTGGAATATTCTCCCAGCCTTTTTTTTTTTTTTTTTTTCCTTAGGACTACTACATAAGTGTACTGCTTATCTCACTAGTGATAATATACATGTTGACTACTTGATTTAGATGGTGACCACTAGGTCTCTCCATTGAAATGGTAAATTTTCCCCCTTTGCAATTAAAAACTGATCTGTGGGGTGATATTTTAACAACTTTTCCCAACAACTTTTTTTTTTTTTCAACAGCAGCTGGTATCTTTTGATGTTTCCCAACAACTTTTTACAGAAGTTTTAGCTGCCACTGATGATCTTTGCCTGCATCAACTATTACTTTGAGAATTACAAAATGATGATTTTCTAAGTTCTGTCATTTCTCCTACATGGGATCCATTATCATCATTTTTTTTGGATACTCAAATTACCCCAAAATTTGGCCAGTGAAAATCCCTTGATGCTACCATCTGTCTTTTCAACATGACCCCATTAGTTGAGCACTTCCTAGCTTTCTATCACAACTAGATGTCCAGGATCATCTTGTATTTTCCCTTAGCCCAGACCCAGAATCCGCCATTCCTCCAGTGGCCAGCATTCCTCTTAGTAGGGAACAGCATTTATTAGGAAGAATTCTGCTAGTTTCCTCCACGTATCAGCCTCTGGGTGTTTGAAGCCAGTTATCGTTTCCATCCCATGCACTTCCCCAAACTTTCACATCTGGGCTAAGTTCTCCCAGTTCCTCACACCAGTCTTCCTATGGTTTAGCTTTGACTTTTATCTTACTCTTTTTTTTCATCTTCCCTGTCCCAACTCAGCTGCTATATTCTAGACCAGTGGTCCCCAACCTGACTACGCATCAGAATCACTGGGGGACTTGTTTAATATACAGATTTTGAGGATTCATTTGAGACTTATTAAATAGAATATCTGGGGTTGGGCATGGGATTCTGTTTTGTTTTGTTTTTTAAGGTCTCCATGTGGTATCTATACAGTCACTCCACTGCATACTTCAGTTTTTCAAGGTCTTGTGGACCCCAAATTGAACAGAATATCAAAAGTATGATCTAGGCCGGGCACGGTGGCTCACGCCTGTAATCCCAGCACCTTGGGAGGCCGAGGCAGGTGGATCACGAGGTCAAGAGATCGAGACCACCCTGGCTAACATGGTGAAACCCCGTCTCTACTAAAAACACAAAAAATTAGCCAGGCATGGTGGCGGGCACCTGTAGTCCCAGCTACTCGGGAGGCTGAGGCAGGAGAATGGCGTCAATCCAGGAGGCGGAGCTTGCAGTGAGCCGAGATTGTGCCACTGCACTCCAGCCTGGGAAACAGGGCGAGACTCCATCTCAAAGAAAAAAAAAAAGTATGATCTAGAGCTACCACTTTTAGCCTGAACATTAAACTTCTTTCAGTGTAATCAAATCGGTGCAGACTTTTTTGGGGGAAGGTAGATGTAATGACATAAGATTTTTGATTCATGGTAAATTTATGAAGAACTAAATCCTTCAGACTTTTTCAAAAATATTGCTAAGTCACATCTCCCTTATCTTTTTATGTTCCACTGGTGTTTCATTCTAAGGGTTTCCATTTGTGCCTATTAAAATTCATATTGCTCAGTTCAGTCCAATCTTCAGAATGTCAAAGGTCTTGGGGATCCTGGTTTTACCATCCTAAGTATTTTTGACTCTTCCAACTTTATGTCACTCACAGTTAAGCATGCTGTCAAAGTCCTTTCTCTTACATTGCCTTATTTTTATTTTTAACAGAGATGAGACAGTGTTTTGCTATGTTGCCTAGGCTAGTCTTGAACTCCTGGGCTCAAGCGATCCTCCTGCCTCAGCCTCCCAAGTAGCTGCGATTACAGGTGTGAACCACCATGCCTGGCTGCTATTTTTCTTTAAGTATCTAATATAAAAGAATCTTACGAACTGTTTAATGATTATGGTGGTAGATACATAATTGTACATGCCTATCAAAACTAGTAAGATTATACACAAAAAAGAATGAATTTTAACATATGTAAATTGTACCTGGAAAAAAAATCAGTCAATATTCTAAATACCCAGCTATATTCTTCTCTCAGATTAGGTCTCACTAACTTATTTTGATTGACAATTTCTGCAAAACGCATTGCTATTCTAAGCAATGAAATTTTTATAGATCTTATATTTTTATTGATTGAGGTCAATGCACTCTAGGGTTTGATCTCTTGAAAAAGCACCAGGATTTGGCTTACCAGAGCAGTCAATCCAATGAGTACATTACTTTAACAATTCCCACAAAATAAAACATCAAAAAAGGTGGTAGAATGTGGAATAAAAAGAAATTAATATTAGAAAAATTATAATCTTTCATAGTACTGGGTTACAAATATTAAATATAGCCTGTCAGTCCTGCCTATGAGAAGTCAGACAATTTTTCACCTATAAGTTTGACAAGGATTTTTTAATGTACTCTTCAGTGTTGGAGAATTCTAGTGAAATACACTCAGTGTGGTTGAGAGCTTAAGTGATACAACCTTCCTGGCCACTTGAAATACCTAACAAAAACATAAAATAATCCATTTGAATATATACATACATATATAATCTAAAAGTCTAGAAAGAAATGTACCAAAATTTTAGCAATAGCCAGCCATCTCTGGCTGATGGAAGGCAGTCTGGGTTTTGTTTTGTTCTGCTTTTTTCATGCTTTGTATTTTTAAAATATCTTTTAAATTTCTACAGTGAGCCTATATTAGTTTTATGATTAGGAAAACAGCAGTACACACTTACAAAAATACTGGTTAAAGGGAGGGGAGGAAAATAAGTCACAAAAACTAATAAATGAGAGTAAAATAATTTTTACGAAAATATATCTGTCACTGATGGGAATTCCTAAAATAAAACATGTTTTCCAGGTAGTCAATAGTTTTATGTGAAATTTTAATTCAGAGAATGAATAAGATTTCCCTTATGAAGCTTCTCTGAATGCTACAGAAGATTCCAATAGACAGTAACTCTAAAGAGGACACTTACATTGCTTCCAAACAATACTTTTCAAATAAGAAGCTTTATACAGAATTATTAGATACTGTAAATTCATACCTTGAAGAACGATGTTCTGGTTTATTTCGTTCGTTGCGATCTGTAGAGAAAGAAGATGGTTACGTGTCAAAAGGTTCTTTAAAAGCTCTGGAAAGAAGTTTTTAAATACCAGCTGCCATACCATTAGATTTCACAAAGGACTGTTCAAAGGTAGTTGTGTCTTCCTAAGTATAAGGCTCTTCATCACAGTTCGCCTGACAGAGGCAGAAAAGACACAATGAAGGACAGGCATAAAAGCTTACGGTTTGTTAAAATCATCTACTTGGAAAATGCATCATTACATGCATTATTTCATTTTATAAGATCTTTCCTGTGCTAAATACTTTGCTAACACTAGAAGAGATTTAGCTAAGGAAAGAAAGCAAGGAAACTGCAAAGCCACAGATTACTCAGCTCAAAAAAATCATTCCATGAATCATGGTTGGCAGAAGCTTCTAACAGAATGGGGAGGGGGAAAAATGAGCAGTCAGCTACAACATCTGCAAATACTAAGACCAATACAGCTTCACCCTTAACTATCTACCACCCAGAACATTTCAGAAGTTGGATTTCAATGTTTCTCCAGTAATTAGATATAATGTGCTCTCTATATAAAATTTTTGATCGTCACAACTGGGAAGAAGGGAACTCTCATGGGTAGAAAGCAGGAATGTTGCTAAAGATCCTACAATGCATAGAGCGGTCCCTTTCACCAAAAGAATTATCTCATCCAAAATGTCAGCAGTGCAGAGGTCGAGAAACCCTGCTATAGGGTAAGAAATAAGAGCACAGATGCTTGAACTTTTCAAAAGTGACTCTCTAGACTGCTGTAACATGCTATTAATCAACCTTGAGACTATCATATACAAGAGAACCATAAAACCCACAGGTTGTCTTTTTTGAACCTGAGTAACAATTTTTCCTCCACTATATGCTTAAGAATTAAAAATAAATGAAGTAAAAGGCCGCAGTGTTATGCAAAAATAAACAATATGAAGCAATATACAAACCACAATATATCCTAAGCAATGACGTTAAGAAAAAATCCTATGGAATATTATCAAAATACAGTTTTCTATAGTATCTTCTGAATTAATGCTAACAAGATAGAATTTAATGGCAACGTAAAGATTAAGACAGGAATGCTTTTAGTTTTTCCTTAATTTTATTGCTGTTAGAACAGAATAAGAGGATTATGAAACATACTCTAAAACTTCTAGAAAGAAATATGGAAGAAAAGGAATAGGATTTACACAGTTAAACGTATGTAACAATTCTTTCTGAATGAGTTCATAATAAAAAAGAAATGTTTTTCAAAGCCAAAGAGTTAGTACTCATGAAAACACTGTTCTCTGAAAGACTAATAAGTAAAAAGATTCACAATAAAGCATGCCTGCTTAGATATAATGATTTCCAAACACATAGTGTTAGCACATTTCTGGTTCCAATTTTTCTACACTGTGACTTAGTATTACTGCAGCTTTTAAAACTTTTCTGTTTTAATTTAACTTGGTTTTACCCCTCCCTTAAATGAAAATATCATGTTTTTCATTTGATGAGTATTAAGATTTTAAAGTCATAGTAACGCAGGGCACATTTAAATCATTTCTCTCAATCATTCTCCAGTTTTTAGCCTGCTAGCTTCGCTACAAAAATGAAGTATAATGTCTCAAAGTAAAGCCAGAAACTGAATACAGATTAGCTATCCTCATATAACAAAGCAACAACTCTTACCTGTGGCTAAAGCCGAGCTAAAACTCTGTCCAGAACATCATTTCCTGTGGCTGTGATCCTAGTTACATAGTTTACTTAGGCATGTAATAGCAAATTTCCCCACTAATCTTCCTAGTGGTACAACACACAAGAGGAAGGGAGAAACAGAGTCACGATGCATGTAAACAAGACTCAGTATCCAAGGGCTTCCCTCCAGGGCCTGTTCTGATTGGCAGATGTGCTATGACCAGTCTGCACAGCTGGAATGTGGCCACTCAGGAAGCAAATGGCTCACAGCTCTCCTTCGTTCTTGGTTAAAACAGGAAATTCTACAGTCATTTTTATACTTTCTGCTCTAAGAAAATACAAATGTCTTCTCATAGCACTTTTCTATTGAACCAGTAATTAAAATTCAACAAAAGACTTGATTATCTGCTGGGGGAAATTTTAAAATTTTCCCCCCAAATTCACTATTAGTGTTATCTGTGTTACATTCCTGTGTAAATATAGATACGCAGTACTTATAAAATGTTACTCCTAAGAATTCACATAGTTGATAATTTGAGGGTAAGGGTAAATTATCCATTACTCACAATATTTCCCATCCCTCACCTCTTGACCATGAAAAACAAATTGAAACACATGTTCTTGGCTTGATCTTTTCCCTCAAAGTATACAAATATTTGGATTTCACATTTTGCCATAAAGCCATCTTTTAGCTTAAATACATATAAATAATGGGGTGTGTGTTGCGTATCTGTGTGTCTTATATACTTATACTTTTTCATATACTTACATTTTAAAGTAATTTTCATGATAGTCAAGATTATTGTGCAATTGTCAAGAAATATATTAGTAGAAATAAATTTTTTGGCAAAATAATAAGTGGTTATTATTTTGTTCCAAAAGCCAAGACTGAACAAAACAAATCACTGAGGGTGGATTCAGAATCTGCTTTCTTGCCAACAATAACAAAACATTTGGATGAAAGCCCAAGAATGAGAACAGATCTATAGCAAACATGGAAATTTAATCTTGGCTATATATAGTGCTTTAAGTGTATGGATTTTATTTTAAATCAAATACTCTTCAGCACATTCTCTGAATTTTTTCTTTTCTTTTTTTTTTTCTTTTGAGACAAGGTTTCGCTCTGTACTCCAGGCTGGAGTGCAGTGGTGCAATCACAGCTCACTGCAGCCTTGAGCTCCTGAGCTCAAGTGATCCTCCCATCTCAGCCTCCCAAGTAGTTGAAGTAGTTAGGATTACAGGCACATGCCACCACGCCTAGCTAATTAAATTTTTTTTTTTTTTTTTGTAGAGACAGGGTCTCCCTATTTTGTCCAGGCTGGTCTCAAACTTCGGGACTCAAGCGATCCTCCTGCCTTGGCCTCCCAAAGTGTTGGGATTGCAGGCATGAGCCACTGTGCTCAGCCTTCCAATTTTTTAGTTTCTAATTTTCAAATTAATTGGGGGAGAATATTTCTAAAGGTTTTCTGAACTTCTGCATATTTAGAAATCATATGAATAACTTTCTAGCCCAAAGTCTCATCATTTCTATGAAAAAAAGAGTTATTAAAAATAAAATGCCTTAACTCTAAAATTTGCCAAATGCTACACATTTGCTGTGGATGATATACTTATTCCAGGGGCCTGCCCAGCAGAGCATGATGGTTTAGGTCACTCAAAGACCAGCAGTATATACTCAGTGTGAGGGTAACCATGGCTGGGTAACCATGTAATGGTTTTATAGATATGTATCACACACACACATACACACACACACCCCGCTCTTCCATTCCCTGTCCCTCTCATCCATGCCTCATGGTTAATAAGGCTAACTGAGGAATAGAAAAGTACTCTGTAAGTAGAACAAAGACAGAAAACAAGGCAGAGGCTGGGTGCAGTGGTTCACACCTGTAATCCCAGTACTTTGGGAGGCCGAGGTGGGTGGATCACCTGAGGTCAGGAGTTTGGGACCAGCCTGGCCAACATGGCAAAACCGCATCTCTACCAAAAGTACAAAAAAATTAGCTGGACGTGGTGGTGCACGCCTGTAATCCCAGCTACTCTGCGGGCTGAGGTGGGAGGATCACTTGAGCTCGGGAGATGAAGGGTGCAGTGAGCCAAAATCACGCCACTGCATTCCAGCCTGGGTGACGGAGTGAAACTCTGTCTCAAAAACAAAAACAAAAACAAAAAACAAGGCAGAGCTGGCACAAAGACTATTGGTTGTGTGTGTATAAATGCTGTGGGGGAGATGTGAGGGATGCAATGGGGGAACCCATGGTATGTCAAGGGGACTGAAGAACAGTTAGGGGAGTGGTGGGATGCTATCATGGGTCAAGGATTCTGTGTAAGAACTCCAGATTATCCACATTTTCCTTTCATGTCAACTTGGTTCTATGTAATCTAGACATATGATTCCAATGTTTATGTATTTAGGTGTTACGCCACTTACGTAGAAATGGGCCCCTGTTCTGGCACAGACAGTTTTTGGGTACGGCTACGCAGATCCTACTGATGTGGAACCATTCAGGGTGATTCTGACTCTAATAATACTTTGAAATGGAGATGACAAAAATGCAAATGCCATCTTTGCTTTGATTAAAACTAAGAAGAATAGCCAACTCAGAACTTATTAGAATCTGTTGTAAGACATTCAGGCTTTGATGATTTAGCTTTGATCACTTAACAGGAGAGAAAAATCAAACCCCATTGGGTAGGGACTTACTTTACTGACTCAAGTTGGAAATGAAAGACCTGAAATCATTCTTTGAAATTAAGGGCAAGGCTCAGTCTACATGAATGAATATACACAGATATACTCACAATGGAGTAAGAAGTGGTTTAAAGTGAGTCTTTTTTTTTTTTTTTTTAATTGAGACAGAGTCTCACTCTGTCACCCAGGCTGGAGTGCAATCTCGGCTCACTGCAATCTCTGCCTCCCAGGTTCAAGTGATTCTTCTGCCTCAGCTGGGACTACAGGTGCATGCCACCATGCCCGGCTAATTTTTGTATTTTTAGTAGAGATGGGGTTTCACCATATTGGCCAGGCTGGTCTCGAACTCCTGACCTCATGATCCAGCCACCTCAGCCTCCCAAAGTGCTGGGATTATAGGTGTGAGCCACCATCCCCGGCCAAAGTGTCCATCTTATATCTCATCTTGGCATACCAAAATCTCTTTAGCAGATGCATTACCAATGAAGCGATTCTGTAGCATACTCCCAAGCATTACTGTTAAGTTCCAGCTTGGGAGTATATACGGTATATATTATTTTTAAAATATGGATGAACCCTATATAAACCCTTTGTGCCATTCAGAATTACCTAAAGGTTCCTTGGGGCTGAAAACAAATTATTTGCAGCAGCAATGTCATTACATCTTTACTTATGACAAGCAGAATAAATAAAACAATGAACTCATCCATTATAAGACATAAGATATCCAGTGTTCATACATCTTACTTTGGTGATTCTTTAAAAGATTGCATAATTGATTCCAAACAAATAGACCATGGATGGGATTTTACTTATCAGATATCAGAATTTCAAATAACTTTTCTAAAAACCTTAAATGGTTCCTATATTTAGAGAGAGAAAACTGCAAATATATATATATATTTCAAGTATATACTTCAAGCATATATATACATACACTTGAAAAGAAGGCAGTGCTCATTCTACAAAGTTACTGACACCAACTAATATGAATCCACCTCTGCTTTCTATTTGACAGCCTTGTTTAGGTGTGTCTCCAAACTGATTTTTATTTACATTTGAGATTCCCACAGTGATGGTCTATTGTTCTTTTAAATGATACCTTTTCAATAAATATATATTTGTTGTTGCTGAAATAACACATTAAGTCAGAAAATTCCTACTCTCTTGGTTAAAAAAGCCAAGAAATTAAAGAGGGTCTCTGTCAGTTACCACTGCAGGGGAGAAATAAGACATACTACAGAGAAGTTTACATGGCTGCTGCTGCCCATGCTTCCATGGGTAAGTGGGAAAGTCTGGTCTACAGCACTATCAATAGTGACATCGTTCATTAATTAAAGTGCCTAAATTCATTAAAATTCATTAAAATGCAGTACTCTAATTACCCAGGAAGGGAAGAATTGGAGATGGAAAGGAAGTTTCTTCAAACAAGAATTTATGTCTTGGCTGGCTGGGGTGGCTCATGCCTGTAATCCCAGCACTTTGGGAGGCTGAGGTGGGCGGATCACTTGAGGTCAGGAGTTCAAGACCAGACTGGCCAACATGGTGAAACCCTGTCTCTAGTAAAACTACAAAAATTAGCTGGACATGGTGGCGCACACCTGTAATCCCAGCTGCTCAGGATGCTGAGGCAGGAGAATCGCTTGAACCCGGGAGGCGGAGGTTGCAGTCAGCTGAGGTCACGCCACTGCACTCCAGCCTGGGGGATGGAGGAAGACTCTGTCTCAAAAAAGAATTTATGTTTCAACAAAGAAGCAGACTATCTCTGGAATGTTTTCTCCTTCCCATCCCCACTGTTTTTACCCTCATTTTAGGTTCTTATCAGCAATTGTCTGGACTCTTATGTCCTGACTGGATTTTCTGGCCCCAGTTTCTTCCCTCTAACCCAATCACATTGCTGGCCAAATAAATCTAGGCCTCAGAAAATTATAAATCACTTAGATCTTCAGAGGATTAAATGAGATAATGCCAGTGACATTCTTAGCACCCTGTCTGTACACTTAAGCATACCACAAATGTCAGCTGCCGTCATGTTGTTAAAAGGCCAGCTATTAACTAGTTGTAGCAAATGATACTGCATCATAGTGACTGTACAAGTCACTTAACCTCCCTAAGCCTCAGTTTTCTCATCTACAAAACAGGGGAAAATACTATCCTTATGGAGTTTTTATGAGGATAAATGAATTAAAGGGTATGAAAGGTTTAGTTCAATATCTAGACCATCAATTCTATGACTCTAATTCTGTGACTACCACTCTTAATATCTTTAATGCATGGCTCAAGAACCACCTTCTCCATGAAGCTGTCCCTGATTCCTCTCTCTCTTCAGCATCCTTGTATTCATTTCTTACTGCTGCTGTACCAAATTACCACAAACTTAGCAGCTTAAGACAACAAAAATGTATTATCTTAAAGTTCTAGAGGCCAGAAGTCAAAATGAGTATCCCCAGACCCATTAATGCGGGGGTCCCCAACCCCTCTGCCATGGACCAGTACCAGTCTATGGCCTGTTAGGAACTGGGCCACAGGGCAGGAAGCAAGCAAGAATTTCTGCCTGAGCTCTGCCTACTGTCAGATAAGCATCCACATTAGATCCTCATAGGAGCTTGAACCCTATTGTGAACCGCACATGGGAGGGATCTAGGCTTTGTGTTCCTTATGAGAATCTAATGTCTGATGATCTGTCACTGTCTCCCATCACCCCCAGATGGGACCATCTAGTTGCAGGAAAACCAGCTCAGGGCTCCCACTGATTCTACATTATGGTGAGTTGTATAATTATTATATATTATAATGTAATAATAATATAAATAAAGTACACGATAAATGTAATATGTTTGAATGATCCTGAAACCAGCCCTCTGCACCTGGTCCATGGAAAAATTGTCTTCCATGAGACCAGCCCCTGGTGCCAAAAAGGTTGGGGACCGCTGCATTAAGGTGTTTGCCAGGCTACATTCCCTTTCGATGCTCTAGGAGAGAATCCCTTTCCTTGCCTTTCGCAGCTTCCTGAGGTCACTTGCATTCCTTGGCTTGTCGTCCTTTCCTCCAATAGTGTAGCATTTAAAAATCTCTTTCTGACTGGTTTCCTCATCTACCTCCCTCTTCTACTTTAAAGGACTTTTATGATGACACTGGGTACACCAGGATAATCCAGAATAATCTCCCTATGTCAAGTTGACTCACAACCTTAATACTCCTTTGCCATGGAAATGTGACATATTTGCAGGTTCCAGGGATTACGATGTGGACATCTTTGTGCGGAGGGGGATAGCATCATTCTGCCTAACGCACCCTATCTGAACTCTCAGACTATCCGTCTATAGCACTCACTTCACACTAAGCATGACAGGGTGCACTGCTGTTTATAAGGTTTTGAGCATGTGTCTGTCCCCTTTATCTAAGCAGCGTCTGATGTAGGCAGGGTCTCTGTGTTAGACTCTGCTTCACAGTCAGTACTCTGTAATGTTTGTTCATAATGGTACTATCCAATGCCCTCCCATTTTCTTTTCTGCCCTGCATCCTTTATGCTGTAGTTGGTTCATGGATATATCTAATATTGCTGCAAAATGATGTGTCTTAAGAATTCCCATACTTTTTTTTGACTTTTTATAAATACAATAGTGATTTTGGTGTCAACTTTCTCCTAAAACAATTCACATTTGGTCTATTCTTCTGCTCAACATAGTCTTCTCCAAAACAAAAAACGCACAGGAAAAAACTACAGCACATTTGAACTGGAAGAGAAACCAGCTATTTGGTGACAGGCTGCTAATTCTTTTTAATAGTTCTTCTTCGAAATGGTTCAAATGAATCATTCTGATTGTTGAATTCAACTGACTATTGAATCAGGCTTTTAATGATTTGGGGTTCTTATGTTAGTTGTTTCAGAGATGAAATCAAAGCCACCATCTGTATTGCCCCTTTTCACTGCAGGGTGAATTTGGTAGAGACTTTAGGAAAATGAACATTTAATCAGTGTCACTTGGGTCCTGGGAAGTAAGGCAGGGAGGGGAGCGGCAAGGGAAGCTGGCTTAGAGAAAGGGGGTCATCAACCCTTCCTGCTGCTCCCTCCTTAAGCTCCCTAATGATTCTCTTGCCTTAATAGTTACTTTCATACCTCTTTTTGTTATAAAATATTTTTCAGCAAGCAAAATTTGTGATTTAAGGAGGTATAAAAAGACCTTTTAGTTCCCTGACTATCAAATGCAAAATATTGGGCCATTCCTAAAGGTTTTTCTTTCCTTTTTTGGTTTTTGTTTTCTTTCCAAGTTTGTGTTTTTTTTTTTTTTTTTTTTTTTTTTTTTTTAGACAGGGGCTCACTCCGTCACTCAGGCTGGAGTGCAGTGGTGCAATCTTGGCTCACTGCAGCCTCGACCTCCTGGGCTCAGGAGATCCCACCTCGCCTCCCCAGTAGCTGGGACTACAGGTATGTGCCATCACACCCGGGTAATTAAAAAAACTTTTTTTCTTGTAGACATGGAATCTCACTTTGTTGCCCAGGCTGGTCTCGAACTCCTGGGCTCAAGTGATCCTCCTACCTCAGCCTCCCAAACTGCTGGGATTACAGGCATGAGCCATCACACCCAGCCTCCAACTTTTATTTTAGGTTCAGGGGTGCATGCGCAGGTTTGTTACATGTTTCAAAGGGGTTTGGTGTACAGATTACTTTGTCACCCAGGTAATGAGCACAGCACCCAACAGGTCATTTTTCAATCCTCCCCCTCCTCCCGCCCTCCACCCTCCAGTAGGACCTAGTGTCCATTGTTCCTTCTCTGTGTCCATGCGTACTCAATGTTTAACTCTCACCTTTAAGTGAGAACATGTGGTATTTGGTTTTCTGTGGGTTTTTAATAAAGGTCATAAATTTAACCTGGAATAAGATATGCTATAAGCAAGGCAATCTGAGAAAGTGACCTAATAACAGATTGCTTTCAGTGTTTCCCAAATTACAATAACCTCTCAAAATCCTGCAATTAAAAAAATTTATTTAACTTTGTTTAACACATTCTCCTAACTAATCTGAGGATAAAACATTTCTTACAGGCCAGGTGCAGTGGCTCACACCTGTAATCCCAGCAGTTTGGGAGGCCAAGGGAGGTGAATCACATGAGGCCAGGAATTCAAGACCCAGCCTGGCCAACATGGTGAAAACCTGTCTGTACTAAAAATACAAAAATTAGCTGGGTGTGGTGGTGCACATCTGTAATCTCAGCTACCTGGGAGGCTGAGGCATGAGAATTGCTTGAACCAGGGAGGTGGAGGTTGCAGTGAGCTGAGATTGCGCCACTGCACTCCAGCCTGGGTGAAAGAGCAAGACTCTGTCTCAAAAAAAAATTTTTTTTCTTACAAAATCAATTTGGATCAGACTTGGTATCTGGTACCTAAGCAAAGACAATGTTATCTCATTATCACCATCCACTCTCCCAGGAAACCAAAGTCCCTTATACAGAGCTTAGTCTTAGTCATCTCCGTGTCCAGCACCAGGCCTGACCCATAGCTACCACTTCTCAAATGAACTGAACTCCAACTGCTATAGGGCCAGGCACAGGCTCCAAGTGCCAAAGCCAGTGGGACGCAATGATAAATCAGTCTCCCCTCCAATCCAATCAGGTTGAGAGATGACAACGTGCTAGCAGCCCTCGTTCACTCTTGGTGCCTCCTCGGCCTCGGCGTCCGCTCTGGCCGCGCTGGAGGAGCCCTTCAGCCTGCCGCTGCGCTGTGGGGGCCCCTCTCTGGGGCTGGCCGAGGCCAGAGCCGGCTCCCTCAGCTCGTGGAGAGGTGCAAGCGGGAGCCGGGGCTGCGCCCGGGGCTTGCGGGCTGGCGGGGGTTCCAGGTGTGCGTGGGTTCCGCGGGCCCCGCACTTGGCACAGCTGGCTGGCACCTGCTGGGCTTGATTGGGGGATGAGCTCCCTCTGGGCTGCCGGAGTGCCCGGGCTAGGTGCTGCAAAGTCCCACCGCGAGGGCCATTGAGAGGTGAAGCCAGCTGGGCTTCTGGGTCGGGTGGGGACTTGGAGAACTTTTCTGTCTAGCTAAAGGATTGTAAATGCACCAATCAGCACTCTGTGTCTAGCTAAAGGATTGTAAACGCACCAATCAGCACTCTGCGTCTAGCTAAAGGGTTGTAAATGCACCAATCAGCGCTCTGTGTCTAGCTAATCTGGTGGGGACTTGGAGAACTTTTGTGTCTAGCTAAAGGATTGTAAATGCACCAATCAGCACTCTGTGTCTAGCTAAAGGTTTTGTAAATGTACCAATCAGCTCTCTGTGTCTAGCTAATCAGGTGGGGACTTGGAGAACTTTTGTGTCTAGCTAAAGGATTGTAAATGGCCAATCGGCACTCTGTGTCTAGCTAAAGGTTTGTAAATGCACCAATCAACAATCTGTCAAAATGGACCAATCAGCTGTCTGTAAAACGGACTAATCAGCTCTCTGTAAAATGGACCAATCAGCTCTCTGTAAAATGGACCAATCAGCAGCATGTGGGTGGGGCCAGATAAGGGAATAAAAGCAGGCCACCCAAGCCAGCAGCAGCAACATGCTGAAGTCCCCTTCCATACTGTGGAAGCTTTGTTCTTTCACTCTTCACGATAAACCTTGCTGCTGCTCACCCTTTGGGTCTGTGTTGCCTTTATGAGCTGTAACATGCACCGCGAAAGTCTGCAGCTTCACTCCTGAAGCCAGCGAGACCACGAACCCAGCGGAAGGAATGAACAACTCTGGACACGCCGCCTTTAAGAGCTGTAACACTCACCGCGAGGGTCTGTGGCTTCATTCTTGAAGTCAGCAAGACCAAGAACCCGCCAATTTCGGACATAAGGTCACAAACCTTTTAAGATCTTTTAAGATTATATTTTTTCTTTAATTCTATCACTTATATATCTTTGATTTTGCATTGCTTAGGTTAATTTGTACATCTCAGAATAACAGCTTACATAAAGAAGGTCAGCACCAATTGCTTACCATCTCCAGGTGTCTACTACTGGGGTGTGCCTGCAGTGGAAAATCAATAAATATTTCAGTATGACAATCTAGGTAGATGTTAAAAGCAGGAACTCTAGGTCAGACAGGCCTTGTTTTGAGTTCTTCACTACTTATTACCTGAAGGACCACAACAAACTGACGTCTCTAAGCTTCAGTGTCCACATCTGTAAAATGGGGAATAATAGCAATACTCATCTCATCAAACAGAATGAGGATTAAATGAATAAAGGTACACAAAGGGTAGTATATTTGCTATGAGTAAGTGCTCAATAAACATCTACTATTATGATAATAGTATCAGGAATACAGAATATTTAGCAAGTTCATAATATTGTGGGCAGAATTACCTAAAGGGTAATTATCCTTTGTCGAACAGGGATTTCTTAATCTGCAGGATTTTTCTTTTTTATTACTGGTCAAGAGGACAGCAATGTACTAATAAATAATTTCTAAACCTTCCCTTATTCAACGGTTCAGCCTATTTTTCCTTTTCTTTCTCTTCCCAGCCCTTCTGAACCAGGGGCTATAATGAAAATTAATAAATCTGATTTTCATTTTCCCACTGTAGCCTCTGGCAGAAGTAATAAATAAGCCCTAAAAGTAAGCAGAAGAGGGAGAAAGAGAGCTAAAAGGCAGACAGATAAACTGTGCCAACCAGGGATCACCATCCCTTCCATTCTCCCTAATGTCTTCCCTCATTCCTAGTTCATCATGTGGGTTTTAGTCCTCACTGTCATTTTCTAAGACTTAAGAGAAGAGTCCCCAAATGAATTTTCTGAGTAGGATGAAAGAGTGGCATAAAGAAAGGAACTAGATAGATTAAATGTAAATTTTTTTATCTATTTATGAAATTACTGGAATCTCCCATATTTCAGGATAGTATGGAATTCTTAGACAAGAATACAGAAAACAAAAATTAAAATTATGATTTCAGGTGCCAAAGGACGGATAACATCTCTACACATTGGTTTTCAGCTGTTAAGGGTAAAAATAAAGATTTTATTTTCTTTAAAGGGCAAAAGGCCCACTTTTTATTGTCTTCTCTTCCATTAGTTTTGTTTGTGCCACAGAACTCATAAAGTTATACCTTTGTGTAGCTGACCCTGCAAAATGAACAAATATCAGAAACTGCTGTAACCAAAAGACTCCTTCACGGGCTCCAAAGACCAGGCACCTCCCTCTGGTATAAGAACACTCAGCTCTGGCAACATTTTCTGCTTGGATGAGGATTCTTCCGATCTGTGACTTCTAACTGAGATTTTTATCCACAGTGGGGCAGTCTTGGTCTCTAATGTAGAATTATCACTCTACATTAGAGTGAAAAAAAAATCTTTTTCTTCCAATCAAGAAGAGGTAAAGCCACAGCCAGGCCTTGACAAACTACCTGAGGATAGGGAATGTATTCTCTGTACAACACAACGTCTGTTGCAAATTCAAGCCCACCCCTGTCCTTCCTCTCCACTTCATTAACTTCCATCCAGACAACACTTTCAAAATGATACAGAAATACAAACAAAGAGAATGTTCAATTGTTTCATTCTATTACTCACTGTGTAGAATGCTTCTAAAGTAAGTGCCCAATTCTGATTTTTCACAGTTCTAAAGATTCACAGAATTCTTGAGTGAGAAGAGACACCTGGAGACATCTGTCACCTTTACTTTGAAGCCTTATTTGATCTTCCACAGGCAGAAATAATGCCCTCCACCTCGACATCTATATATTCAGTGCTTAGCACCTATGGGCACTTACCACATTTTGACTCACATTATAATCCTCTTTATGTCTTATTGCTTCCACTACGATAAGGTTCTTTAAGACAGAGCCTTTATATCCCTTGAAATGCCTGGCAGAGCACCTTACACAAAATAGGTACAACATAAGTGTCTGTTGTCGAATATACTGGTATGAGTCCTCTCCACACCTCTGCAAGCTGGAGATCAGCTGAGCTAAAAAGCCTCTGTGTTGTTTTTGTTTTTTTTTAGGGGTGGATGCTATTAATTCATAGAGAAGAAGTATTGTGCTTACCACAAGGCTTCAAAAATTTTTTATTTGGAAAGAATGCATTTTGAAGTGCTACTTCAGAATTGCAGAATTACTAAAAACATAATATTCATGTAATGAAAAATGTACTGTTTTGGGAGGGGTGGGAAGCAATGCAATTACGACGACGAAGCATAGGAAGCTACACAAAGGATTCCCTTCTGTGGAACAGACATAGATAAATGTAATCTAAAAAATATGTTGACAGAATTTTAAAGAACACAAGTCAAAAACACAGAGATAGAAGACATAAAAATTAAGAGCCAAGAAAAACAGATTCAAGAGGTCCATATCATTCATTCTTTTATACTTCTCCTGAAATGCTAATTCAGCATAAAATTAGATAATAGAGCTAATAGAGGGGGTAACATGTTCAAAGGTATGGCAGCTGAAAAGTTATAAATATGAAATAAGGTACCCTGAGACTTTAGTGGATAAATGACCAGGAGGAGATTTATCTGTAGAACACGCTCTAAAATTCTGCTATGGAAAAAACTCTTGGGTCAGGTGCCATTGTTCACACTGTAATCCCAGTGCTTTGGGAAGCTGAGGCAGGAGGATTGCTTGAGGCTAGGAGTTTGCAACTAGCTTGGGCAACATACGGAGATCCTATCGCTACCAAAAGAAATTTTTTTTAATTAGCTGGGCACAATGTTATGGGCCTGTAGTCCCAGCTACTTGGGAGGCTGAGGTGGAAGGATCATTTGAATCCAGGAGTTTGAGACCAGCTTGGGTAAGATGGCGAGATCTGGTCTTTACAAAAAATAAAAATTAAAATATTAGCCAGGAACAGTGGCACGAGCCTGTAGTCCCAGCTACTTGGGAGGCTGAGGCAGGAGGATCCCTTAAACCCAGGAATTCAAGGCTGCAGTGAGCTATGATTGCACTACTGCACTCCAGCCTGAGCGACAAAGCAAGAACATGTCTCTTAAAAAAAAAAAAAGTCAAGGGAAGTTCTCTTCACTACGTGTTTCATAAGCAGAAGGTACTGCACATGAGGCTTAATTTCTCAGTCTCACCATTGACCAGATGTCACCAAAGCATGAGCAATATAATTTGTATATATTTAATTTTAAGAAGTTACTAAGAATACACAATAAGATACCACTTCACACCCACTAGGATGGGTATAATGAAAAAGACAGATTAATATTAATAACAAATGTTGGCAAAGATGTTGAGAAATCAGAATCCTCATACGCTGCTGGTAGGAATGTAAAATGGTACAGTTGCTTTGGAAAACAGTCCAGCAATTATCAGAAGGTTAAACATGGAATTATTATACGACTCAGAAATTCTACTCAGGTTTATATCAAAGAGAAATACAAACATGTCTACACAAAATCCTGTACACAAATATTCATAGTAGCATTATTTGTAATAGCCAAAAAGTGAAACAACTCCAAAATCCATCAACCGGTGATGGATAAAATGTGGTACAGCCATACAATGGAATGTAATTTAGCAAGAAAAAGGAACGAAGTACTGGTCCATGCCACACATGATAACTCTTGAAAACATTAAGTAAAAGAAGCCAGCCAGGTGTAATCCCAACACTTTGGGAGGCTGAAGTGGGAGGATTGCCTTAGCCCAGGAGTTTGAGACCAGCCTGGGTAAGGTGGTGAAACGTGATCTCTACAAAAAAAAAAAAATTAAAAAACTAGCCAGCCGTGGTGGCACATGCCTGTAGTCCCAGCTACTTGGGAGGCTGAGGCAGGAGGATTCCTTGAGCCCAGGAATTCAAGGCAGCAGTGAGCTATGATTGTGCCACTGCACTCCAGCCTGGGTTACAAAGCGAGGCCCTATCTTTATAAATAAATACGTAAATAAATAAGTAAGCAAGCAAGCTAGTCACAAGAGACCACATGTCACATAATTTCATTTATATGAAATGTCTAGAATAAATAGGTCTATTTATAAAGACAGAAAGTATTATAAATTAGTGGTTGTCTAGAGTTGAAGGAGTGAAGGCTAAAACGTTCGGGTTTCTTTATGGATTATGAAAATGTTCTAAAATTGATTATAGTGATGACTGCACAACTCTGTGAATACACTAAAAACCACTTTATTTATTTATTTATTTATCTAATTTATTTATTTAAGACAGGGACTATGTTGCCCAGGCTGGTCTTGAACTCCTGGGCTCAAGTGATCCGCCCAACTTGGCCTCCCAAAGTGTTAGGATTACAGGTGCAAGCCACTGTGCCCAGCTAAATTGTACACTTTAAATGGGTGAACTCTATGGTATATGAATTATATCTAATAAAGCTGTTACCAAAAAAAGAATAACCCTGATTAAATGAGTGAATGGTTGAGCTGTTCATTTTAATACTTATAGAAGTATAAGACTATATGAATGAGAACTCTTAAGTATGTTTTCAATGGATACAATTTGGTATGATATTAAAAATTTTAAAGTTCATATTTTGGCCAGTGTCCGTGGCTCATGCCTGTAATCCCAGCATTTTGGGAGGCTGCGGTGTGAGGATTGCTTGAACCCAGGAGTTTGAGACCAGCCTGGGCAACAAATGAGACCCTGTCTCTACAAAAAACAAAAAATTTGGCAGGCATGGTGGTGCAAGCCTGCAGTCTCAGCAACTCAAGAGGCTGAGGCAGGAGAATTGCTTGAGCTTGGGAGGTCAAGGCTCCAGTGGAGCATACCACTGCACTCCAGCCTGGGCAACAGAGTGAGACCCTGTCTCAAAACAAAAAAAAAAGGTTTGTATTTTCAGTTAACAACATTCTAGAAGTGGATTTCTGGTTCTTTATGAAAATGACTTACAAATTTCATATACTGGCTTGGCCAACAAGATCTATGCCAAACTGAAAAGTAATGGTAATAATTAGACCTGTGTTTATTGACTTCCATTCTGTGGGCCATATGCATCAACTCTAATCCTCACTGTCCTACAATGAGTCCTATTTTAGAATGTGGAAACTGAAGTTCTTAGGGGATAAATAACATGCGCAGAGTCACAAAACCAGCAAAGGGCAGAGCTGAGACTGGAACCTGGCTCAGCCTGACTGCAGTCCCATGATCCAGGTGGCTTTTCAGGCAACACATTCCTGACATATCTTTAAAAAACAGGTAGCGAAAGAAAGTAAAAGCATCACATTTTTATTAATAAGTAGGAGTTTTGCTTGTAAAAAGGAAAAACTGAAATGGAATGAAAAGGAGAAAGTATATTTAGAAGCACAGCTTTTATATGACTTTATATAATTCTTTATACCCTTGGGTGACAGTTGATTAGGAAATTAATGATAATATTCTAAGACATAAAGCATCTGGTTATGAGAGCTTCACTAATAGAGGGGTTATATTTAACAAGGGATATAAGATTCTAAACCTCTAAATATGATACATGGGAAATAAAAAAGATAAATGATCTTTCAATAAAAACCTGTAAGAAAATCTCCCAGATATACATAGGAAGCTGAACATAGATTTGGCATTGATAGTACAACCAAGCTGTATGAATCAAGAGGGAAAAGAGAATATGCAGAAGAAATTTCCCAATAACAACTCCAGGTGACAGGTGCACTGATAATTCTATGAGGTAATTAATTCTATTAGAAAAATTGCAAAAAGATTTACAGAGAAGAGAACATTCCCAAACTTTTCTTCCATTTCCCTAGAAACAAATAGCACAATAAAAAAGAAAGACCTATCCCTGGTTATCTGTCCTCAGTCTTTATGATGCTAATCAGCTTGGAGCAAATAGAGCTGCAATAAAGAATCTGTATACTTCCTAAGTAATCTGTGTCCAACTATTTGTAAGAAAAATCATTTAATATCTAAATTGAGAGTACTCTGTTATGAGCAATAAAAAGTATAATAAACAACAAATGAAAATTTAAGCCTTTATACTATAAAATGAAAAAGAAATGTCACTTGCTTTCTATTTCCCTCTGTAAATACCATTAAGATGTGGTAGTGAAATTGTATAAGTTGTTGGCATGGGCCCTCAAAACAAAATGAGAGGGAATGTAAGTGATCCCTGTCTCTTACATGTCAGGATGTCACTGACAATATGGAAGTTCTTAGCTGTTTTAAGTGTTTATATTATGTTGCCTAGTGGCAGAAATTAAGTCCTATATGGACAAGAGATTAAGCAAGATAATGGGTATGAGGGTCCTTCATAACACAAATGGCTAATTATTAGTGCTATTATTTTGAAAACTGAAACAGACCATGAGACACTAGATCTGTATCATATGTCTCCAGGGCTATACCGTAAGTCAAAGCATTACAACTGTTGGGAGAAAAGCTGGACATTCCAAAAAAACTACTTATTTTTGAGTATTGAGGAAAATTGCTATTCTTGGATATAAGCTCAGAGAAGACTGAGTACTGCAGTTTGAGAATTGCTGCTAAAAAGGAGACAAACCATCAACAGAGATTTTCAAACTCTTGCTAGACCAAGAACTGAACAAGGAGTACATCTCCAAATATCATGCCTTCTTCAAAGAGTAAAAAATTCCGTGGACCTTGAAGACTCACTGTGGAATTTCCAGAGCCTTATGTACATTTGTTCAAAGCATTATCAGGTGTTGATTGGAAGGGAGGCTGAGTTATTTCTGTGACTTGATCAAACAGTTGGCTATTAGCCCCTGAATTTAATAACTAGGGAATAAAAGTTTATTTGACCCTTAAGAGTCTATAGTAAACAAGACACAGACATCTTACTGTAATACCACAGAATCTTCCCACATCTCAAACAACAACAACAACAACAACAACAACAAATACACAAAAAAACCCAACCCTGCTTAAGGGTTTTTGGTTTTGTTTTGTTTTGTTTGGTTCAAAGATATCTTAGTATATGAATTTGGAGAACAAGCCTTTAGATTTTAGAGAAATTGTTCAAATGTTGATAGGGCATAGAAGGAAAGCTTAACATTCAATTTAACCCAAGGAAAAGAGAATCTGCAACGAAGTCGGGAAAGGAAGATTCTAATACTTGCTTCTAAGTTGTTTCTTTTTACACCCGAGGATCACAAAAGAATGACTTCTTCTCAGAATTATCTTGTAAATAAAAACAAACAATAAAGATTATTCGAACTGAGATTTAAATGTAAATCCAGGTCTATTTTGAAAGGGCCTGACCAAATCATGTTATAGTCAGAGACCACAGTGTGTACAGTCAAGTGAAATGTACATTCTGAGAGAGCCTAAGGTGCCAGTGTACCTCAGAAGTGTGGTAGTCTTTTGTGTCAACAATTTAAAACAGTTAATCTGTACATAAAACATGTTTCCAATATTGAATTGAAATGTTAACCAAGTGTCACTGGGTGTAGCTATCTCTAAAACATAGCCATAGCAAAAATGACAGGTAAACAGATTTCTCTGTTGTAGAGAATTCAAATATACATAAAAATAATTGGGTGCAGTGGCTCACGCCTGTAATCCCAGCACTTTGGGAGGCCGAGGCGGGCAGATCACGAGGTCAGGAGATAAGAGACCATCCTGGCTAACACGGTGAAATCTCGTATCTACTAAAAATACAAAAAATTAGCCGGGTGTGGTGGCACACACCTGTAGTCCCAGCTATTCGGGAGGCTGAAGCAGGAAAATCATTTGAACCCAGGAAGCGAAGGTTGCAGTGAGCCGAGATCACGCCACTACACTCCAGCCTGGGCAACAGAGCAAAACTCCATCTCAAAAAAATAAAATAAAATAAAATAATAATAATAATAATTAAGTTGCTTAGGAGCTTTATCACTACTGACCTTTCTGAGTTAAAGCCTTTAAAAATCACTAATATATTAATTTGTTCAAGTCTTAATTAAGTAGTGTAACTAACTACTGAGTTCCCTGATTCAGTTCCTTGTTAATTTTTTTTTTAGGGGAAAAAGTGAGGAGACACTGTCTGGCAAGATTTACACATCAATGCTTGATTAAGGAAAAGGGACTCCTCCCTTAGCAGCGTGAAGCCTGGATAGAGATGGGTTCTTTCTACTTTCCAGACTTTAATGGCAACTGTGCCCAGAGTTTCTAGATATTCCTCATACCTGTTCCCTGTAAAAGACCATAAACATTCCTGGTTTACTGTAGCTGAAAAGTCATCTAAATTCAAATTTATTGGATGGCTTTGCATTGGTCCAGTGTGGTCTTCTGAGTCTTTTGTTTGTTTGTTTGAGATGGAGTCTCACTCTGTCACCAGGCGGGTGTGCAGTGGCGCAGTCCTGGCTCACTGCAACCTCCGCCTCCCAGGTTCAAGTGATTCTCCTGCCCCAGCCTCCTGAGTAGCTGGGATTACAGGCACGCGCCACCATGCCTAGCTAATTTTTATATTTTTAGTAGAGACGAGGTTTCACCATATTGGCCAGGCTGTCTCGAACTCCTTGACCTCAAGTGACTGCCTGCCTTGGCCTCCCAAAGTGCTGGGATTTACAGGCATGAGCCACCACTCCCGGCCTGGGTTTATGAGTCTTTTACTGGGACTTGACCCATTCTCATTTCCCAAAGAGTTTAAAGATTGGGATGAAGTTAACTGGAGCAGGAAAAATAAGTAAGATTGGAAAGATATATGACTTTATAACCCCATTGAAGACATACAAAAAAAAAAAAAAAGGCTGAAATATAAAGTATTTCCCTGGTGGCATTTGTTCTGGTATCTTATTTTTTAATTTATGTTTTCAGGAAAAATTCTCCATCAGATTAAATAGCTAAAGTTACAAAAGGCAAATACTCACATAAAATTTGAATCTGAAAAGGAAAACCTAATTCCTGGTATATATATAGATGGGTACTGACAACATTTCTATTTCTCTGAGTTTCACGGATTTCAGGGTAACATCTGAATTAAGGTTGTGTATCTATCCTTTCAACATCTGAATCATCTAACATAGAATGATCAAATTCTGTTTCTGGCTTATCAAATTACCTAGCATTTTCCTTGCAATGATGATGTTCAAAGCTGGTACAAATAGTGCAGGATAGAGCCATTCTTAGCTACCATTGGTAGGAGTGGGTATGATCTTTCTGGAGAGTAATTTGGGCCTTTAAAAAGTTTATGACCTTTTCTCCAACATTCAGCTTCTAAAAAGCTATCTCCAGGAAATAGAAAGGTGAGATAAATTTCCAGATAAAGATATTTATGGCACTGTTCTTTACAATAGCAAATCTAAATTTTGCCATTAATAATTTTTAAAATATACTATACAGTTATGATCATATTCGACATTGTCAGGTACTTACCTAACTGCTTAACTCACTTGACCTTCTCAAGAGCCCTATGAAGTATGTTCTCTTACCCAGAATTCCCATTTATTGATGAGAAAAGAAAGAAGTGAAAAATGAACACTGAATATCTCATGCCTTATAATGGATGGGTTCATTGTTTTATTTATTCTGCTTATCATAAGTAAAGAAGTAATGACATTGCTGCTACAAATAATTCCTTTTCGGCCCCATAGAACCTGCAGTTAATACTGAATGGCACAAGATTTACATAGGATTGATCCATGTTTAAACTTGCCCAAGGTCATGGAGCTAGGAAGTGACGGTGCTGGGGTTCCAAACCAGCAGTCCAGCTCCAGAGCTGAAACTCTTTAGCATTACACCATATTGCTGTTTTGTGTATTACTTTTCTTATTTTTCTTTTGTGTATTATTTTTCAAATGTGATCCTGAATTCTATAAAATGATAAAATTTTTATAATTTTTCTCTCAGATTTTTGTTTCAATATTCACATGCAAAATTGGTCCCTGGTCTTCTTTTAGGAGAAATATATTTTCTGTGTTTCAATATCAATGTTATTTCACCTTCATAAAAAGGAACGAACTGGAAGCCTTCCTTCATTTTCTATGTTCTAGAACAGTTAAAATAGCATTAGAATAATCTGTTTCTTAAAAGTTTGGTAGAATTTCTTTGCAAACTCTGAAGGAGAGGGAAAGGAGGGTAGCTCTATGACAACTTCTTTGTTTCATCAATAATAACTGTTCTTTCAGATTTTCTAAGAGTTCTGGAGTCAGATACAGTCATATATTTTCTATTTCTTTTAAAAAATTAAACAGATTCTTACATATAATTTATATTCCATAAAATTTACCTGCTTGAAATGTACAATTGGATAATTTTTAGTAAATTTACAGAGTTGTGCAATCATCACAATGAGATCATTTTAGAACATTCCCATCACTCTAGAAAGATCGCTTGTGCCCACTTGCAGTCAATCCCTGCTGCCATCACCAGCTCCTCCATTTTAATAGTTCAGCTCTATAACTTTAATGTATATAAACAGACATGTTTATTTTATGTGGATTAAATAAGATAGCGGAGATAAATCTTGGATGTATTGTATATAATGTGACTATACTATATAAAAAATATTTAACTTTAAGAATTGAATGTGGTACTCTGCACAAATAGTATAATTTTCTTATAGCTCATTAAAGCTACCTGGTACTTATGGAAAAAACAAACAGTATGACTGTTTTCATCTTCCTATGATCAGCGCTGAGACTTCCATAAACACATATTCCTTACAGCCCCATTGGCAGCAAGCAATAGGAAGCTAATATCAAAATATGATCACAATAACCACCCTGCCTACAGATGACATTGCTGTTATTCTTTACTTCATGTTGACCAGATTTTCAAACTGTAAGGTATTTTTTAATGTTTTACTTTTTTTTTTTTGTTTGTTTGTTTTTGTTTTTAGAGATGGGATCTTGCTATGTTGCCCAGACTAGTCTTGAATTCCTGGCCTTAAGCAACCCTCCTGCCTCAACCTCCTGAGAAGCTGGGATTACAGGTGTAAGTCACCGTGCCCAGCTTTATTTTCTTAATTTCTTCTATTTTTCCTAATGAGAGTTTAGGAAAAGTCTAGCTATTTCTGAAATGAACAAAGTGTTTTACCCACAGTGTTCAGAATTTAGTGCTTAGAATTAAGCACAGCTGATTAGAACACCAGCCAATATATTTTTAGTTTGCATTGAATAGAGATTTCTCTAATTAGGAAGCATTAGTGTTATTTGATTTCTGATTCTTGCTTCAAAGTTCTCTCCATAACACAGCGAACTTTAAGTATAAGATTAAACTTAATTTAACAAGAAAATATTTTTACATGTTCAAACATGAATAATCCAGTCAGTAGCATTTTTAGATCTAAGAGTATTGGAAAAATTGCTCTCAGCATTGAGAAATTCTTCCACTGATAAAGGTCAACAGAAAGCAAACTCTTGGAGAAGTGGAAGGCGCATGGACTTTGAAGCCATACACATGGGTTCAAATTTCAGGTCCAACAACCACTAGATAGGTGTCCAATATATTCTTCCTCTTACCTCTTTCTTTCCCTCCTCCCTGCCTGGCACCCCCTTGTAAACAAAACAAAACAAAACAAAATGCAAACAACGCACTTCAATGGAAACATACTCCCAAGATTTCCTTAGAGTGAATTTATACTGATTAATTTTTTTTTAAATTCAGGAACTAAAGTAACTAAGTTAAGTTTTTCTCTTGTCAACTCAATATCCTTGTTGGCCATCTGTTACTTTTCTTCTTCTACTCAAAGACATAAAGTGAGCCTCAAAAACATTTAAGTGCATATTGCAAGATTGTTTTGAGATTTAAACAGATGTGTACTTACATGAATGCCCAACTATAAAACACTCAAGGGTATGTAATTATTGTGCTGACAAGTATAAATTCACAATAAAGGTATTCAAAACACACATATACTCATACACGTATTCAGAGTCTGTCCATACACTTCATGTTAGGTATATATTGATTGTATCTGTAAAAGTCACAATATTTAAAAATATTTTCTTAGTTCAATAAAAGATTTATAATTGGCTCTTCTAGTTTCATACTTAAGACTTGTTTTCAAATGTTTCTGTGAAAGAAGTATTAGAAAGTTATCAAGTGATCAGTAAGAAATGTGACTTTTAATTGGATGGAGATCATAAATAAAATATTCTGTATAGAATTAGCACGAGCAAATGAAAAATGCTATTAACTCTAAATCTGTACTATTATGTATTAAACATATACTATTACAGGTCCCTCTTTCCAAAATAGGTCAAAGTTTAAAGATCCCAAAAACCTGAATATTGACATAAAACTTCTTTCCAACTTAATCACCACAAACTCAGAATTAAACTCATATGAAATCTGAAACCAGTATCTCATAAGGGTTTAGCACAAAATTTGCAATTTTTGTAAACTTCGTGTAAAAAAAAAAGATTTAGAAACAACATTTTCAGGAACAAAGGAACAGAAATCAGATCTGACCTTTTTAATGCTTTGATGACTTTCATTACTCTCTCTTTCTTCCCCTGATCACTTTCCTCTTTCAGCAATTAGTTAAGGCCAGATCTATTCAAGTAAAGTCTTAAATTAAATTTTGGAGAAATATTAATATTCAATCCTCTACGTAAAAAAGAATAAAATATATTCCTATTTTCTAATTCCTGAATTTCAGTTATTCTTCCCAAATTAGTGCCGTATGCTTGAGTTAAAATATTTTCTCCTGATGGTCCCATCAAACTGGCCAAAATGTAGGGACTGGGGGAAGAGATAATCAGTGTGAATGAGCACATGGGAAAAGGGATGTTCTCCATCACTGTGAATTGGTGCCATCTCTTTGGAGGATAATGTGGCAATAGAGGTCAAATTTTTAAATGCAGATTGTCTTTTCTTTAATACTTCCACATCAAACAATTGCACAAGTACTCAAAAAGAGGGGTAAAGAATATATATACTGAAGCATAATTTATAACAGCAAAAAATAAAGAAAATCTAAGTGTCCATCAACACAGGCATGATTTTAATGTTAGGTTACTTCTGTATGTGGAATGTTATGCAGCTATTTTAAAGAACAGTAATCAGGTCGGTACATAGTGGCATGGAAGGACTTTGAAAAAAGTTAAGTTGCATGTAGAATGATATATAGAATATTCTCATGTTTTCCTGTGATGAAAATATATACATATTTATATATATGTGTGTGTATATATATTATATACAGACATGTGTATATGGACCCCACACAAATATATATGGATATACAGCAAGACAAGAAAGAGAGAGAGAGAGAGATCTGGAATGATGCTCACAAACAACCCATCAGGTGCTAGAAGTGGAGACAATAAGGAAGAAAACTTTCTATTTTACCTTATACATTTCTCTGGTGTTGAAATTTTTTTAGTAATTGTAAAGAAAAAACCCAACCATATATTATGCCCAGCAGGCACCAGAAGAAGAGGAGTCAAACCTATTAATATTTTAATAACAGCTATTAATTCTCAGATTTCTTTCCATCAGTCTGCTGGAGATAAAGAGCATTCTGCTTTGGTTGTCAGTACACAATTCCTAACACAAAGTCTCCCAGCATGCTTTTGTGAACCAAATGGAAACCTGCGGCCCAAAAAGGAGCACAGTTTGGCTGGATACGTCGTTAGCTGAGGATCAGTCAACAAAGACTGTTGGCCGATGGATCCATTCCAGTCTCAAGTTTCACGGGCTCTGGCAGGGAGGGAGGGCACAGACCCCAGAATACTCCTGAGAAGCCCTCACCTATCCCTCCTCCATTCACTGCCTTTTCATCATAATCTGCCTTTAGGATTAAATGATTTTTCACCAGACCTTAGGCACTACTTCCATGGTCTTCCTGACCTTGTTATAACCAATACCTGCACCCTTTCCAGAATCTCATTTTTAAGCATCCCACCTTGCCAACCCATTTGTTCTTTCTTTTTCTTTTTTTCCTTTTTTTTTTTTTTTCCTGAGACGGAGTCTTGCTCTATCACCCAGGCTGGAGTACAATGGTGTGATCTTGGCTCACTGCAACCTCTGCCTCCAGGGTTCAAGGGATTCTCCTGCCTCAGCCTCCCAAATAGCTGGGATTACAGGCGCATACCACCATGCCCAGCTAATTTTTGTATTTTTAGTAGAGGCAGGGGTTTCACCATGTTGGTCAGGCTGGTCTCGAACTCCTGATCACAAGCAATCCACCAGCCTTGGACTCCCAAAGTGCTGGGATTACAGGTGTGAGCCACTGCACATGGCCCATTTGTTCTTTCTTGAACTCCTTACAGCAAGAAGGCCAATTCCAATAATTTTCTACTCCATCAGGATTTATAATCTACTGACTTTATCTCGCTTTACTCTCTACACCCCCTTCATTGCTTACTTTCCTCCTTTCCAGCTTAAGTTAGTGATTTCTCATTATAATCACTCCCCTGTCCACCCTTCTTCATACCTTCCTCTGAAAACCTCACCCTGCTTGCAGCCAACTCTCTGCTCTCTCCATGCCTCTACCCATGTTGCTGAGCAGCACTGGTGAACACACAACTATGCCAATTTCACTTAATTCAAGTGGATCCTTTCAGCTGCCCCGCAGTCACACTATTATTTTCTTAGTTCATTCATCTCCCTCACTGCTACATGACTAGCACACTTCTCCATAAGTCCTCAATACCTCCATTCCCATCCTCTTTCTCAATGGATAATTTCTATGCTTCACTGAGGAAACAGAAACAATAAGCAGAGGAATTCCACCACCACACCTGCTGCCAAGTGGCATCTGTGCCCATTGCCTTTGTTCCTGTGTAGGAAAATCCGTCTGTGTTCCAATCTAAGCATTCTCACCTTCCAATTGGTGAGCTGGGATCTGTCCCCTGCTCAAGGACACCATTGCAGCACTATTTGCTTTCTCTTCTGTGTCATCAATTTCCTCCTCTTTGCTGGATAATTCCATTAGCACACAAACAGGATGTAATTTCTCTCATCTTAAAACAACAAGAACAAAAGACTGTGCCACCCAGCCTCTTCTGCCAGCTGTTTCTCTGTTCCCTTTACAGCAAAACTACTTTTTCTATCTCAAAGTACTCCCCTTTTATTCTCTCTTGAGCCTGTTCCATGATGCTAAATCTGATGGTCAGTTCTCAGCCATTTGCAGCATTTGGCAGCCTATCACTTTCCTCCTTGATACACTTTCTCTTCTCAGCTTCCAGGATACTACTCTCAGTTCTCAGCCTACCTCACCACTATCCTCTCAGTCTCTTATTGGTTCTTATTCATCTCATGAAACTTAGGTGGGCTCAATCCTTAGCATTCACAGTGGGCTTTATTTATACTCACTCCATAGGGGACCTAATCTCATCTCATGGCTTTAAATACTATGACATGCTGATGACACCCTAATCTAGCCCTAGTTTGGGCCAAGTCTCCAAATTCCAGATTTATATATTCAACTGCCTACTGGACATCTCCAGCTAGACATCGATCAAGCATCTTAAACTTATGCCTACAAATGAACTCTTCATCTACCCTCCAGAAACCTTCTCCTCCTACACTGTGCCCCATTTCAGTAAACAGTACTTCCACTCTTCCAATGGCTCAGGCCAAATGGAGTCATCCTTGGCTCCTGTCTTCTTCTCACAACCACATCCAATCTATCAGCAAGTCCTGTGTGTTCTACCTTCACAATGCAACTGGAATCTGCCACTTCTTACCACTTCTCTATATCCCTGGTCCAAATCCACCATCACCTCCTGCCCAGTTCACTGCAATAGTTTTCTGCCTGGTTTCCCTGCTTTTATCCCTGACCATTATCAATCTACTTGCCAGTTTGATTCATTTAAAATTTAAGTCAGATCAACTATCTTCCCATACTACTAAGAATAAAAACCGAAGTCCTCACAATAGCCTGCAAGAGCCTACATCATTTGGCCTCCAATCCCTGTGTGACCTTATTTCTCACCGCTGGAGCCCCTCACTCTGCTCTGGCCATAGTGTTTCCTAAACGTTCCAAGCACACCCCTGCCTCAGGGACTTTGTACTGCTGTTCTCCATGCTTCAACCCCTCTTCCCTCAGTTATCCACCTGGCTCATTTCCTCTCTTACCTCTCAGGTCTCTGCTCAGAAATCACCTCAGTGATGCCTTGTCTGACCACCCTATTTAAAAGTTATGCCCCACTCCAGCATCCCTAAGTATCTAAGCCTGTTATTAAACAAAGCACTTGTTGGCCGGGCACAGTGGCTCACGCCTGTAATCCCAGCACTTCGGGAGGCCTAGGCGGGCGGATCACGAGGTCAGGAGATTGAGACCACCCTGGCTAACACAGTGAAACCCTGTCTCTAACTAAAAATACAAAAAATTAGCTGGGTGTGGTGGCAGGTGCCTGTAGTCTCAGCTACTCAGGAGGCTGACGCAGGAGAATGGTGTGAACCGGGGAAGCGGAGCTTGCAGTAAGCCGAAATCGCACCACTGCACTCCAGCCTGGGCGACAGAGCGAGACTCCGTCTCAAAAAAAAAAAAAAACAAGAAAACAACAACAACAACAACAACAAAAAAGCACTTGTCATGTTCTGACTTACAACTACAATACAACCTCTACGAGGACAGAGGCTTTTTCTATGTTTTCATACCTCTATTCTAGAAAACGGTCCCTGGCGTGGGTATTGAATAAATGATTGCTGGACAAACAAATGAGGTTTCCTGGACTTGGGAGGCTGCTGTAGCAAGATAACTAGATGATGACTTAGAAGATCTGGGTTTGAGTATGATTACAGACAAGAAAATAGAAGTGACGCCCAGCTTTGTTATTGCACAGTATAATTAGTTAAGCCATTTAACCTCCAAGGGCCTCAGTTTCCTCATCTATAAAGGGAATGAAAACATGCGTTACCCTCTGTGTGAATGAAAATGTCAGGCAAATGTAAAACACTATCAGGCTTCTGTAACTGATCACATATGTTAAACTATTTAGAATTACTTTAAAATTTTTAGACAATAGTTTATGCTTAGAAGATTTAGTCACTTTGTAAACCAAAAGGATACCTTGAATTATTATTTTTTTTATTTTTATTTATTTATTTATTTATTTTTTAAATTTATTTATTTTTTATTGATAATTCTTGGGTGTTTCTCACAGAGGGGGATTTGGCAGGGTCATAGGACAATAGTGGAGGGAAGGTCAGCAGATAAACAAGTGAACAAAGGTCTCTGGTTTTCCTAGGCAGAGGACCCTGTGGCCTTCCGCAGTGTTTGTGTCCCTGGGTACTTGAGATTAGGGAGTGGTGATGACTCTTAAGGAGCATGCTGCCTTCAAGCATCTGTTTAACAAAGCACATCTTGCACCGCCCTTAATCCATTTAACCCTGAGTGGACACAGCACATGTTTCAGAGAGCACAGGGTTGGGGGTAAGGTCACAGATCAACAGGATCCCAAGGCAGAAGAAGTTTTCTTAGTACAGAACAAAATGAAAAGTCTCCCATGTCTACTTCTTTCTACACAGACACGGCAACCATCCGATTTCTCAATCTTTTCCCCACCTTTCCCGCCTTTCTATTCCACAAAGCCGCCATTGTCATCCTGGCCCGTTCTCAATGAGCTGTTGGGCACACCTCCCAGACGGGGTGGTGGCCGGGCAGAGGGCTCCTCACTTCCCAGTAGGGGCGGCCGGGCAGAGGCGCCCCTCACCTCCCGGGAGGGGCGGCTGGCCAGGCGGGGGGCTGACGCCCCCACCTCCCTCCCGGATGGGGCGGCTGGCTGGGCAGAGGGGCTCCTCACTTCCCAGTAGGGGCGGCCGGGCAGAGGCGCCCCTCACCTCCCGGACGGGGCGGCTGGCCGGGCGGGGGGCTGACCCCCACCTCCCTCCCGGATGGGGCGGCTGGCCTGGCGGGGGGCTGACCCCCCCCACCTCCCTCCCAGACGGGGTGGCTGCCGGGCGGAGACGCTCCTCACTTCCCAGATGGGGTGGCTGCCGGGCGGAGAGGCTCCTCACTTCTCAGACGGGGCGGCTGCCGGGCGGAGGGGCTCCTCACTTCTCAGACGGGGCGGTTGCCGGGCAGAGGGTCTCCTCACTTCTCAGACGGGGCGGCCGGGCAGAGATGCTCCTCACCTCCCAGACAGGGTCGCGGCCGGGCAGAGGTGCTCCTCACATCCCAGACGGGGCAGCGGGGCAGAGGCACTCCCCACATCTCAGAGGATGGGCGGCCGGGCAGAGACGCTCCTCACTTCCTAGATGTGATGGCGGCCGGGAAGAGGTGCTTCTCACTTCCTAGGTGAGATGGCGGCCGGGCGGAGACGCTCCTCACTTTCCAGACTGGGCAGCCAGGCAGAGGGGCTCCTCACATCCCAGACGATGGGCGGCCAGGCAGAGACGCTCCTCACTTCCCAGACGGGGTGGCGGCCGGGCAGAGGCTGCAATCTCGGCACTTTGGGAGGCCAAGGCAGGCGGCTGGGAGGTGGAGGTTGTAGCCAGCCGAGATCACGCCACTGCACTCCAGCCTGGGCACCATTGAGCACTGAGTGAACGAGACTCCGTCTGCAATCCAGGCACCTCGGGAGGCCGAGGCTGGCGGATCACTTGCGGTTAGGGGCTGGAGACCGGCCTGGCCAACACAGCGAAACACCGTCTCCACCAAAACCAGTCAGGCGTGGCGGTGCGAGCCTGCAATCGCAGGCATTCGGCAGGCTGTCAGGAGAATCAGGCAGGGAGGTTGCAGTGAGCTGAGATGGCAGCAGTACAGTCCAGCTTTGGCTCAGCATGAGAGGGAGACCGTGGAAAGAGAGGGGGAGAGGGAGAGGGAGAGGGAGAGGGAGAGGGAGAGCCTTGAATTATAATAAAGATTTTAAACTGTCTTTCTCCCTCTAGAGTTTGTAATTGTCTATATATAAATTGTATACTTTAATATCATATCAACTTCTGGGCATTATGGCCAATATTATTTTTGTTTTCTGTCCTGAGGCCTTATCCATTCTCTTCTAAATAGGGGGATATGAGACTTGTCATCTTGAGATCTTTGATACTTTTGGCTCTGGAACTATCCTTCCCACAGGTGCAGAAATACAAGTCAGATTCCTGTTTATGTAAAATGTCGAGAAAGTCCAAAGGCCATTGAGAGAACATGGGCCTTGCCAAAGCACAGCTGGAAGCAGAAGTATTTGAAAGAGGAAAGAGACATCTTCTATTAGGTTCCACTTTTGTTTCAAGTTACATAACAATAAATATAAATACTTCAATTAAATTAGTTTCACTCTTCACAGAAATGCCTTAATCATGATTCAAAATGATGGTGTTCGCATTCATTGAGAGACAATATAAAAAATGAGGAATGTTTCTCAGTCCCCTATAGAACTGCATATTATGTTAACCAATGTGCTTTTTACAATGGGGAAAAATTTTCTCCTGACTAAAGAGTATTGTTCTTATTATCTGATGATATAAGGTGTATGGTACACTTTTGTTTTGTTGTTTTTTTTTTTTTTTGGCTTGGCCTCTAGAAAGCTTCAAGTTAATTATTATTATTATTATTTTGATAGAGAGTCTTGCTCTATTGCCCAGGCTGGAGTGTAGTGGTGCTGATCTCAGCTCACTGCAACCTCTACCTCCTGGGTTCAAGCGATTCTCCTGCCTCAGCCTCCCAAGTAGCTGGGATTACAGGCATGTGCCACCATCCCTGGCTAATTTTTGTTTTCTTAGTAGAGACAGGGTTTTTGCCATTTTGGCTAGGTTGGTCTCGAATTCGTGGCTTCAAGTGATCTGCCTGCCTCAGCCTTGGGTTGAGATTACAGGCATGAGTCACAGAGCCTTCCTGGCCTAATCTAGTTAATTTCTTTTCTTCTTATTTATTTATTTATTTGTTTGTTTGTTTATTTATTTTTTGAGATGAAGTCTTGCTCTGTTTTCCAGGCTGGAGTACAATGGCATGATCTTGGCTCACTGCAACCTCTACCTCCCGGGTTCAAGCAGTTCTCCTGCCTCAGCCTCCCAAGTAGCTGGGACTACAGGCACGTGTCACCATGCCCGGCTAATTTTTGTATTTTTAGTAGAGACGGGGTTTCACTATGTTGGCCAGGCTAGTCTCGAACTCCTGACCTCAGGTGATCCACCCGCCTTAGCCTCCCAAAGTTCTGGGATTACAGGAGTGAGTCACCATGCCCAGGAGATAACTCAATTGTAATAATTATAATAATCCCAGCCTTGATTTTTGGAAGTATAATCTTCCCCAGTTTTTTCTATGGCCCTTCTAACTCTGTTCATTTTTACTGTACACATGATGCCCTCCTGTGCCAGGCACTGGGCCTGGAATATTAAAGGGTCTCAACAACTATTTCTTCTTCTTCTTCATCATCATTATTATGTTATTAATCATCATCATCATCATCATCATGCTATTAAAAATAGTAACCGTGGCTGGGTGCGGTGGCTCAAGGCTGTAATCCTAATGCTTTGGGAGCCTGGGGAGGGAGGATTGCTTGAGTCCTGGAGTTTGAGAACAGCCTGGGCAACATATCACGACCCTATCTCTACAAAAAATTAGCCAGGTGTGGTGGCGCATGCCTGTAGTCCCAGCTACTCCAGAGACTGAGGAGGGAGGATCGCTTGAGCCTGGGAGGTCTAGGCTGCAGTATGCTACGATCATGCCACTGTACTTCTAGCCTAGGTAAGAGAGTGAGAGTCTGTCTAAAAATAAAAAAAGCAACCAACAAAGCCAGTCCTTGGGAGAGCCAGGAATGAGGCTGAATAGTCTGTGCCACACATACAAATGCTCTGTCAATAGTCCCATGTCACAGTCCCTTGTTTAGTTTCCATAGTCCCTTGTCCCCCTTTTCAAATGAACAGGATATAAATTATAAGTAAAAACCTCCTGAGTTACTTCCTTATTCCACCTCTCTCCCACTAGATGTAAACTCCTTGAAGGCAGGCAGTTCCCTATAGATCCTGTTCCACATTTAACACAATATCCTTAACACAACGCAGACCTAATACATATTTGCTACCTAAGGAAGGCTAAGAGCAGGTAATGATTGAGGCACAAAGGGAAAGAGAGAAAACACTGGTCAGAAAACTGACTGGTTTATTTCCCCTTTATTTTCTCCTGTCAGTCCTGTCAGAACCATTCTAGAGGCCAAGGACCTAGGGTGGCCAGTCTGCACAGCCATTTGAGATCCCAAATCAGGGATCTGCCCTCCATTGGTTCACCTTTGGTCAGGGGAGAATTAAATGGGCACACCAGGGCAGGTCCCTGAGATGTGGCAGTTTAGGCAGAGGGAAGTGTGTGAACTTAGACTTGTTCAACACCAGGGTCACTAAGCACTGAGCGAGCCCTGCTCCTTCCAATGCCCACCTCCAACCTTCCCTTTTTCTTACCTCCCATCACCCACCCTCAGGCTGAATCCCAGACACCCTGCTCTCCCAGGACAGCAGGGGACGCCGCAGACCCCCCAATTCCTCCCTTGGGTCCTGGAGCTGCACTTCTGAAGTCTGGTCCCTTCAGGATCTGGCAGGGGGTGAAGACCAAAGGAGAGGAGGGGGTGAAGCAGAGGAGTCCATCTAGGAGGAGATGGTTCTGCTCCCCCTTCTCTGGGTGTTCCCCACTGGCCTCTCCCTGGGATCCTGAGTCCAGGGGCAGGGAGTGCTGGCCCTCAGGACAGAGACACGGGCACTGCTGGCTATGCATTCACGCTGCTCCTTCTGCTGGGGATTTCGGGTGAGCCCCCAGAATGGGGTAAGCCCTAGGTAGGGACAGGGGCTTCAGACTAGGAAAGGCTGCACAGGGCATGGGTGAGGACCCTCTGTAGCAGCAAGAATCCATCAAGAGTGCCTCCCATATTCCCCATTCTCCCACTAGGAGGTCTAGGCTGCAGTATGCTATAATCATCCCACTGTACTTCTAGCCCAGGTAACAGAGTGAGACCTTGTCTCACTCTGTCTTCCCCATTTCATTCAACAATATAACCAGTTACTCAAGACAAATATTGTACCTCACTTCCCCTCACCTTCCACATCCAATGCACATACCATTCTTGTCAGTTTTACTTCCAAAACTGACAAATGAGGATGAACCAGAGAATCTCTTGAAGTCAAGTAAGACACTTCAGGCAGAGGCAGCATGCCTGGATGGACTGAGGGAAGGGAATCTGTGTAAGGAGGAAAGAGGACCTGAGTTTGGGAAATGACCATGGAGGGGTGAGGGTGGAGGGGCAGGATTCCAGGCTGCATCCCTCCAAGTCTTCTTGCCCTTTGTTGGCAGTCTGTGGGCGGCCCACAGTCTCATCTGGTATTGCCTCAGGCTGGGGGGCTAGTGTGGGGCAGTGGCCCTGGCAGGTCAGCATCCGCCAGGGCTTGATTCACGTCTGCTCAGATACCCTCATCTCAGAGGAGTGGGTGCTGACAGTGGCGATCTGCTTCCCGTGAGTGCTGGCCCTGCTGTGTGGAGACCCATCAGGGCACCTGGGTGACTGCACCGCCTGAGAGGCCGGGGTGGGGCTTATCGTGCACTGCCCAATACACTATGTTGTGCGTTATTAATGGGTTCAAATACTTCCTACTCTAGCTCTCAGTTCAGTGCAACTACTCTCAGACTTCAGGCTTCTTCAAATTTAACATTATCTTGATTGAAATGACTACCTAAAAATAGTTACATTCTCCCACCCCATTCCTCAATTCGAAGCCTCTACCCAGGAGACATCCCCCAGGAAGGGCTCCTTCCCTTACAGCAGCATGCCTACACCTCATACCACTCTTCAGAGGCACAATCCTGAGCCTTCTTCACTACCCCTAAGTTAACTCATCCATCTTTGTTTTTTTCCTTTTTGAAAGAAAGTGTGCTTACACTTGCCTCTTATTTTAAAATATTTTTATTTTATTTGTATGCATTTATGGAGTACAAGTATAATTTCTGTTATATGCCTAGACTGCATAGCAGTGATGTCAGAGCTCTTAAGGTATCCATCACCCAAATAATGTACATTGTACCCATTAAGTAATTTCTCATTATCCACCCTCTTCCATTTCCCTTGGTTTAAATGTCATATATTTGCTGATAACACTCGCACTTGCATCTCTAGCCCCAAACACTAGTCCTGATGCACTTCTATTTGGCATCTCAAGGGTAACATGGTCAGAAAAGGTAATTTTACCACCATCACTGTCCCCCAATCTTTTTCTCTCTCTGCCTTCCCCATTTCATTCACCAATGTAACCAGTTACTCAAGACAAATATTGTATCTCACTTTCCCTCACCTTCCACATGCAATGCATATACCATTCTTGTCAGTTTTACTTCCAAAATATACTTTGACTCTAACATAGCTACCCCTGGACCTTTGCAATAGTATAATAGGTTTTACTACCTTCAATACACACCAAAAAATGACTTTTTAAAGTTAGAGGTGAGATAACATCACTCCCTGCTTTGAATCCCCCAGCGGTTGCCCAGGCACCTATAATAAAACCCAAATGACACATTGTGGCCTACAAGCCATGAATCACCAGGTGTCTGCCCACTTTTCCAACCTCATCCTATTCTCCAGCTTTTCTTTCAGTTCCTGGAGACTGCCAAGCTCTTTCTCACCCTCAAGGCCTTGCATACTCTATTCCCTGTCTGGAATGCTTTTATCGATCTTAAGGCTGACTTCTTCCTTTTGGGACTCAGTTGAAAAGTTACCTCAACAAGACCTTTCCTGACCATCCAATAAAGACTCTCCCCGCTTCCTTTACTCTCTACTTTAAAATTGTGTGTTTTCTTCATAACATTTATCACAATTTTAAATTTTGTACTTGTTTGTTGCTTGTCTCTCTCTCCCTGCCCCAACACACACACACACCCCTACACACCCCTTAAAATTATAGCCCTGTGACGGCCAGATTGTATCTATTTTAATTTCATTTATACTACCAGGAGATGCTCAATACTTTTTGAAGGAATGAAAGCCTCAGAAGAACTAGAGGAAAAATGCCATATCCAGAACAATGGGCTCTGCTATGATGACCCAGGGCAGAGTCACAAGAAACCCACGGTATCTCTTCTGCTTCTCTTCTCAGGTCTAAGGATGCCAGGAAATACAGTGTATTGGTGGGCTCAGATCTTTGGTTGTGCAGACTCCAAAATGACGATAATACCTGTGTCCCAGATTATCCCCCCACCCTGATTTCCAAGCAAACACATCTAGTGCCATCGCTGTGGTAGAACTGCCCTCCCCAGTTTCTGTTAGCCCTGTTGTCCTGCTCATCTGCCTTCCCTCATCTGAAGTCTACCTGAAGAAGAATACAACCTCCTGCTGGGTGACTGGATGGGGCTATACTGGAATATTCCAATGTGAGGATACATTGATTTTCTGTGTTCTAACTTCTTCGACTGACATTCTCTCTGCCTGCTCTCTATCCTAGCCCTAGAGCACCAGATATACTACAGTAATCTGAGGTGCTTCAGACTTCAAATTCTCTGTGACCCTTTGCCTCTTTCATATTTCTTCTGCTATAATCTCTTTGCTTATTGATACCTGCTTTTGTTCTTGTTTAGCAATAGTGCTGAGACCTTAAAAGTAAAAAGGACAGAGTAATGAATTTAGAGATAGGATAGTTCTGTTCAGTCTGAGAAGTAATATAGTTTTCCCTCCATACCTGGGTGGAGTGTGTGTGGGTAGGTGGATAGGGGAAGGAGACATGAAGATGTGTTCAGGAAAGTAAGGACACTCAGCAAAAGTTCCTGACTCAAACTAGCTAGGAGAGTACAGCTTCATTTCTGGGTAATTCTTCTTACTAGATCTACCCCTTATTTCTATAGAAAAATAAATACATATTCTGAAGACAACTTAAATCCGCATTCTGTTTTGGGTTTTCCTAAATTACAAGATTTTTCTGTTACTAATTTGTGCTATGTGAACAGGAGCCAACTGCCCACGGTCTTGTTCAGCGCCAGGGAGCTCAGCCTTTAGGTTGTTTCCCAAACCAGAAATCAGGATGCTATCTAACATGGGGCAGAATATTTGAAATTAGAGCTTTATCTGAAAATCAAAGGCACAAAATCTGTATCCATGGCCAGAAGTCACTTTTTAATTAAGACAGCTTTGACTCTTTTTGGCCCTACAGATATCAAGCGTTCTTATACACTGAAGGAGCTGAAAGTGCCCCTCATTGATCTCCAGACATGCGGTGACCACTATCAAAATGAAATCTTGCTGCACGGAGTTGAGCTCATCATCAGTGAAGCTATGATCTGCTCCAAGCTCCCAGTGGGGCAGATGGATCAGTGTACTGTAAGAATCCACCCCTCAGGCACCTTTCACAGGCCTTGCCTTCCCCAGTGTGCTTCCTCCACTTCTCATATCTTCAGAGACCCTGGGTGAACCCAGGAGTGTCTGGACAGGCCTAACTGTACAGTTCTTGGCTAAACTGTTGAAGAGTTTCACCTCCTTCCCTTTGCTCTATGTACTGTCTAGCCAACATTCTTCTCTCTCTCTCTCTCTCTCTCTCTCTCTCTCTCTGGGCAGTAGATGAGATCCCGTGATGTGTCAAGTTGAAGATTTCTAGGTCCTGGCAGGAGTGGTAAGCCAGGGATCAAACTGCATCCAAACCAGTGGGCCTGGAATATACACAAACATCCATTTCTACAAGTCTTGGATTGAGAAGTCTCCCATCTCGCTTGCTGAGTTTTCTGCTACCCTCAGTCTGGGCCTCTCTGGGCTCCTGCCTATTATGCTTCTGCCTCTGATTTTCCTGAGGCCACCTTAACTGGCTGAGGTCAGTATGCCCTGGGTAAAGTGACAGTTGAGAATGAGAGAAAAAGGAAATTCCAGAGTTGAGGATTCTGAAGACAGATTTTGAAGAGTCAGCAAGACAGACGCAGTTCTGCTGTCCCATAAGCCTAATTTGCTTGTTGCCTTTCCCCCGCACAAGTCAGCCTAGTAAACAAGATCCCCAGAGTGAATAAAATTTGGTTGATTCTAACAAATTAGTTCTTATATTCATTCTTTTGATGAAATTGAAGACAGAGCCTGGGGAAGTGCAGAAGCAGAGAACTTGAGGGTTAAAGGAATCTGGACATCACTTAGCCCAACACATTCTATAGGTGAAGATGCTGGGGTCCAGAGGTTAGTTTGCCACTTACTTAATCCAAGATGAAAACCATCCAACCCTGGGATTAGACTGGATTCTGAGGAAAAAGTAGGGACTTGGAAGATTAGAAGATTTCAGATAAAACGGGCCAGGCCGGAGGAGGAGCCCCGGCAGTATATTAGTTATCTATTGCAGTACAACAAATAACCCCAACACTCAGTAGCTAAAACAATGAACATTTATTATCTCATAGTTTCTGCAGGACAGTTATCTGGAAGACTTAGCTGGTTAGTTATGGTTTAGGATCTTTCAAAAAGCTACTGCTGTGTCAGCCACAGCTGCAGTCATCAAGGCTCAACTAGGAAAGGATCAGCTTCCAAGCTCACTCATGTGCCTGTTACCATTCATGTGGGCCTCGCTGAAGGAATGCCTTTGGCAGCTGGCTTCTCCCAGAGTGAATGATCCAAGACAGAGCAATAGAGAACACCCAAAATGGAAGCTACAGTTTTTGTTGTTGTTGTTGTTGTTGTTGTTGTTGTTTTGGACAAAGTCTCACTCTGCGGCCCAGGCTGGAGTGTGGTGGTATAAACACAGCTCACTGCAGCCTCGACCACCTGGGCTCAAGTGATCCTCCCCACTTCAGCCTCCTGAGTAGCTGAGACCACAGGTACACACCACCACTCTGAGCTATTTTAAAATTTTTGTGGAGACAAAGTCTTGTCATGTTGCCCAGGGTGGTCTTGAACTCCTGAGCTCAAGTGATCCTCCTGCCTTCGTCTCCCAAAGTACTGAGATTACAGGCATGGGCAACCATGCCTGGCCAGCCACAGTCTTTTTATAACCTAATCTCAAAACTGACAACTCAGCTGGGTGTAGTGGCTCACTCACGTCTGTAATCCCAGCTTTGGGAGGCTGAGGTGGGCAGATCACCTGAGGTCAGGAGTTCAAGACCAGCCTGGCCAACATGGTGAAACGTTGTCTCTATTAAAAATACAAAAATTAGCCGGGCATGGTGGTGGGCGCCTGTAATCCCAGCCACCCGGGAGGCTGAGGTAGGGGGAGAATCGCTTGAACCTGGGAGCTGGGGGTGAGCCAACATCCCGTCACTGCTCTCCAGCCTGGGCAACAGAGTGAGACTCTGTCTCAAAAAAAAAAAAAAAAACCAAACAAAAAAAAAACCCTAACATCTCATTATTTCTTATAGTATTCTATTCTTTAGTAGTAAGTCAACAAGGTGTGAATATCAGGAGCTGAAGATCATTGGAGGCCATCTTGAAGGCTGTCTTCACAAACAGAGAGTACAGGAAGAGTCTGGAATGAGAGCCTGAGAAGCTAAGGCTGACTGTGTTTAGTAGTCATGGATTAAATTTTATAGTTGTGTTCTCAGGTGTGTTGGTGTTAATGAAGGTGTTTACTAGAGATATTTCCAAAATGTAACATCCTGTAGACAATCAGAGTAGTCTAAGAACATGTTTCATATGAAAAATATGCTGCCTTATTTTCTTTTTTTCCTTTTTTTCTGATATACAAAGAATGGTTAAAAACATGGGATCTGATGCTGACCAGAGCTGAGTTGGATTTCATAGGATGCGGATTAAAATACAATAATAGACACAATGCTCTACATTACTTGATGAATAAAGAATAAAAAATAAGGAAGGAGTTTTGGCAAGACAGTGGAATGAACAACTGCAAAGTGAATATTCCTCATTCTAATTGAATGCTAATAAAATCATTGTTTAAAAATGATAATTTTCATAAATAATCACAAAAGGTAATTACATAATAATAAATTAATTAAATGTGGGCCATTAAAAAGCTTTCCATACATATAAAAAAAGAATTCAGAAAAAAACAAATTCCCAAATGCAAAAATTATCAAATTATAAGCAGGATAAAGAATGATTACAATTTATTCTCAAAGGCATACTGTTTATGTCAGTAACATCTTGTTAGAATTTTTGCAGATGACAACACCACAGAATTTCAAACAAGGCATACTTGACACTGTGGAAAATGCTTCAGCAAAAGAAAAGGTAAACTCACTACACATGTGGGATGCTAAATCAGTTGAAAAAAAAAAAAAGAGGATAGAATGTGAGAGAAGATGATGGATCTAGATAGTGGAGCCAAAAAATAGAAGGAGATAAAAGGAGGTTATAAAATCACAAAATATAACAGTTGGAAGGCACTTTACAAATTATCCGATACTACTCCAAGCTCAAGGCATAAGTTTGCTTTTTAATAGAATGATCAATTAATCCTTATATTTATTTTATTTCTTTTCTTTTTTTTTTTTTTTTTTTTTTTTAAAGACAGAGTCTTGCTGTGTCACCCAGGCTGGAGTATAGTGGCACAATCTCAGCTCACTGCAACCTCCACCTCCCAGGTTCAAGCAATTCTCATGCCTCAGCCTCCGGAGTAGCTAGGATTACAAGTGTGCACCACCACACCCAGCTAATTTTTATATTTTTTGTAGAGACATGGGGTTTCTCCATGTTGCCCTTGCCCAGGTTGGTAATGAACTCCTGACCTCAAGCGATCCACCCGCCTCAGCCTTCCAAAGTACTGGGATTACAGGTGTGAGCCACAGCGCCTGGCCCCCTTATACTTATTACAGCAGCTTTGGAAAATTATTCATTGTTGGGAATGAGGGAATGGGAACTATTTTCACTACACAGTATTGCCCACCCCTTGCCCACAAGAATCATCTAAAACTGAAAGTTAACAAGTAAAATAACACACATAATGGATGAGATAGTTACATGTAGGACAAACCTAAAAGATTTTAGTAAATACACACCTCATGTTTTAGGAAGAAGGTAATCTTGGAGACTTGGGTATAATCTTAAGGCAACGTACTAGGAATGAGATCGTACCGATGAAAGTTTAAATCTAATCAACAGTATTATGCACTGGTTGAAGAAAACCAGGATTAAGACGGAGGATAGTCAGCATGGAATCTAAGAAGGGAAAAGTCCGTTAACTATATGTGTTCATCAGATTCTAAGCTGTTAAGGGAGAAAGACCCTGAGTCTAATGAATATAAACTTTAAATTTAAAGAAAAACATGTTCTGTTATAGAAAAGTGGTCTTTCAGTTTTTGTAAAGATGAGCTATTTCATCTTTGTAAGTGAAATGCTCATGGAGATTAGCTACCTCCATTTGTTCTCATTGTAAACCTCTTTAAACCACAACACATTTAGTTGCTCGACTCATATGAAGAAGAGGTGCCCTGGTTGGGAAAAGTGAAAATTCCGAATAATGGAAATGAATAGCCCTTAGTGAGAATAAATATTCTGGTTCATACATAAGCCTCAGAGTTTAGTGAGTCAGTCCCTTGAATTTGATCTCTTCTAGGTGCTCTGACAAGGCCTGAAGTCCAGAAGTTAAAAAGCTAAGAACCCAGAGACTAGATTGAGATTACTTGAGTCAAGTCATGTTGCTTATGGAAGACCTGCCTAAGTGAATTCTCTGGATAACATGACATATCTATCTCATTTCCTAACAATGGCAGAAACTCATATTTACTTTATGACTCCTCTGTGTTAAGTACTATGCTGGTCACTTTAAATATTATCTTATTTTGTCTTAACAACTCAAGAAGGTACTATTTAGCCCCGTTTACAAATGAAATAAAAACACACAAAACTGAGGTTCAAAGAGGCTAAGTAATCTGCCTAAGACTAAACAGCTAATATTTAATTTAACAGATCTAGCCAGGGCTGTCAGACTTCAAAAATATGGCTTTTTCAGCTGGGTGTGGTGGCTCACGCCTGTAATCCCAGCACTTCTGGAGGCCGAGGTGGAAGGATGATTTGAGGCCAGGAGTTTGCAACAATCCTGGGCAACATGGTGAGACTCAGTCTCTCTCTAAAAAAAAAAAAAAATAAATAAAATAAATTAGTCTAGCATAGTGGCACGTGCCTGTAGTCCCAGCTACTCATGAGGCTGAGGTGGGAGGATTGATTAAGCCTGGGAGGTCAAGGCTACAGTGAGCTGTGATTGCGCCACTACACTCTAGCCTGGGCGACAGAGCAAGACCCTGTTGTCAAAGAAAAAAAAAAAGGCTCTTTCCACTATACCAAATTACCTCCGTTCATTGTTGGAAAGCTATAAGGTTTTTCCTTACATTACACCAAAATAACACTTGCCCTTTGGCCCTAGTTATTTGTACCTCTTGTACTTCTTATCTCTATTTGTAGTTCCTTGAGTGAACATAGCTTTTATTTTTCCTTCTGAATAGATAAAAACAGACTTGAGAAAATTAACTAATGTCCTATTCATCTTTTTGACCTTCTAACAACACGTAGTATCCTGCAAACAAAGTATCAAATCTTGTTTTTTTCAATTAACAAAATGAGAACTATAGACTATAGAAAGCCAGCTGTCAAAAAAATAGGGAAGAATTCCTTTAGTATGAGAAGTGAATAAACATAAAAAGGGAAATGTATTTTGTTAGTGACCAAAAGAACAGGTGCATTAGTTGGTGATCAAAATAACCAGTCCCCCCTGTAAAGGGGGACTGGTTTTAAAGGGCATTAGTGTTTCAAGCAAGTAGGATGGTGCTCAGAGAAAGATTAGTCCCTGTGGAGGAGATGAGTGCAGTCCAGGGAAACCTGTAGACTGGTCAATAAAGCAAACAGCCAGGAAGAGAAAGAAGATTGTCTGTGAAAGGTTGTCCAAGGCTTGGCCCTGACATAACAGATGCTAAGTACATGACATGTTGCTTAATGATGGAGATCCGTCCTGAGAAATGTGTCATTAGGTGATTTCGTCATTGTGTGAACATCGTAGAGTGAAATGACACAAAACTCAGTGATACAGCCAACTACACACCTAGGTTACATGCTATAGTCTATTGCTCATAGGCTACAAACCTGTGCAGCAAGTTACTGTACTGAACACTGTAGGCAACTATAACACAATGGGACGTATTTATGTATCTAAACATAGAAAAGGTACAGTAAAAATATATTATAAAAGATAAAAACTGGTACACCTATATAGGGCACTTACTGTGAATGGAGCTTGCGGGAATAGAAGTTGCTCTGGATGAGTCAGTGAGTGAGCAGTGAGTGAATGTGAACGCCTAGGACATGATAGTACACTACTGTAGACTTTATAAACACTGTACGCTTAGGCTACACTAAGTGTATTTTTTTATTATTATTATACTTTAAGTTTTAGGGTACATGTGCACAATGTGCAGGTTAGTTACATATGTATACATGTGCCATGCTGGTGTGCTGCACCCATTAACTCGTCATTTAGCATTAGGTATATCTCCTAATGCTATCCCTCCCCCTCCCCCCACCCCACAACAGTCCCCAGAGTGTGATGTTCCCCTTCCTGTGTCCATGTGTTCTCATTGTTCAATTCCCACCTATGAGTGAGAATATGCGGTGTTTGGTTTTTTGTTCTTGCGATAGTTTACTGAGAATGATGATTTCCAATTTCATCCATGTCCCTACAAAGGACATGAACTCATCATTTTTTATGGCTGCATAATATTCCATGGTGTATATGTGCCACATTTTCTTAATCCAGTCTATCATTGTTGGACATTTGGGTTGGTTCCAAGTCTTTGCTATTGAGAATAGTGCCACAATAAACATATGTGTGCATGTGTCTTTATAGCAGCATGGTTTATAGTCCTTTGGGTATATACCCAGTAATGGGATGGCTGGGTCAAATGGTATTTCTAGTTCTAGATCCCTGAGGAATTGCCATACTGACTTCCACAATGGTTGAACTAGTTTACAGTCCCACCAACAGTGGAAAAGTGTTCCTATTTCTCCACATCCTCTCCAGCACCTGTTGTTTCCTGACTTTCTAATGATTGCCATTCTAACTGATGTGAGATGGTATCTCATTGTGGTTTTGATTTGCATTTCTCTGATGGCCAGTGATGGTGAGCATTTTTTCATGTGTTTTTTGGCTGCATAAATGTCTTCTTTTGAAAAGTGTCTGTTCATGTCCTTTGCCCACTTTTTGATGGGGTTGTTTGTTTTTTTTCTTGTAAATTTGTTTGAGTTCATTGTAGATTCTGGATATTAGCCCTTTGTCAGATGAGTAGGTTGCGAAAATTTTCTCCCATTTTGTAGGTTGCCTGTTCACTCTGATGGTAGTTTCTTTTGCTGTGCAGAAGCTCTTGAGTTTAGTTAGATCCCATTTGTCAATTTTGGCTTTTGTTGCCATTGCTTTTGATATTTTAGACATGAAGTCCTTGCCCATGCCTATGTCCTGAATTGTAATGCCTAGCTTTTCTTCTAGGGTTTTTATGGTTTTGGGTCTAATGTTTAAGTCTTTAATCCATCTAAGTGTATTTTTAAAAGTTTTCTTTAATAATAAATTAATCTCTGCTTACTATAACTTTTTTACTTTATAAACATTTTGATTTTTAAGAACTTTTGACTCTCCTAATAACACTTAGCTTAAAACACAAACACATTGTATAGTTGTACAAAAATATTTTCTTTCCTTGTATCCTTATTCTATATGCTTTTTTCTCTTTTTAAAAATTTTTTATTTTTACCTTTTAAGCTTTTCTTTAAAAAAAAACAAAAACAAAAAAACTAAGACACAAGCACACACATTAGCCTAGGCCTACACAGGGTCAGGATCATCAGTATCACTGTCTTCCACCTCCACATCTTGTCCCACTGGAAGGTGTTCAGGGGCAATAACATGTATGGAGCTGTCATCTACTATGATAACAATGCCTTTTGCAGAATACTTCCTGACAGACCTGCCTAAAGCTGTTTTGCAGTTAACTTTTTTTTTTTTTAAAGTAGACAGGGTACACTGTAAAATAATGATTAAAAGTATAGCATAATAAATACATAAAGAAGTAACATACTCATTTATTATCATTATCAGGTATTATGTTGATATAGTTTGGATGCTGACCCCACTCAAATCTCATGTTGAATTGTAATCCCCAATGTTGGAGGTGGGGCCTGGTGGGAGGTGATTGGATCACAGGGGTGAGTTTCTCCTGAATGGTTTATTACCATCCTCTTGGTACTATCCTCAAAATAGTGTGTGACTTCTGTTCATTAAGTGTATGGCACCTCCCCACTCTCTCTCTTGCTTTCACCATGTGATGTGCCTGCTCACCCTTTGCCTTCTTCCATGATTGGAAGCTTCTTGAGGCCTTCTCAGAAGCAGATGCCGCTATGCCTCCTGTGCAGCCTGCAGAACCATGAGCCAATTAAAGCTCTTTCTTTATAAATTACTCAGTCTCAGGTATTTCTTTACAGCAATAGAAGAATGGCCTGCCACATATGTACTGTATGTAATTGTATATGTTATGCTTTTATACAACTGGCAGTCAGTAGGTTTATAACAGCACCACCATGAACACTTGAGTAATGCATTGCCCTACAGCTCTAATGTCACTAGGCAATAGGAATTTGTCAGCTCCATTATAATCTTATGGAACCAACCTAGTATAAGTGGTCTGAAATGTCATTATGAGGCACATGACTGTATATGGACTAATTCTAGCACTTACTGATTTGTGAAACAAAAGCTTCACAAAAAATTTCTTGTCCAAGTTCAAAAACTAAAACTAGACTGGACCTTTTAGTACACAAAGGCAAAAGCCAAGGCCTGATATACACGTACTAGAGAAGTCAATTATTCTTTTTTTTGAGACAGGGTCTCAACTCTGTCACCCAGGCTGGAGTGTAGTGTCCCAATCATAGCCCACTGCAGTCTCAACCTCTCAAGTTCAAGCAATCCTCCCACCTCAGCCTCCTGAGTAACTGGGACTACAAACATGCAACACCCCGCCTGGCTAATTTTTTAATTTTTCTGTAGAGATGGGGGTCTCATTATGTTGTCCAGGCTGGTCTTGAATTCCTAAGCTCAAGCAATCCTTTCACTTTGACCCCCCAAAGGCCTAGGATTATAGGCATGAGCCACTATGCGTGGCCTCAGATATTCTTTAGGAGACTGTTTTATAAGGAGAGCTATTCATTTTCCAATATAGTAGACTGATTGATGGGTTGAATTAGAAAACAGACAATGGTGTCCATTTGCCCTTTCTGTTAATACAGATAAAAAGCTACAAAACTTGCAAATCTATTGTTTTCCCTGTTTTATCCTCAGGGTGCTCAAAAGAAGACTGAATTCTTGAAGTAGCATCTTTGCTTTACAGCAGTGGTTCTCCCAGGGGACATTTGGCAATGTCTGGGGATATTTTTGGTTGTCACAACTAGGTGTAGTAGGTATTACTGGCATTTAATAGGTAGAGATTAGGGATGCTGCTTAATATCCTGCAATGAACAGGCTAGCTACCCCACAACAAAGAATCATCTGGCCCAAAATGTCAATAGTGCCAAGGTTGAGAAGCCCTGGTCAATAGGTACCATCAACATCAATCCAAGCCATCACCAAGATAAACTGTTTGGGTAGAATTAAATACTTAAAGCTGAGAAATGAGTTCAATAACAACAATAATAAAAATAACAGCTGCCATTAATTATCACATGCTAAATAGGCCAAACCCAAGCTAAGTATTAACTCTATAATATCTCATTTCTTATGAAAATCTTGTGGGATATTATTATTCCTATTTTGCAGCAATTATTATTATATTTATTGTGTATGGCAGAGGTATTTAAAGATAACGTTAATGATGGCATAGGGTAATAATCTGGGGACAGATAATCTAAGACCTGAAGACACGGCACGATGAGAGAGGAAGAAACTGTAAGAGCTGTGTTCAGGAAAGTCCTTGGGGTGAGCATTAAGAACCCACTCTCTTGCTTCCAACTCTTTGGCACTTCCTTATAAGAGCCAGTGAAGCAGTAAAATGGCAGATCCAACATGTTTCTTGATTACTGAATAAAAAGGAAGAAACTATTTATAGACAGATAATGTAGGCAAAAGGCAAAGATAAATAGATAAAATACGGTGATAAACAAGCAATGCATAATTTAATCTTTGAGATCATCAACTGATTCCAGCACCTTCATGGTACAATGGGAAAATAAAAGCCTTAGGGAAAAGATGACTTGCTTAAGGTAATAAGGTAATACAGCCATACCCATGAAAACGAAAGAATAGCACTGTGGGCTGAAAACCAGAGGAACTTTCTCCAAAATGATACATCATTTTAGCTTAGATTTAGAAAGGGTTAAGAGGGTCCCACCTTTGTCTTTAGGAATAGATATTTTCTTACAAAGCTAAATGCCATTATCACACCTGTCAAGATTAACAATAAACTGGTTTGTTAAATCAGGATCCAAACACACTTATGTCTCTTAAGTGTCATAATCTAGAGCAGTCTCTCTCCCTTTTTTACCTTCACAACATGGACTTACAACAGTAACTGGGTCAGCTGCTTTGTAAAATGTCCTACATTCTGGATTTGTCTATCTACTTCCTTAAGTTGTAATCTGACTTACTCCTTTATCCCTTATATTTGCTGCAAGTGAAAGTAGCTTTAGAGATTCAGGTTTCACTTTTCTTTTTTTTTTTTTAACAAGGATACTTCATAGGGGGTAACATCAGGAGGCACATGTCTGCCTTGTCCCACTTTTAGTGATGCTAAGAGTGATCAGAGGGTTCAAATGGTAACAGCCTCAGCTCTCTTATCAACTTTTCATCTAAAGACTTGATAGTCATTCCTTGAATCAATTATTACATGAGGGGCTGTAAGTGGTGATTTTCTAATGCTGCTGGTCCAACTACATTTATTAGTTGGAATTCTTCTCTCACCAACTAAACCTATTTTGATACTCTGAATTACACTTTATACAGGAAAACTAGGATAACTATTTAATTCTTTCCTTTTACCTTCCAATTTTCAAAATAAAGTACTGGTGCCTTAGTTACATCAGTAACTGATGTAGAGTTTATTTCCAACTAAATTTAACAGATACCAAAACTGAAATATCTATTTACAAAACATTTAAACAAAGGAGAGGAGAGATTCTGTGAGCAATCCAACTAACATATAAAGGGTATAAGCCAGTACTTCCGATTTGTCCAGTGATGTATTAATAAAAGTCCAGCCAGGCACGGTAGCTCACACCTGTAATCCCAGCACTTTGGGAGGCCGAGGCGGGTGGATCACGAGGTCAGGAGTTTGAGACCATCCTGGCTAACATGGTGAAAACCCGTCTCTACTAAAAATACAAAAAATTAGCTGGGCGTGGTGGTGGGCGCCTGTAGTCCCAGCTACTCGGGAGGCTGAGGCAGGTGAATCGCTTGAACCTCGGAGGCGGAGGTTGCAGTGAGCCGAGATTACGCCACTGCACTCCAGCCTGGGCGACAGAGCGAGACTCCATCTCAAAAAAAAAAAAAAAAAAAAAAAAAGAAGTCCAAAGACCTGGGACAACCACAAAATCCTCAGAGGGAAAGGACTCTCTGGTCAAGTTTTTTGCTCCTGTGGTAAGTCAACAGAAAGATCTGTCCAAAGCTTTCAGGTCTCTGCAAAATGAATAATAAGCTACCTTTACTCTAAACATGATCAGAAGGCAAATCTCAAACTGAGGTCTGACCTTTTAAAAGAACTATATTAAGTGAGTTAACTCAATAGCTAAAATTGTCTGTGAATACCATAAATTAATTGGAATATTCACAAAGATGGTTGTGCTATGAATAAGAAATCTTTTTCTTCAATGAAACGAGCTGGAGAAAACTGCCGGTTGTAATGTTAATTTCAGAAAAAATTAAGATGAAAAATACTAAGAGTCATTGTATAATGATAAAATCAGTGAGTAGCAGAAAACCAGAGTGAATGCATAAACCACAAAAACAAAATTGGATACACAAAACAAGAACCATTAAAAATGTATTCAGAAACTATCACAAATGTAATAGTAGTAGTAGATTTTCATCCCCATCAAGCAGACACAAATGAAAACAAATGAATTTTAAAAACATAAATTTGGTAAAAATTCATGGTGTTGCAGTGTTTGCTTAAAAAAGCAAATGGAGAGATTTTTTTCACGTGTTCACTTCTAAAATCTTTTAAAATGTATTTAAAGAGGTAAACATCTTTATGCTACTTTACTGAGATATAGCAAACCTGGCATCTGCCCTGCCACAATAGCCCCTGCAACTGAGCTGGCCATATTTCTGCATCCCCATCTTCTCACCTTCCCATATGAGGGTACTTACCCCAAGGACAGTTAATCCATGGCCATGAACCTATATCCTGGTTAGAAAAGATAATCTGTGCCAAATAAGACGTCTTGGGAGTCTGAACTGAAAATAGGGAACAACTTGAGCAGTTTATAGTAGGACAGAAAGAAATGACATGGAATTCGGTTGAGCCATATTAATAGCAGAGAACCAGAGAGAAGATCCTGCTATGAGCTCTTAAGCTGTCATGAATCCAGAGCTCCTTTCCAGCTCTGGTCTTCAGGGTTGTCCTATGGCAGCTCCAGGTGTCCCTGTTATCCTGTTCTTATTATTCCATAGACATCTACATAAGTTTGCTAGGGCTGCTGTAACAAAGTACCACAGACTAGACGAACTTAACCAACAGAAATTTATTTCCTCACAGTTCTGGAGGCTGGAAGTCCAAGATCAAGGTATCAGCATGGCTGGTTCTTTCTGAGGGCCATGAGGGAAGGATTTGTTTCAGGCACCCTAGGCTTGTAAATAGCTGTCTTCTCCCTCTATAGATGTCACGTACATGACATTTCCTCTTCTAAGGACATCACTCATATGAGATTAGAACCCAACCTAATGACCTCTTTTTAATATAATTACCTCTTTAAAGACCTTATCTCCAAATATTGTCATACTCTGAAGTATGGAAGTGCGGTTAGGACTTCAAGATACGTTTTTTTTTTTTTGAGACGGAATCTTGCTCTGTCGCCCAGGCTGGAGTGCAGTGGCGCGATCTCGGCTCACTGCAAGCTCTGCCTCCAGGGTTCACGCCATTCTCCTGCCTCAGCCTCCCAAGTGGCTGGGACTACAGGCACTCGCCACTACACCCGGCTAATTTTTTGTATTTTTTAGTAGAGACGGGTTTTCACTGTGTTAGCCAGGATGGTCTCGATCTCCTGACCTCGTGACCCACCCGCCTCGGCCTCCCAGAGTGCTGGGATTACAGGCGTGAGCCACCATGCCCAGCCTCAAGATACATTTTTGAGGAGACATAATTCAGCTCAAAACAATAGCTTTAAAATAATCTCCTCTTGATTTAAGCTAGCTTAAGTGAGCCTCAGTTGCCTGTAACTGAATAGTTCTTACCAAAATATCTACATTTTCTGGTCTTCCATTATTATTTGAGACAGGTTCTTTCCGTCGCCCAAGCTGGAGCACAGTGGTACAGTCATAGCTCATGTAGCCTTGAACTACTGACTTCAAGTGATCCTCCTGCCTCAGCCTCCCGAGTAGCTGGGGACTTCAGGTGCACATCACTACACCAGGCTAATTTTTAAATTTTTGTAGATATAGGGTCTCACTGTATTGCCCAGGCTGATCTCAAACTCCTGGTCTCAAGGGATCCTCCCCGTTCAGCCTTTCAAAGTGCTGGGATAATAGGCGTAAGCTACCACGCCCAGCCACTTCTATTATTATTATTATTATTATTATTTTTTTTTTTTTAGACGGAGTCTCGCTCTGTCGCCCAGGCTGGAGTGCAGTGGCGCCATCTTGGCTCACTGCAACCTCCGCCTCCCGGGTTCAAGCGATTCTCCTGCCTCAGCCTCCCGAGTAGCTGTGACTACAGGTGCACGCCACTACACCCAGCTAATTTTTGTATTTTTAGTAGAGACGGGATTTCACCATGTTGGCCAGGATGGTCTCAAACTCCTGACCTCAGGTGATCCACCCGCCTCGGCCTCCCAAAGTGCTGGGATTACAGGCATGAGCCACCGTGCCTGGCCTATTAGTTTTAAACTGCTTATATGTTTCTTTCAAGCATCCCAATATTTTAAGTTGCAAGAGAGCAGTAACATTTTAATAGTTCATTGAATTCTGCCTCCACAGACCTAGCACCCTACAAACAATTGGCACAGAAAACAAAAGGCAGAGTGAAGATTTCTGAGGTAGATGTTGTGGTGTACCATCCAGACCCCCCTTTAGAACTGAAGCATTCATTCCCTTAGCAGCTAGGAGTGTTGGCTGCTGACAGTTCACAGCTAAGTCTTATTCCAAGAACTGCCAACAGAGCCACCTCACCCAAGGTAATGCCCCCTCCTAGGAGGTGGCCTGCATCCAATGATGCAGACCCCTAAGAACGCATCCTTCTTAGCTCAGTACAGAAAGTCTCTGAGGGCCACCTCAGCTCCAGAGAAACTTGTGAGATAGGCTGTGGCCTCTGTTGCAAACGCATCACAGTTCAACTCTCCCTCTAACCAATCCTACTACCCACCCAAGAGCTGCTGATCCTGAGACCACTCTAAAATAAATTTCCTGCACACAAATCTCTGTCTTAGAGTCTGTTTCCCAGGAAACTTGACTTGCAGTGCAGCTAACACTGTAACAGAAATGAAAACAAACAAACAAAAAAACTCAGAAAAATTAACCAGATACTGGGTTCATTTCCTCTTTTCCATTTCTTGCTTTTGGAGAATCCTGTCCACCTTCTATCTCCTTGCTAGAGACAGGGTCCTGTTTCTTCCAGTGCCCTCAACCAGCCACTCCTCAACACCACAGGCAGAAACCCCAGAAACCCTGCTCTCCCAGGACAGCAGGGGGCGCCACAGACCCCAGTTCCTCCCCTGGGTCCTGCAGCTGCACTTCTGAAGTCTGGTCCCTTCAGGATCTGGCAGCGGGTGAAGACCAAAGGAGAGGAGGGGGTGAAGCAGAGGAATCCATCTAGGAGAAGCTAGTTCTGGCAGCTCCCCATTGGCCTCTTCCTGGGAGCCTGAGTCCAGGAAGCAGGAAGCGCTCACTGGCTCTGAGGACAGAGACATGGGCCCTGCTGGCTGTGCCTTCACGCTGCTCCTTCTGCTGGGGATCTCAGGTGAGCGCCAGGGTGGGGTTGAGAAGGCAGAGGCAGAGGATTTTTACTAAAGAGGGCATCACATAGAACAATGTGACACTTCACCCATGGGATGTTAGTTATGAGTAGCACAGCCTGAGAAGGTCCTGAGAGGCTACTATATACCCAGCACCATTCCAATGCTCCCGATTGGAAATAGCAGTACACACACACACCCACAAGATCCCTATCTTCGTGGGACTTATAATCAATGCACATATTAAATGTGTAAATTATAAGGCTTGTTAGAAGGTAATAAGTACTATGAAAGGAAAGGGGCATCTGAAGTACAGGGGCAGGAGTGTTGCAATCTTTAGAAGGGTAGTTAAAGAAGGCCTCACTAAGAAGGAGTCATTTGAGCAGAACTGAAGGGGATAACTAAATTAAGTAAGAGGATCCAGGAAAAGAGCATCTCAAGCAGAGGGAACTGGAAGAGCAAACACTATTCTATGATTTCAGGTATATGCTTGTTCATTTATTTTTCTGGTCCACAGGGATTTAAAGGAAGGGTATACTGGCCAGGCACAGCAGCTCACGCCTGTAATCCCAGCACTTTGGGATGCCAAGGCGGGCAGATCACCTGAGATCAGGAGTTCAAGACCAGCCTGGGCAACATGGTGAAACCCCATCTCTACAAAAAATACAAAAATTAGCCGGGCGTGGTGGCGGGCACCTGTAGTCCCAGCTACTCAATAGACTGAGGCAGGAGAAGTGCTTGAGCCTGGAAAGTGGAGGTTGCAGTAAGCCGAGATAGCGCCACTGCACTCCAGCCTTAGCGACAGAGTAAGACCCCGTCCCCCCAAAAAACAGAAAGGGTATGCTGAGAGAGCAAAAAACTTAACAGGTAGCAAAGAAGAAAGATACACAAATACTGCAAAATGCCAATTCAGTTAAACCAAATAGCACAAAAGTAAACAGCTTGCAACCTCAACCGCATCTGAGGGCATCATTGTATTTATAAACTAACATACTTCATATTCCTGATGGTGACCTTGAATCAAGTAAAAGCTAAATTTGAATCTTCATAGAGCATTTTTTTTTTAAGAGACAGAGTCTCACTCTGTCACCCAGGTTAGAGTGCAGTGGTGCAATCATAGCCCACTGCAACCTCAGACTCCTGGGTTCAAGCAATCCTCCCACTCAGCCTCCCTAGTAGCTGGGACTACAGGTGTGGTTGAACCACACCTGTTGTGTTTGTGGCCCAAAAGAAGAAAAAAAAAACCCTGACTAGTATTTAGGAAGTGATTTGTGAAAAGTAAGAAAAGTCTCTAATATAGCACCTGTCTCCAACATTCCTTTTTCTACTTCTGTGCCTTATCTCTGGTCATCCCTAGTTTGAGAGTCCCATGTGACCTAGGGTTTCCTTCTGCCCTGCCTATCTCACCACATTTTTTTCCTTTTCTTTTCAGACAGGGTCTCACTCTCTCGCCCAGGCTGGAGTGCAGTGGCATGATCTAAACTCACCGCATCCTCCACCTCCCGGGCTCAAGCAATCCTCCTGCTTCAGCCTCCCAAGTAGCTGGGACTACAGGCATGCACCATCATGTCAGGCTAATTTCTTTATATTTTTTGTAGAGACGGTGTTTGGCCATGTTGCCCAGGCTGGTTTTGAACTCCTGGACTTGAGCAATCCACCCACCTCAGCCTCCCAAAGTGCTGGGGTTATAGGCGTGAGTCACTGTGCCCAGTCAATCTTACCACTTTCATTTGTCTATTGGTTCATTTATGTAGTCATGCAAATATTCACTGAGAACCTGTCTGTGTGCTAGCTACCAGCTAGAGCTCACACTTGTATGTAGTGTGCTGTTGTCAGTATCCACCTCTCACTGACCAGGGAACATCCACAGATAAAGCTGTGGCCCAAGTATAGGCTGACCTGCCAAGGCCAGCACCCTGCAGCAGCATCTTGGCCATCTACAACACGTCTTGAGTATACAGGTCACCAGCACACTAGAGAAAGAAGAGAAAGAGAAATGTGGAAATCTTTTTCTTTTTCAATTTTTTTTTTAGAGACCTGGTTTCACTATATTGCCCAGGCCTCAAGCAGTTCTCCCACCTCATCCTCCCAAAGCACCAGGATTACAGGCATGAGCCACTATCCCTGGTTTAAAAAAAAAATTTTAAGTTAAATGATATTCCATGTGTGCTGCTAAAGAAGGCAGGTAAGTATGTTTGTGAAGATTCCCACTAATAGGTAGAAGGCATTTGAAAATTTTGGCCTTTAACACCAATCTGGAAAATTTAAATATAAAGGAAGGTTCTCTGTTCAGTGAATCTAGATATTAGATGTGTTACTATGTGTTAATGATACCCTATTTCTTCCTTAGGTTCTTGCTTACACTCTTTTCCCAAAAAGAAAGAGCTACAATCAGGGGAGTGGTCTCCATTTTGAGCCCAAGACTGCTGGGTGTGGAACCAGAATAGGATGGAGTATGGTGTCTAGGGAGGGTTCAGGTCCTAGGAATAGATGGGAGTTTGGGAATGATGATAAGGTGGGGACCAGAGAAACAGGACTCCTAGGTTTCCACATTTCCCTTTCTTCTCTTTCTCTAGTGTGTGGGCAACCTGTATACTCCAGCCGCGTTGTAGGTGGCCAGGATGCTGCTGCAGGGCGCTGGCCTTGGCAGGTCAGCCTACACTTTGACCACAACTTTATCTGTGGAGGTTCCCTCGTCAGTGAGAGGTTGATACTGACAGCAGCACACTGCATACAACCGTGAGTTCTAGCTGGCAGCTAACACACAGACAGGTTCTCAGTGAATATTTGCATCACTTCATGAATGAACCAAAAGACAAATGAAAGTGGTAAAATAGGCAGGGCGGAAGGAAACCCAGGTCATGTCAGACTATCAAACCCGAAACAACTAGAGACAGGGCATAGAAGTAGAAAAAGGAAAGTTGGAGACAGGCACTATATTAAAGACTTTTCTTATTTTTTGCCAAATCACCTTCTAAATACCAGTCAGGAGATTTTTGTCGTGTTTTTGGGTCATAAACACAATCTGAGCTCTAAGAGCCACTGCTGTGAGAGAAGCAACTTGTCATGTGGTGAGTGTCCCTATGGAGAGGCCCATGTGGAACCCGCATCTCTAGTCAACAGCGAGAAGACCCAAAGCCTACCAACGTGAGTTTGGACACAGATCCTCCCCAGTAAGATGACTGCAGCTCACCTTGATTGCAGCTGCAGCTCACCTTGATTGCAGCCACATGAGAAACCTTGAGTCAATGGTACTCAACTAAGTCACACCTGATTCCTGACCCATAAAAACTATGAGATAAATATTTGTTGTTTTAAGCCACTAAGCTTTATAACTTATTATGCAACAATTGATAACTAATACACAACAGAAATTAAAATTCCAGGACTCTTCAATAACAACACTGAAAGTTCAATGAAAATAAGCCAGGTGTGGCAGCTTGCACCTGTAATCCCAGCTACTCATGAGGCTGAGGTAGAAGGATCACTTGAGCCTAGGAGTTCAAGGCTGCAGTGACCTATGATTGTACCACACATTCCAGCCTGGGCGACAGAGTGAGACCCTGTCTCTAAAAAAAAAATTAAGTTTAAAAAAAAACTCAAAGAAAATAGAGTAATAACTTCAAAATGCTAAAAAAAATTTATTTCCAACTTAGAATTCTACCCATATGCAAACTATCAATCAAATGTGGGATAGAAGTAAAACATTTTCACATACACAAAGCAGCAAAAATGTTACCTCTCATGCACATTTTCTCAAGAAGCCATAGGAGAATCTGCTCCACCAAAATAAAGGGGGAAAAACAGGAAAACACAGGATCCAGACAAAAGGGGAATAAAACACAGAAGAGAATCCCTAAGAAAGTCATAAAGGATAAAGAAAGTGCCAAGATGATGGCTGTGCAGCAGCCCAGATTAGAACAAGAGAGCAGAGGGCTCCAAAAAAAAGATAGTATTGATAGAATGCCTGACAAGTTTGAACAAAATGAGAGGAGATTTACACTTCTGGTGGAGAGCCTGGGGAATGAGACTGGTGATGGGTATAAAGATAAAAACAAAAAACCAAAGTGAGCCCACTTATCAACTCCAGGAGAAGCAAAACGTTTTATAAGAAATGTAATCACCCAATAGGACCCAGTAGTGAACAATGTTTACATAGTCACAAGAACAAACGCATTAAATACTGATCTAACGAAAAGTTATGATAACACTGGCTAGGAGGATGGGTGGAATGGAAGTGGGAGGTGGGGGGTAGACAGCGATGTGTAAGAAAGCTCAATCCTCACCTTCCACACTAGGAACTCAGGATTCTAAAACTGAAAAAGAAAAATCAAGAAACAGCTATATATAGGATTTCTTGAAAACACTTGAAAATTACTAAGAGCTAAAAGAGTTGAAAGTCATTGCCTCTAAATAGTTTGAACTGAGGGTGGTGGGGCAGAGAACTTGTTATTTATTTATTTATTTATTTATTTATTTTGTACATCTTATCAAATTACCTGGCATTTTAACTGTGTATATGTGTAACTGTGGTTATATTTTGCTTTAAAATTTTATTCAGAAATGAAGGTCTAGTGCTCAGAACAGAAATTAGTATGGACAATAAACAGCAATGTCTATTAAGCATACAGGTGATGGCTGAAACCATGGAGAATGGGAGAGGTAAATGAGAGAACCGGAGAGAAAACACAGGGCAAAACTCAAGCCACAAGCCTCTAGGAAGAGACCACAGAAAGAGTGGTCAGGGAAGGACGGGGAGAAAGAGAGGAAAGAAGGAGACAAATCAACCCTAGTTGAAGTTGGAAGCACCATGGTTAATTCCCAGTTGGCTACCCTCCTTTCTTGAGTAGAGACTTAGTGCTACATATAGGCAGCCTGTTCTGACCCAGCTGCAGGCCATAAGCAGGCCTCCTTTCTTTTCCCCATAGGACCTGGACTACTTTTTCATATACTGTGTGGCTAGGATCGATTACAGTAGGTGACTCAAGGAAACGTGTGAAGTACTACGTGTCCAAAATCGTCATCCATCCCAAGTACCAAGATACAACGGCAGACGTCGCCTTGTTGAAACTGTCCTCTCAAGTCACCTTCACTTCTGCCATCCTGCCTATTTGCTTGCCCAGTGTCACAAAGCAGTTGGCAATTCCACCCTTTTGTTGGGTGACCGGATGGGGAAAAGTTAAGGAAAGTTCAGGTGAGAATGGGCAGAGAGAAGGGTTGTTTCATATGTCATCCTCTTGTACTCCAGAACATTCATATTCTAGGCATATCCTTACCATGGAAAATATTTTTCAACAAAACCAGATCAATCTAATGATATTATCTATAAGTTTTTAAATAAAATATCTTTTTTGACATTTATATTTTTATGTTATTTACTCTTGCATCTTGCAGAGTCTAGCTATAGCTGGAAGAGCAGATACTAACAATTTAAACACATAACTACCTCTCTCAAACAGAGGTTAATAAGACTGATTTAAAGTTTGGAGAGCGTCTAGTGTTTTTTAACTGTTTTTCAAGTTTTACGTCAACTCTTTCCCAGGTTGGAGTAGACACAAGACAAGAACTGATCTAGAAGCAAAAAACATGGGAAAGGAAGAAGTTTTAGAATCCTTTAGAATAGTCATACCTTTACTCAATCAGAATTTATCGGAAGTACTCATTATTTAGAACAATGGCTCAATTAAAAAAAAACCTCAAAGAAGCAGAAATAATTTAGAATTACTGAGTTTTAGATTTAAGTGTACCAAAAGATCCACCCATAAGCAAATATGATTGGAAAGGCATTGTAAGCTGCTTTTGGATTCCCATTCAGAGACTTCTGCACATCATGACTGAATGCTGCCCCTGCACTTTTCTAGGTTGCTTTAATCTTTTGTTCCTGTCTTCCTCCACAGATAGAGATTACCATTCTGCCCTTCAGGAAGCAGAAGTACCCATTATTGACCGCCAGGCTTGTGAACAGCTCTACAATCCCATCGGTATCTTCTTGCCAGCACTGGAGCCAGTCATCAAGGAAGACAAGATTTGTGCTGGTGATACTCAAAACATGAAGGATAGTTGCAAGGTCAGGGTTTGCTCTAGAGAATTTTTTTTTAAACATGAGATCTTAATTTGGATCCAGGTTTTCCTATCTGTAAATAACAGTGGATTGGGAGTCAGGAGATGAGGGTTCTAAGAATAACTCTTATGTTACCCTGGACAAATCACTTAACTTCTATCTGTGAAATCAGTTTCTTCAACTATAAGACTATTGATCTAGACCAATACTAACGACTGGTCATTGGACTTTTTTTTTTTTTTTTTTTTTAAATTAGAGACAGAGCCTTGCTCTGTCACCCAGGCTTGAGTACAGTGGCATGATCATAGCTTACTACAGCCTCCAGCTCCTGGGTTCAATCAGTCATCCTCCCACTTCAGCCTCCTGAGTAGCTGGGACTACAAGCTCACACCTCACCAGGCCCACATACTTTTTTCATTTTTTTGTAGAGATGAGGTCTCACTATGTTGCCCAGGCTGATCCCAAATTCCTGGCCTCAAGCAATCCTTCCTCCTTGGGTTGCTAGACTTTTATAGACCTGTATATTTTCATAAGTATATTATGAGGTTGAAGCAGAATTGCCAACTTTTAAATTTTTTCAAGTAAGAACATTTCACTCTATACCTAAAAGATGTCGTTCTATTGTCTCCTGGTCATAACTGATGAAAAATCAGCCATTATTTGCATCGTCATTCCATGGAGTGTAATGTGTTGTTTTGCTCTGGCTGCTTTCAGTATTTTTTCTTTACCTTTGATTGTCAGCAGTTTGAATATGATGTACTAGGTGTGGTTTTCTTTGCATTTATCCTATTTGGGGTTCACTGAGTTTTTGGTTTTTTAAATCTATTCTTTAACATATTTCACCAACACTTGGAAATTTTTCAGTAATGATTTCTTCAAAAACTATTCTGCCTCATTTCTCTCTCCTCCCCTTCTAGATGAAACCATAAACTTGTTAAGTTATACCTTTTGGTATTTTCACACAAGTCCATTTTATTTTTATGTTTTTCTCTCTGTTCTTCAAATTGGATATTTTTAAATTGATCTGTATTGAAGATCACTGCCTCTTTCTGCTGTCATTTACATTTTAAGTCCATCTAGTGAAGTTTTTATTTCAGACATTTTATTTTTTAGTTATAGAATGACCATTTGGTTTTATTCTCTCCTCTCATCCACATATACTTTCTACATCTCTGCCAAGATTTTCTAGCTGTATATTATAAATATTTTCCTTTACATGTGTTGATCACAGTTATAATAGTTGCTTTAAATCCTTATCTGCTAATTCCAAAATCAATCTGAGTTATCTCAGGGATATTCTCCAACAATTGCTTTTTCTCATGAGTAGCATTTTCCAGTTTATCTTGGAAAACGTTTTCCTGTTGTTTTGTTTACTTTAATATCTAATCATTTTGGAATATATCCTGGACAATGTCAATAGCATGGTGTAGGGAGTACAGATTGTTATGCTTCTCTAAAGAATGTTGATTTCCTGTTTCAACGGGAAGTCAACTTGGCTGACCTCAAAATCCAAACTGGATCTCTCCTGTGATAGGCATCAGCAGTTATTTTAGCCTTAGCTGAGCTGCTTGGAGTCTAACCTGCACATGTATGTAATTCAGGGTGTATTCAGAAATTTGAGCAGAGTTTATATGCAGAACTTGGGACTCTCGCTCTGTGGCTCTCTCCTTTCTGGTATATTTCCCTGCACTTTCCAACTGCTAAGGTAGCTCTGAACTCTATCCTCTAATTCCTCAAGTCAGTAAGACTGTGGGTTTCTTTTACCAGCCACTATGCATGATAATGACTGGGGCCTGCTTTAAGGGAAAAGCCACTTTTTAAAAAAAAGAGTGTCATTCCTTTCTTCCAAGGATTGACTCTAGTTTCTGCCTGCTATTGGCCACTCTCCACTGCCTTCAGAGAGTAGCCTTTTATATGCTGTCCACAATTTATAACTGTTACCCGAAGCAGAGTTTGTCAGAGACAAGTCACTCCCATAAGAAATTTTAAAAACAGAAAGAGTCCTAAGAAGAGCGGAATATACTTTCCTCTTAAGTGCCCATGGAACATTCTCCAGAATAAACCATATGCTAAGCTGTAAAACAAGCCTCAATAAAGTTGGAAGGATTAAAATTATACAAATTATATTTTCTAATCACAATGGAATGAAATTAGAAGTAAATAAGAGAGAAATATGGAAATTCACAAATATGTGGAAAGTAACACACTGCTAAATTAGGAAATATTTTGAGATGAATAAAAATGAAGAAACAACATATCAAATCTTATGGAAGCAGCTAAAGCAGTGCTTAGAGAGAAATTTATATCTGTAAATGCCTACGTTAAACAATATATCTCAAATCAGTAACCTAATCTTCCATACAAGACACTGGAAAAAGAAGTTCAAGACCAGCCTGGGCAACATAGTGAGACCTTGTCTCTACTAAAAATTTAAAAAGTTAGCTGGGTATGGTGCACAAGCCTGTAGTCCCAGCTACTTAGGAGACTGGGGCAGGAGGATCCCTTGAGCCCAGAAGTTCACATATGTAGTGAGCTATGATCACACCACTGCACTCCAGCCAGGACAACAGAGCAAGACTCTGTGGCTCTGTCTCTTAAAAATATATATATACATAAATAAAACTAAAAAAAAGGCTGGGTGTGATGGCACATACCTGTAATCGCAGCACTTTGGGAGGATAAGGTAGGAGATTTTTTTTCAGCCCAGGAGTTCGAGACCAGCCTGAGCAATACAGTGAGACCCTATCTCTAAAAAAAAAAAAAAAATCAGCCAGGCATGGTGGTACACTTGTGGTCCCAGCTACTTGGGAGGATTGCTAGAGCCCAGGAGTTCAAGGCTGCAGTGAGCTATATTTGCACCACTGTGCTCCAGGCTGGGTGACACAGTGAGACCCTGTCTTAAAGAAAAAAAAAAAAAAAAAAAACAACTAAACCTAAAGAAAATACAAAGAAGGAAATAAGGGATATAGTGGAAATTACTGAAATAGAGAACAGAAAGACAATAGAGAAAATAAACAAAAGCAAAAGTTGGTTTTTAAAAAGATCAATAAAATTGAAAAAAAACTTTAGCTAAACTGAGCAAGAAAAAAAAAAGACTGAAATTACTAAAGTTAAAAATAAAACTGGGACATTACTACCAACCTTACAGAAATAAAAAGAATTTGTAACACACTACTATGAATAACAGTATGCCAAAAAATTAGATAACTAAGATGATATGGACAAATTCCTAGAAACACACAAACTACCATAACTTACCTAAGAAGAAATAGATGGTCTGAATAAACCTAATAAAAAGTAAAGAGATTGCATTTGTGATTAAAAAAAAAAAAAAAACTACGAAGAAATAAAAGACCAGGTCCAGATAGAATTCATTGATGAATTCTACCAAACATTTAAATAATTAATCCCAATTCTGGCCACAGGCAGTGGCTCATACCTGTAACCCCAGTACTTTAGGAGGCCAAGGCGGACAGGTCAATTGAGGCCAGGAGTTCGAGACGAGCCTAGCAAATGTGGCAAAACCCCATCTCTACAAAAAATACAAAAATTAGCCAGGCATGGTGGCATGTGCCTGTATTCCCAGCTACTCGGGAGGCTGAGGCATGAGAATCACTTGAATCTGGGAGGTAGAGGTTACAGTGAGCCGAGATCGCGCCACTGCACTCCAGCCTGGGTGACAGAGTGAGATTCTGTCTCAAAAATAATAATAATAATAATAATAATAATAGTAATTAATACCAATTCTACACAAGTTCTTTTGAAAAATAAAAGAGGGGACTGGGCACAGTGGCTCACACCTGTAATCCCAGCACTTTGGGAGGCCGAGGCAGGCAGATCACCTGATGTCAGGAGTTTGGGACCAGCCTGGCCTACATGGTAAATCCTTGTCTCTATTAAAAATACAAAAATTAGCTGGGTGTGGTGGCTCATGCCTGTAATCCCAGCTACTGAGGAGGCTGAGGGAGGAGAATCACTTGAACCCGGGAGGCAGAGGTTTCAGTAAGTCAAGATCATGCCACTGTACTCCAGCCTCGGTTACAGAGCAAGACTCTGTCTCCAAAAAAAAAAAAAAAAAAAAGAGGGAACACTTCCCAACTCATTCGAGATCAGTATTACTGAGACCAAAACCTGACAAAGGCATCACAAGGAAGCTATAGACCAGTATCTTTTATGAACAGAGGTGTAAAAATCCTCAATGAACCAAATCCAACAACATATAAAAAGGACTATATATACCGGAATGCCGATTTCATGTTTCAACAGGAAGTCAAGTTGGCTGACCTCAAAATCCAAACTGGGGGTAATTACAAATGGGTATGTGGGTTCTTTTTAGGATGTGGTGACTCAAGCCTTGTAATCCCAGCACTTTGAGAGGCCAAGACGGGAGGATCACTTGAGGTCAGGAGTTCAAGACTAGACTGGGCAACATAGTGAGACCTCGTTTCTACAAAATATTTTAAATATTAGCCACCTGTAGTCTCAGCTACTCGGTAGGCTGCGGTGGGATGATCACTTGAGACCGGGAGGTCGAGGCCACAGTGAGCAGTGTTTGTGCCACCACATTCCAGCCTGGGAGACAAAGTGAGACCCCTCTCTCTTTTTTTATTTTTCAAAAAATAAAAAATAAAAAGGATATACCATAAACAACTGGGATTTATCCCAGGAAACTTAGGTTGGTTTAAAATCCAGAAATCAATCAATGTTAATATACCATGTTCTTAGAATAAAGAGCAAAAACCATATGATCATGTCAATAAATATGGAAAAAAATTTGACAAAAATCCAACAACGCTTCACGTTAAAAAAAAAACAAAACACTCAACAATGAGATGAGTGGAGTTTTTCAACTCGATCAAGTGCAACTACAAAAAAACCCACAGCTAAAATACTTCGTGGTAAAATACTATATGCTTTTGCCATAAGGTCAGGAAAGAGACAAGGATGTCTATTCTTGTCATTTCTATGCAACACTGTACTGGAGGTTCTAGCCAGAATTAATAAGCAAGAGACAAATAAAAAGACATCCAGATTGCAAAGAAACAGTAAAACTATCTCTAGTCACAGATGACATGATTTTATAAATAGAAAATCTAAAGGAATGCCACCCCCAAAAAATTAGAACTAATAAACACATTCAGCAAAACTGAAGGATATAGGGACAATATACTAAAAGCAACTGTAGGCTGGGGGCAGTGGCTCAGGCCTGTAATCTCAGCACTTTGGGAGGCCAAGGCAGGTGGATTCCTTGAGTTCAGGAGTTCGAGACCAGCCTGACCAACATGGTGAAACCTCGTCTCTACTAAAAATACAAAAACTTGCTGGGCGTAGTGAGCTGAGATCTCGCCACTGCACTCCAGCCTGGGCGGGGCAACGAAGCGAGACTCTGTCTTAAAAAAAAAAGAAAAAAGAAAAAAGCAACTGTATTTCCATGCAGTTGCAATGAATAATCTAAGGAAACATTTAAGAAAACAATATTCCATTTATAATAGTTTTAAAAAGAATAAAATAGGAATAAAGTTAATATTGCTTAAATTGCAGTATTCTCCAAATGGATCTACAGATTCAATGTAATCCCTATGAAAACCCAGCTGGTTTCTTTGCAGAAATTGGCAAGCTGATCCTAAACTGCATATGGAAATTCAAGGGGCCCAAAACAATCTTGAAAAACAAGAAACAAGTTGAAGGACTCACATTTTTCATATTTCAAAACTAACAGTAATCAAGCCAGTGTGGTACTAGCATAAGGAGAGACATCTATAGATCAATGAAATAGGATTGAGTGTACAGAAATAAACCCTTATATTTATGGTCAATTATTTTTAAACATTGGTATTGAATCAGTTCAATGAACAAATAATAGTCATTTCAACAAATGATGCTGGGACAAGTAGACAACCACATGCAAAAGAATGAACTTGGACCCTGACCTCGCCATATAACAAATTAACTCAAAATGGATCTAAGACCTAAATATAAGAGCTAAACTATAGCACCTTTAGGAAAAAACATATAGGTAGGTCTTTGTGACCTTGATTAGGCAACATTTTCTTAGATATGTTATCAAAAGCATAAGCAGCAACAAAAAAAGTAGATTAGAGTTCTTCAAAATTCAGAACTTTTATGCTTCAATGGACACCATCAACAAAGTAAAAAGGTAGCCTATGAAACGGAAGAAAATATTTGCAAATCATATATGTAAGGGATCTGTATCTAGAAAAAAGAACACTTGTAACTCGATCATAAAAAGAGCACAGTTTTTAAAAGAGCAAAGCATCTGAATAGATATTTTTCTAAAGATATACAAATGTCCAACTGGTATAAAGATATGCAAATGTAGAGAAATTGGAGCCTTCTAACACTGTTGGTGGTAATATAAAATGGTGCAGCCTCTTTGAAAAACTGTTTGGCAGTTCCTCACAGGTTAAACATAGAATTACCATATGACCCAGAAATTCCACTCCTAGGTATATGACCAAGAAAGATAAAAATATGTCCATACAAAAACTTGCACGTGAGCTGGGCACAGTGGCTTCCACCTGTAATCTCAACTACTCAGAAGGCTGTGGCAGAAGGATCGCTTCAGCCCAAGAGTTCAAGACCAGCCTGGGCAAAACAGGGAGACCCCATCTCTAAATAAACAAAGAAAAAACCGGTACACAAGTGTTCACAGCAGCATGATTATTATTTTAGAAACAGGGTCTTGCTCTGTCACCCAGGTTGAAGTGCAGTGGTAGGATCATAGTTCATTGTAAACATGGCTCAAGCAATACTTCTGCCTCAGCTTCCCGAGTGGTTGGGATGACAGGCATATGCCACCATAGCAGCTATTTACTTATTTATTTGTTTTGAAGAGACAGGGTTCCACTAGGTTGCCCAGGTTGGTCTCAAATGCCTGGCCTGATCCTCCTGCCTTGGCCTCTCAAGGCACTAGGATTACAGACACGAACCATCATGCTGGGCCATAGAAGCATTATTTATAATATAATAGCCCAAATAATGGAAGCAATCACAATGTCCATTAGGTGATGAATGCAGAAACACCAAGTGGTACATCCATACAATGGAATATTATTCAGCCCTAAAAGGAGTGGAGTACTGATACAACATGAAGGAACCTTGAAAAGAATGTGCTAACTGAAACATGCCAGACACAAAAGGTCAGATATTACATGATTCCATTTATATGAAATGTCTAAAATAGGCAAATCCATAGAGGCAGAGAGTGGACTACTGGTTGGCCTAGCTGGGAGGGTTGGGAAGAAATGGGGATAATTACAAATGGGTATGAGGTTTCTTTTTAGGGTGATAAAAATGTTCTAAAATGGGTTGTGGTGATGGTTGTACAACACTGTAAATATACTAAAAACCACTGAATTGTGTAGTATGTGAATTATATGACAGTAAAGCTGTTACAAAAAAGAAAGAGAACAAGACTAGAAGACTACTACCAACAACTATCACTATCATTTTAGGTAAGAATGGATTACTTAACACTAAACAAGAGCAGTAAGAACAGGAAATTAAGGCAGTTCATTCATTTGAATAAATTTATCTTTAGTGAAAAAATCATCTCATTAGTTTTATTTCTCTTTTTATCACAGACAAATATTTTGAAATTACTAATATATTTCACTAAGGTCTCTGACAATTTCAATTCTATGATTCTAAAATTCCTGTGATATCTCCCTAAAGCAGTGATTAGTCCAGCCCCCTGCAGGGTTCCACAGCTCCATGGGTCTCATGGCCCAGTTTTAAAGAATTCTCCACCCCTTATTACTACTCTCTTCTTTATGCCTCTTTTCACTATGCTCATTACCTTTCATTTCTTCCTTAGGGTGATTCTGGAGGGCCTCTGTCGTGTCACATTGATGGTGTATGGATCCAGACAGGAGTAGTAAGCTGGGGATTAGAATGTGGTAAATCTCTTCCTGGAGTCTACACCAATGTAATCTACTACCAAAAATGGATTAATGCCACTATTTCAAGAGCCAACAATCTAGACTTCTCTGACTTCTTGTTCCCTATTGTCCTACTCTCTCTGGCTCTCCTGCGTCCCTCCTGTGCCTTTGGACCTAACACTATACACAGAGTAGGCACTGTAGCTGAAGCTGTTGCTTGCATACAGGGCTGGGAAGAGAATGCATGGAGATTTAGTCCCAGGGGCAGAGAACTCACAGGAGAGCCACTGCTAACCCTGGGTGACTTTATTTACAATTTGAAATGATTTTGTTTTTAAGGTTTTTGATTTTGGAAGTTTTGGGGTTGGAATGTGAAGAGTTAAGAAATAAAACTGTCACTTCTGTACATTCTTTGTCCTTGACTAATGCATCTTCCAAGACAGGAAGGATGTCCTCTATGAATAAGCATTTGTAGACACAAATTAAATAGCTATAAGACTAATGTGTCTTCCAAGGCAGGAAGATGTCCTCTATGAATAAGTATTTGTAGACACAAATTAAATAGCTACTACAGAGGCAGGCAAGTATCTGTGATGACACAGGAAAATATAATAAGGGTCTACCTCGTGCCCATGGGTTGCATCATGGGATTTTAGTCTATTATTTCTCACCTTCTCTATTATCTTTAACTTCCCTTCTAACCCTCCCTTTACTCCTCAACTGTAACAAGAGGGCTAATAAAAAATTCATATAAAGCCAATTCCAAGCACACTGCCTACAGATTAGCTAGCCCTGTTCCATAAGGAGCAGTAAAAAAAGAAGAAAAAAAAAGAGATGCAAACATGGGTCAGGCATGTTGGCTCACACCTGTAATCCCAACACTTTGGGAGGCCAAGGATCACTTGTGGCCAGGGGATGAAGACCAGCCTGGGCAACACAGCCCCTGTCTCTACAAAAGAAATAAGAAATTAGCCAAGAATGGTGGCATGTGCCTGTGGTCTCAGCTACTTGGGAAGCTGTGGTGGAAGGATAGCTTGAGACCAGGAGTTCGAGGCTGCAGTGAGCTATGATCACATCACTGCACTCCAGACTGGGCAACAGAGCAAGACCCTGTCTTTAAAAAAAAAAAAGGAAAAGAAAAGAAGGAAGGAAATGCATATATGTAGTTCAGCCCTATATTTTTCTTAAGTTTTTACTTTTTAAAATACCAGTGTGACCTACTACGAACAATGGATTAATGCTATGATCTCAAGAGCTGAGGTCTTGGGTTTCAACAATCTGGACCTATCTAAGTGGTTTAACTTCACATCTATAAAAAAACACTTTAAATATTTGGAACAAAGGACATTATAGAAAAGAGCATTATATCCCATGCTTCCTTTGTTAAACAATCACACAACCTATCCTATTCCCTTCTATACCTAGGCTGCCAGAAACTCAGAGCTAACTTTTGAACTCAATTACAATCATTATCTTCACCACAGATTTTCTGGTATAATTCCATTCATACTTCTTTAAGTCATCCTTTATTTCTCATTTAAATGAACTTAAGTTTTATTGCATCTGTGTCTTTTACAAGATACGGATCCTTTTATAAAAAAAACTTTGTTTCTGAAAGTTGACTTAAAGTAAGTACATTTTGGCTTACTTTAAGCTTTAAGCTACAGGTGGCTCACACCTGTAATCCCAGCACTTTGGGAGGCCAAGGAGGGTGGATCACTTAAGGTCAGGAGTTCAAGACCAGCCTGACCAACATGGTGAAACCCTGTCTCTACCAAAAATACAAAAATTAGCCAGGCATGGTGGCGGGTGCCTGTAATCCCAGCTACTCAGGAGGCTGAGGCAGGAGAATCACTTGAACTCAGGAGTTGGAGGTTGCAGTGAGCCAAGATCCCATCACTGCACTCCAGCCTGGGCGAGAGAGCCAGACTCTGTCTCAAAATAAAATAAAATAAAATATAAAGTACATTTAATGGAAATACATTTAATAGAAAATAAGGGTAGACTGGCCGGGTGTGGTGGCTCACGCCTGTAATCCCAGCACTTTGGGAGGCCGAGGCGGGCAGATCACGAGGTCAGGAGATCAAGACCATCCTGGCTAACACGGTGAAACCCCGTCTCTACTAAAAATACAAAAAAAAATTAGCCGGGCATGGTGGCGGGCACCTGTAGTCCCAGCTACTCGGGAGGCTGAGGCAGGAGAATGGCGTGAACCTGGGAGACGGAGCTTGCTGTGAGCCGAGATTGCGCCACTGCACTCCAGCCTGGGCGACAGAGCAAGACTCCGTCTCCAAAAAAAAAAAAAGTAAGGGTAGATTTGGAAACTTAAAATTCTTGCTAACCCTTATTAACCCCACCTGGGTTAGTAGCATCTGGATTGCCATTACAGCCTCCTAACTAGCATTTCCACATCCTTTCTTATGCCTTCCATTTACACCCAACTCCATTTATTCTCCTCCACAGCATTCAGATTAGTGTTTTAAAAATAAAAGTACTGTTTATACTGCTCCTCTTTTCCCCCTGCTTATAGCACTTCAAAGGCATCCTCCTGCTGCTCACAGAGTAAGGACAAAATCCCTTATTGTGGCCTACAAAGTCCGGCCAATCTGACCCCAGCCTGTCTCTTCAGCCTCATTTGGCTCACTTTCCAGCCTATTCTCTATGCTTAAACTTCTTCAAACATTCTAAGCACCCTTTCAGCACCAGACTTCTGCATCTACTATTCCCTCTCCCCTGCTGCCCTTGTCTAGTTAATTCTTACTGTGCCTTCAGATCTCAATTTACCCTTCACTTCCTCAAGGAAGCTATCCCCATCTCTCCTAACCAGGACAGGTCCTCCTAATTCTCATAGCACTATGAAGCCCTCCTTTATAGAACTCAACATAGCTATAATTGAACATTCATTTATGTAGTTGTCTAATTAACATATGTCTATCTTATCAAACTGTAAGTCCACGTAAGAATTTTTGTTTTTATCCACCACTGTATCCTAGTCTCAATAATTTGTTGAAAAAAATCAATGAGTAATATTCAGCTTGTCTCCCTAACTGTACTGTGAGAACCTGGATATTGTTTATGGAGGTAGCCCAGAACCTGACACAATGTTTCGCACAAAGTAGGTTTTCAAATATCAGTTAAATACAAGTTAGTTTGAAATTGGAAGTAACTGTTCCACAGCATAGGATCTGGCAACATTTTTCTCATTAACAAGGAGTTGAAACTTAAAGGAAGGACCAGGCCATGCAACTGCAAAAAAAGGAATATCAAGAGAATAAGACATGATCTCACTATCTTCATCACTACTGGGTGGATGCACCAAGGGTAGGCACCTAACACAACAGTTGCCCAGGGGGTGGTGGGGCAGTTAGCCCAGCATGTTACCCAACAGATGCACTCAGTGTTGGACAACACAACAGACCCTCCTCTGGAGAAATCCAAATGTCAGTCATACAGTATGTCTACGTGCATTCAACAGTATTAAGTGCCCACCATGTACCAGGTACCATTCCAGGCATGGAGGACACTACAGTAAATATAACAAATCAAGCTGGGCTTCAAGTAGTTTACATTGCAGTGGAAGACAGACAATAACCAAATGCAAAATAAATTCATATTATAATAATGTCATGTACAAGAAAGCCTGATAATAAAATAAGAGAAGCAGATAAGAGTATCAGGATGGGAAATCCCACCTTAGGGTGGTCAGGGAAGGTTCTCTGAGGAGGTGACATTTGATAGAGGCCTAAACAGAGGAGGGAAGCAAGGACTAAAAAAGGAGAGAAGGTGCGGTCGAGTAAACAGCGAGTACAAAGGTTCTGAGTTTAGGTGGGTGTGAGGAAGAACAGGCCGGTCAATGTGGCTGGGACACTGTGAGCAAAGGTGGAAAGGTGTATGAACTGAGACCAGAAAGAAAGGGAGCAGGGGCCAGGTCCTGCAGAAGCTACTAGGCCTCAGTAAGGACTCTGAATTTCATTCTCAGTGACATGAGAAGCCACTGGTGAAGTGAGAGCAAGGGAATGATGAAAGAACAGAAGAGTAGAGAATCCCACACCACTGCTCATGGGAATATGCAGAGGCCAGGAGGGGGCCAGGATGGCAAAGAGGGCAGTCAGATGGTAGCAGAGTCAGAACAAAAAGCAGAGAGAAAGAATCAGACACCAAGGCACTGAAGTAGAGCTGAGTGAAACAAGGACTGCTGTATCCTGAATATCAGTGAGTTTCCACATGAGGCTATGTGCTGTCTTACCGTCCCCTATTCTTTATCTGCACTGTCCTTAGAGTAAGGCCCTATTTACCAAGTGACTTGAGAAAGGTACAGCCCAAGTTTCTTACCTTTGACTTCGGAATTCATCACCAAAACAGCTAACTCACTTCCTGTTTGTTTTCTTCTTATTCAGACAAGTGTTCTGATTTCTTCATTCCATTTCCACCTCAAGGCTTTATTTCCTCTGTCCTCTACACCTGGAATACCTTTCTTTTGATACCTCAACCCACTTATTTCTGCCCACTGATTAGAAAAGGAGGCAGTGAATATCTAAAAAACACATTAAAAGAACCCTAGAAAACGGTTTTTAGGCCGGGTGCAGTGGCTTACGCCTATAATCCCAGCACTTTGGGAGGCTGAGGCGGGCGGATCACGAGGTCAGGAGATCAAGACCATCCTGGCCAACATGGTGAAACCCTGTCTCTACTAAAACACAAGAATTTAGCCAGGCATGATGGCATGAGCCTGTAGTCCCAGCTACTCAGGAGGCTGAGGCAGGGGAATCACTTGAACCCAGGAGGCGGAGGTTGCAGTGAGCTGAGATCGTACCACTGCACTCCAGCCTGGCGACAGAGCAAGGCTCCGTCTCAAAAAAAAAAAAAGAAAGAAAGAAAGAAAGAAAGAAAATCGTTTTTAAGAGTAATAGGGAAAAAAAGAGAATTTTAAAAAAATTAACAGGGAATAGGTAAACTGTATGGTATGCGATTTATAACTCATTGAAGCTATTTTTAAAACATGAACAGGGAGTTTCTCTCCTGCTTCAAGTATACAAATAATTCCTCATTTGTAATATATTTAGGGCTCTTCACAGATCTAAACGATTTCTGTGATTCTATTTCAAAGAAAAGCTCAACCTACCTATGTACATTTTGTTTCAATTGCTAAGACATAAAATGAAAAGTTCAACCCCAAACATGAGATACAGCACCTGGTAACACATTACTGGAGGGAAAAAGATCAATAAACATTTGTGTGGGGGAGGGAGCCACTCGGAGTTGGCAGGCGGCCACCCAGTGTACACTTAAGAGCCTGTCCCCTGCAGAAAATAAATAAATAAATAAACACACAATAAACATATGCATTCACAAAACAAACTTATTATTTACTGGTAACTAATTTAATCAGTAACACCACAAATGAGGAGGAAATAATAGGGACACCTTTACTTTTATGGGGCTCAATACAGCATTTCTGCCTTAAAAATGAATATAAATTTGCAGAATATTTTATTCTGTGGAATATCTGATTTTAATATGCTTCAATTTTCATTTCACACATCTTGAGAAATTTTAATTAAGGTGAGATTTTAACAAATAAAGGTTGCTAAAAATCCTATGAGCAATTTTTTTCCTAAATGTGGGGAAGATTTGTAAATTTAGTTATTTCCAGATCTTTTTCAATAGACTAGTTCAAATAATGACCCATTTTTTCCCTATATTCCACTAAACTGTAATGTTACCCCAAAAATGTGAGGACATTACAGAAAAAGGATTCAGAATAATAAAATGTCAAAGCTATATTTTGATATTATTTCGACAGTGAATGTTTTCTTTTCAAATGTTTCACTTCATTCTTCCTGCCCAACTGTGTATAGTCTATCCACACACTAGAAATCAGCTCCCTGAGAACTTTTTAAAATATATTGCTTCAGGAAAAGGAGGAAGGGGAGGAGTCATTCAAAATAATCAGAAATCAGATTAATGTATTCTCGGCTATTAATAATTGAGAAGAAACATTCACTGTCTGAAGAATAAAAAAGATAGAAATCTTTAATGGAAATTCTATTTGCCTTCCAGGATAATTATCCTCAACCAACCTAAATTCTCTCCACTGTCTACTACTATGTAAGCCTTCACTTTCCATCTCCATGTAGTTGGATAAAGTAATTGGAATCTAGTCCTGTGGCACTTTGTGTGCCATTCTTATGACACTTAGCCCACATAGCCTTGTGCTATAATTATCTCTGAACACCAAGGAGTGAAAAGAATAGGATAGGATGAGGGCCTATGGCTCCAGAATGCTAATGCTACTCTGCTTTTAGTGAAAATTAGTGAGAAGAAGACAAATCTAGAGACAGTTGGGTAGTAGAAGCAAGATAACATATTGTTTGGATTTGGATGTAATTTAATGAATTGGATGTAGATGGTAGAAGGAAAAAATAAAGACAAAGAGAAATCAAGAATGACCATAGGTTACTGGCCTGAGAATGTTGTACCATTAAATAAAATGAGGAAGGCTAGAGGAGGAATAGATTTGCCAAGCAGAGAAATCAAATGGTAGGCTAAACAATAGCCCCTCTAAGGACGTCCATGTTCTAATCCCCAGAATCTGTGAATATGTTACTACACGTAGTAAAGGGGATTTTGCACATATGATTAAGTATCCTGAGATGGGGACATCATCTGTATTATCTGGTGGGACCAATGTAATCAATCACATGGCTTCTTATAAGAGTAAGATAGGAGGATCAGGGCCAGGTATACTAATGAGAGTATGCAGAAGACAGAAGGATGGAAGCAGAAAGAAGAGAGGAATGAAGATGCTACACTGTTGGCTTTGAAGATAGAGCAAGGGGCCATGAGCCAGGCAATACAGGTGGCCACTAGGAGCTAGAAAAGGCAAAAACAGGATTCTCCCCTAGAGTCTACAGACGGAATGCAGTCCTGCCAGCACCTTGATTTTAGCTCAGTGAAATTGATTTCAGACTTTAGACCTCCAGAATTACAGAATAATAAATTTTTTTTTTTTTTTTTTTTTTTTGAGACGGAGTCTCGCTCTGTCACCAGGCTGGAGTGTAGCTCGGCACACTGCAACCTCCGCCTCCCAGGTTCAAGAGATTCTCCTGTCTCAGCCTCCTGAGTAGCTGGGACTACAGGCACCCGCCGCCATGCCCAGCTAATTTTTGTATTTTTAGTAAAGAGGAAGTTTCACCATGTTGGCTAGGATGGTCTCAATCTCCTGATCTCGTGATCCTCCCGCCTCGGCCTCCCAAAGTGCTGGAATTACAGGCGTGAGCCACCGCGCCCAGCCAAATTCACGTTGTTTTAAGCCATTAAATTTGTAGCTAATTTGTTATAACAGCAATAGGAAACTAAATGCAGACATTTTAGATTTGAGAGGCCTATTAGATGTCGAAGTAAAGATGCTGAATAGGCAGTCTAGAGTTCAGAAGAGAGGGCAGGACTAGAGAAATAAAAGCACAATCTGTTTGAATCATGGACCCTCTTCTCCACATCACCTTTAACACTGCATCCAAGAAAGCACTCATGCACATTTACAATATTTTTTATATAATTTCAAGATGTTCAAGAATTCCCTATATTCATAGAACTCCCAGAACATTATATATAATCACGAAGCAGCCTATTCTAACCCCAGTAAGATTGCTGCCTCCCTACGGAGGAAGAAACTGAATATCATTTCACTTCAAAAAACTTAAAAACCCCTTTTCCACTTCTACTTATCAAAACAAAAAACAAAATGTCACAGAAATACCTTACATAAAAAGTTCAAATCCCCCACATAATCGTAGTGTTCCTCACCATCACCCTCTAACCTTTCTTCTCATACTTAAGGATTTGGTCATGGTCAATATGCCACTGATTCCTTTTTAAATGTTTAAAATCTTGCTTGTTAAAATTAAGCTTGCTTTTTAAAATTAGTTTATGATAACAGAAAGCTATGGTTGCAACTACTGCAAAGCTTCAGAGTTCACAGGTTTGATTAATTTTATTAAAAATTCCATACTACTAGGTTAGATAAAAACAAAAAATAGCAATTGGTTGATCAAAGAAATCTGTATCAACACATTTTAAATAATGAAAACATTGTGGCCTTAAAAAATTAAAATCATGGCTGGGCGCAGTGGCTCACGCCTGTAATCCCAGCACTTTGGGAGGCCGAGGCGGGCGGATCACCTGAGGTCAGGAGTTCGAGACCAGCCTGACCAACATGGAGAAACCCCGTCTCCACTAAAAATACAAAATTAGCCTGGCGTGGTGGCGCATGCCTGTAATCCCAGCTACTGGGAAGGCTGAGACAGGAGAATCGCTTGAACCTCGGAGGCGGAGGTTGCGGTGAGCCGAGATTGCGCCACTGCACTCCAGCCTGGGCAACAAGAGCGAAACTCCGTCTCAAAAAAAAAAAAAAAAAAAAATTAAAATCACTGTAGCATCTTCAAAGCCAAGTTTGGATTTTAGGACAAATCTCCTATTCCCTTATGAGTTCAATGAAGTTATTTTAATTTCTGGAACAGAGGGCTAATATGAAAGACCTCAAGGAGACAGTACCATAAACAAGAAAAAAAATGCACTTGTGTCTCACATTCTTTTTATCCAGAGGCTGCTGAGTTAAGTGTCATACAAGGAAAAATACGCTAACCCATTTAAAGAGGTCCAATAAACAACTAGTTCCAAAATAGCCCTATTTTAAACTTCTAAAAACAGGTTGCAGCGAAAGAAATAAAACCAATGTCGGCCGGGTGTGGTGGCTCACGCCTGTAATCCTAGCACTTTGGGAGGCCAAGGCGGGCAGATCACCTGAGGTCGGGAGTTCGAGACCAGCCTGACCAACACGGAGAAACCCCATGTCTACTAAAAATACAAAATTAGCCAGGCGTGGTGGTGCATGCCTGTAATCCCAGCTACTCGGGAGGCTGAGGCAGGAGAATTGCTTGAACCCAGGAGGCGGAGGTTGCAGTGAGCCGACATCATGCTATTGCACTCCAGCCTGGGCAACAAGAGTGAAACTCTATCTCAAAAAAAAAAAATGTCAACCTAGCTTTCTTTACAGCCCTTCTGAGAAGGAACAACCTATTGAGCAGCAGGATGGGAGCATTGTGCATTGGACTATGCGTGATACTATACACATCAGCTTTGCACAATTTTTTTTAAATCAAGTGTTTGAGTCTCTACAAATGAAAAAAACATTTAGCAAATACTGAGTTCATAAAATATGCTCTAGGGAAAAAATTTCTAGAAGATTATATTTTTAAAGCCATGTAAGCTGAGTGTAAATGGACAGAACTAGGAATACTAAAAAAAAATAAAGGGAATAAAAGGTAGTATGGCCATGTGCTCACGTCAGCAACACGTATACTAAAATTGGAAAGATACCGAGATTAGCATGGCAAGGGTGACATGCAAATTCATCAAGCATTCCATTTTTTTTTTTTTAAGGTGTATGGCCATGTTAAGAAATTTGAGCTTTTAGGCGGAGGTATAATGTACAAACCACTGAAATGTTTTAATTCAGGGAAATAACATGATCAGTTTGTGTTTTATAAAAATTGCTTTGGTGGTTGTATAGAGAATGGATTAGAGAAACAAGTCAGGACACAGAATGGCCAGTTTGAAGTCTGTTGCAAACAGCCAGAGGTACCTGGAACAGGACAGTGGCAATGAAGATGGAGACAAGTAGACAGAATCAGGACCTACATCAGAGATAGATTTAATAGAATCTGGTAATTGACTGACTATATGTAGGCAATTGTGGTGAGGGAAGAAGTTAAGTACTTCACCCAGCTTTCTGGCTTGGGCAACTTGTGGTGTCTGTCATTCAATGAGATATAGAACCTTGGCACAGAAATAGTTTAGAGGTAAGAAATGTAAGTGATACGGTTTGGATCTGTGTCCCCACCCAAATCTCATGTCAAATTGTAATCCTCAAGCTGGAAATGGGGCCTGATGGGGGGTGATTGGATCATGGGAGTAGCTTCTCCATGGTTTAACACCATCCCCCATTGGGGCTGTTCTCACAACAGAGTTCTCGTGAGATCTGCTTGTTTTTATTTATTTATTTGAGACAGAGTTTTGCTCTTGTTGCCCAGGCTGGAGCGCAATGGCGCAATCTCGGCTCACCACAACCTCCACCTCCCAGGTTCAAGCAATTCTCCTGCCTCAGCCTCCTGAGTAGCTGGGATTACAGACATGTGCCACCACACCCAGCTAATTTTGTATTTTTAGTAGAGACAGGATTTCTCCATGTTGGTCAGGCTCATCACCAACTCCCAACCTCAGGTGATCCGCCCGCCTCAGCCTCCCAAAGTGCTGGGATTACAAGCGTGAGCCACCGCGCCTGGCCAGAGATCTGCTTGTTTTAAAGGTGTGTGGCACTCCCCGCTCTCTCTCTTCCTCTTGCTCTCGCCATGTGAAGATGTGCCTGCTTCCCAACTTCGCCTTCTGCCATGATTGAAACCTCCCTGAGGCCTCCCCAGCCATGCTTCCTGTACAGCCTGCAGAATCATGAACCAATTAAACCTCTTTTTAAAAGAAATTACCCAGTTTCAGTTATTTCTGTATAACAGGGTGAGAATGGACCAATACAATAAGTTAAAGATATCAAGACTCTACAAAAAGGAAACCCAAAGGCACATTACATTCTTACATTGAGCATTAAATAAGCAAACTGAGAGAACTACAATATATTCCAAAAGCTCCCTGGGCTAATTTCTAGTGACTATTATTTGCAAGGAGTTTATGAAGAATAACACACAAAGAGGTCCAAAACCAAGTTTTTTGCCATGAGTTTTGGTCTGCTCAAACTAGCAAGCCCTTAAGAAGGCTGTGGTAAATGACTTTGTTGTTCCCAATGATTCACTGCCCTCTGTGTAAAAAGATTATCCAGCCACTCAAGGTACCATGTAACTTGCAGGACCCCCACACCATTAATGTCAGGTTAACCAAAGAAGTGAGTAGAAGTGATACATGTCACTTCTGAGCATCGTTATAAACACTGGTACATGCTTTGCTATCTTTTTCCCAGATAGGGATTGCTCCTTCGGCCAGGATCCCAGAATGAGCACCACAGGTGAGGCTGAGCTACATCTCACCAGTTGAATATAACTGTTACACAATACTGAGCTCTAGAGGTTGTTTGTAATCACAGCATTAACAACAAAATATGACAGGTACTGGTGTCTAACAAATAAGAATGTATGACTTATTGGTGTTTCCCCTCTTCAAGTCAAATTTTTCTGGTGATTTGCTAAGAAGAAACCTGATGAAAAAAATAGTTGGCCCAAGTATTCCAAAACTAGAACAAAGAATTTTGAACCTGAAAAGAAACTTGGTAGGAGTTAGCAAACTTTTTCTGTAAAGAGTGAGATAGTAAGTATTTTAGGCTTGCAGACCACGTGGACTTTGTTGCAATGACTCAACTCTGCAGATGTAGGAAAAAACGACTATAGACAATGAAACTTTATTCACAAAAACAGTCAGTGAGCCTGGGCTCTGGGTCTAAATCTTTCATACTGTCAATGAAGAATCTGAGAGATTAAATCAAGGTCATATAGCGGGCTAGTGGGAGGCTGAGCATTAGAATGCATGTCTTCTGAAAACCAAATACCGCATGTTCATAGGTGGGAACTGAACAATGAGAACACTTGGACACAGGGTGGGGAACATCACACACCGGGGCCTGTCGTGGGGTGGGGGAAGGGGGGAGGGATAGCATTAGGAGATATACCTAATGTAAATGACGAGTTAATGGGTGCAGCCACCAACATGGCACATGTATACATATATAACAAACCTGCATGTTGTGCACATGTACCCCAGAACTTAAAGTATAAGAAGAAAAAAGAAAAAAAGAATGCATGTCTTCTGAATCTAGTCCTCTAGAACAGGTTCTGTTGGGTCACAAGATGGAGATGAAATACACACAATAAATAAAGCAGGGAATGCTAAAGATAGGTTTTGATTATGTTAAACAGCTTTCAACAGTTTGGTTATAAATGAGGATTTGCTTTTCGAGTGATTATAGCTTTCACGAAAAGAAGTAAATGTCATGAGACCAAACAGGTAAACAAATGATAAATTAGCCAGTGTTTTGAAAAATGATCTTCAGAGGAAACACAATTATACACTCCTTCCAACCACCATTTTCTTGAATAGATTATCAATCATTTCTTTTATTAACAGGATGGCATTTGCTATGATTATTACAGTAATTCATTTTAGGGAAAAATAGGTTTTTAAAAATACCATAATATGAGCAAGAAATATACTGGACCAGCAGCCAATTATTTCTCACAGTATTTTAAATTTATTTTTCTTTAATTTTGAAAGTAATAAACATTCATTGTAAGTAACTGAAACAATACAGAAGTATAAAGTGACACACTCCAGGCCCTCCTCGATTCCACTCCCCAGAGTATTAGCCATACATTATGTTTTAACATGACTGATTTGTTCAGAACGGTGCAGTAAAGCTACTTCCTCTGAGCTACTTTAACAACAAAGAGGAATATAGAGTTCCCCTGGCCAGATATCCCTTGGATATCATGTTTTGAAAAGTAACAAAGGGGTTTGGGGTGGTATATGGCCTAGAAATGAGAAAAGTAAGCTGCCCATTCAAGGTCTGAATGAGGGGTTTGAGCCCAGCACTGTAACCAGCTGAGTGAGGCTCCTCTTTATAAAAACACCTTGATAATGCTACTGTAGAATGTAGAAAAACTTAAAAATGGGTTAAGAGTATCCCTACCTTCTCTTGCTCTCTCATTTTTTTTTTTAAACTTGGGCTGGTTTACTCATAAAAGCAGATTTTTTTTTTTTTAAGAGATAGGGTCCTCACTCTGTTGCCCAGGCTGGATTCAAACTCGTAGGCTCAAGCAATCTTCCCACTTAAGTATCCTGAGTAGCTGGGACTAGAGGCACATACTACCCAACCCAGCTCTGATTATCTTAATCAGTTTTTTTCTTTAAGCCATATTTGACATATCTGAGTGACATCAGAAAAAATGGCAGAGTTAAGACCTCCAAAAGTCTATCCCTCCATAAAAGCAATAAAAACCTGATAGAAACTGGCAGAATCAACTTTTCAGAACTCTAGAAACCAACCAAAAGCTTGTAGCAACTAATGAAACACTGAATCCAGAAAAACTAGCTGGATTGTGGTTAGAATATTGAGCTTTGTGGCATTTTTAACTTACCCTGGTCCCTTCCCTCTTCCCAGCTCAGTGGGAACCTTAAAAATGTTAGCCTGCATTCCTGGTACCAATATCAGGACTAGAGAGAACAAAACCAACCTTATTCACAAAGAACTGTAATAATTTGTCTTGACCTGTCTGGTTTCTCCCTGGAGAAGACTTTCTTTTACCTTACCTAATTTGGAATTATCAGTGCAAAAGTGGCTAGCTAGAGGGCACTTGCTGAAAACACTGACAAGCAAATATATTAGTTGCTGCTGCACAAGGATAACAGTTGGGGCAAACAATAAGCTAACCAAAAAGGTTGGGAAGATAGGCTAGAGAATGAGATGGTTTGAGGAATACAGGCTTTGAATAGCTCCCACATATTCCTGGGAATCTAGAAGGCCAACTGTATTACCAGGATGGGCATATGCTCAGAAAAGACCTGAGAAGGCCCTAAGCTGCCACCTCTGGCTGACTGTCAGAATATGCACAAAGAAGTAAAGGCAAAGCAGACTTGTAAACTGCCTGTCTGAGTACTGAAGGTGTGTCAAAACACAAGAGCCCATCTGCATAAGCTGGGAGGTTCTTTTTGGTTCTAGGCATAAAACAAAACAAAACAAAACAAAACAAAAACCTCTGTCCAATCACTAGCTGACCACTAAGCTAATGAAACTGAAAATTCAGTGTCATGCATGACAAAGAATATAGGATTTACAAAATTAGTTCAGAGAAGTCACTAAACAAACAACCACAACCATAACAAGCAGCAATAACAAACCCTGGGAAGGGAGAAGAATCTGATTTCCAGAGCTGTTACATTATAATATTCAAAATGTTCAGTTTTCAACTTGTAAATACAAGGTATGCAAAGAAATAAGAAATATGGCCCATACACAGAAAAAAAAGTAATCAATACAAACTGTTCTTTCTGAGGAAGCCCAGATGCTGGATTTACTAGACAAAGACTTTATACTTCTGTATTATTGTTTGGGGAGCTCTTTATGTATTCTACATTCAAATCTTTTGTTGGATATATGATTTGAAAATATTTTCTCCTAGTCTGTAGCTTATCTTTTTATTCTATTTAACAGTGTCTTTAGCTCTTTGAACATATTTAAACAACCCAATTTTTAAATGTGCAAAGATTTGAACATTCTTCCCCAAAGATGACATATGGATAGCAATTAACCATATGAACAGATGGTCAATATCATTAGCCAAAAGGAAAATGTAAATTAAAATTACAATGAAATATCACTACACCTCTATTAAAATGGCTAAAAACAAACAAATAAAAACTAGAAAAAATCTAGCAGCATCAAGTGCTGGTGAGAATGCAGAACAATGAGAACTCTCATACATTGCTGGTGATAACACATAACAGGATAGCCACTCTGGAAAACAGTTTGGAAATTTATTATAAAGTTAAATTTATATTTACCATATGATCCAGCAAACCTGTACACAAATGTTTACAGCAGCTTATTCATAATCATCAAATACTGAAAACAATCTAAATATCCTTCATCAGGATATTGTGTACCAGCATAAACAAACTGGTACACTCACACAATAGACTACTACTTGGCAGTAAAACAGATCAAACTATTGATATAGTAACAAAATGAATCAATGTCCAAGGCATTCTCCTGAGTAAAAGAAGCCCGTCTCAGAGGTTATATATTAATACTTTATGAATTCATTTATTTAATATTCTAGGAAAGGCAAAATTATACAGACAGGGAGCAGATCATTGGTTGCCAGTGGAAAGGCGTGCACAGGTCTGACTACAAAGTCAGCCCAGGGAATTTCCAGGTGATGGAACTGTTCTGTATGGTGACTATGGTAGTTGCCACAAGAAACTACATGTGTAATAAAATTCATAGAACTGTTCACCAAAAAGAAGCCAATTTTACTGTATGTACATTTAAAAATTAAAGAAGAAAAGACTACAGGGATTCAAATCTCAGCTGCACTTAACTTCTGTTTACGTCATTTTTCTTATTTTAATAACAGGATGACAAAAGAACCTGCCTTCCAGGATTGTTAGGAGAATTACAGGAGTTCCTGACACATATTTAGTATAAATAAATGATTGATGAATATTTTATTCAGATATGCTAAAAAGTTGGTACTTTTTAAAAAAGTCTACTACAGGAATAAGTAAGAAAGCTGGAGACTCAACTAAAACAGGGGAAAAAAGAATATTGGAATTAAAACCCCAATTCTTCATTAACTTCATTAAACATTCATTGGAAACCTATGAGGTGAGCAATACCAAATTACATTCTACAAGGTTTGCAAAACCCATGTGCTCAAGGAGCTATTGAAAGGTTTGTTCTAAATGCTATGTAAGTACTCATCATTAAATTTAACACTAATAGCAAACGCGCTGTAATTAAGGTTTAATACTAAATGTTCAGTGTCACTGTCCCTTTCCTGAAGAGGCTGTCAAATGGTAACCACCTTTTTCCAACTCATGAAACGTCAGCAACACTGGACTTGTCCCTCATGTTCAGGCTCTGCATCCCATGTCACTAACTCAGTAGATTCCTTCTCAAATATCTTTATCATCCACTCTCCCGCATCATTCCTTACAATTTTCAGGGTTTGGGGTTTTAAAAAGCAGCAGCTGCTGCAATCACTCCTAATGATGACTTCTTTTTTTTTTTTTTTTTTTGAGACGGAGTCTCGCTCTGTCGCCCAGGCTGGAGTGCAGTGGCGGGATCTCGGCTCACTGCAAGCTCCGCCTCCCAGGTTCACGCCATTCTCCTGCCTCAGCCTCCCAAGTAGCTGGGACTACAGGCGCCCGCCACTACGCCCGGCTAATTTTTTTTTTTTATTTTTAGTAGAGACGGGGTTTCACCGTTTTAGCCGGGATGGTCTCGATCTCCTGACCTCGTGATCCGCCCGCCTCGGCCTCCCAAAGTGCTGGGATTACAGGCGTGAGCCACTGCGCCCGGCCCCTAATGATGACTTCTATCTTTTTAGTGTCTCCCTTCTTACCTGAACAACATGAGCCTTCTTTGGCCAAATATCCAAATCTACATTTAAGCTTCAAAAGCCAAATTAATCAGGACCCAAGGTGGCGCAGCCCTCGTGAGCCCAAAAAGCCACTCGCGTCTGGGCGCCAACCCTTAGGCTCTGCCTTCCCAGAGTTCCTGGTGCTAGACCCGTCAGGCAGGTGTGTGCCCGCAGGGCCTGACAAAGGGCATCACGTTCAGGAGTTTGAGGCCTTGCGAGGCCCCTTTGCTGTCTCTGAGGATAGTTGGGAAGGCCTTTGGGCCTGGATTTGACATCCATGAACTGTGCAGCAGCTCAAAGCCTGGGTCAGTTGTATTGACACCAAACGGCAAACATCTAAAGCGCTCAGGACTAACAAAGAAACAGGAAAACGTGAAGTTTTGCATATTAGCATGCGTGGTTTCCCCTCCACAGGGTGAGCCATGAGCAGAAGAGGGATTTGCCTTCCAACCTTGTGTACATAAGAGTTCCAGTTAGAATGAAATGTAATCGAACTAAAAATAAAGACTACGTTAAACCATCTTTATTTATTTTATTATTATTTTTTCAGACAGTGTTTTGCTGTTACTGCCCAGGCTGGAGTGCAATGGTGCGATCTCACTGCAACCTCCACCTCCCGGGTTCAAGTGATTTTCCTGCCTCAGCCTCCCGAATAGCTGGGATTACAGGCACGGGCCACCACACCCAGCTAATTTTTGTATTTTTAGTAGAGATGGGGTTTCACCATGTTGGCCAGGCTGGTCTTGAACTCCTGACCTCAAGTGATCCACCCACCTCGGCCTCCCAAAGTGCTGGGATTACAAGCATGAGCCACCATGCCCAGCCTAAAACATCTTTTAAAAAACTCAAGACTGTCCTATTTGACAGCTATGTACTGAGCACATGTGTCAAGCACTGTTCTGAGTTATGAGGGATATGAACAAAGTAAGCCTCTTCCCTCAGGAATCTCACATTGCTGAAAGTCAGAGTGGTCAGTTTATTCCTGGAGCCTACCAACTTTACCCTCTTTCCATTCTGAGAAACCTTAAGGTACCCCCCACAGGCCCTAGGTCCCATCAGACAAAAGCAATTGCAGGCATTTCTAGGTGAGCCATGTGGGTACCACAAGACTCTGCCATCTTGCCCCAAAGGGACCTGGGATGGGTTTGAAAAGGCAGCTCTCTATGGGTTTGCCATACACCTCCAAGGTAAATGGGCATAAGAACCCTGCTGCAAAAGGCCATCCTGTGCAGAATTGTGGCTGACCAACCTACTTAGAGCCTCTTTCTTGGGGAGGCTGACTGTGAGAAAAACAAAAGACAGCCAATTATTTAGTACCTTAGAAGCCATGGAAGCAGACATCAATAAACTGTAGTGTCACTAACCATAAGGAGCAACAAAGTCATTCCAACTTATTAAAAAATGTTCTCCAGAGTAGCTATTTGCTATCAGTTTTTTAGAGTTACTCTCATTTTCAAATACCTTCTGAAACTGCTTCCTGCGTCTTTCTTTTTTCTTTTATTTTTTTAGACGTCTTGCTCTGTCACCCACCGGGACTAGAGTGCGGTGGCGCAATCTTGGCTTACTGCAGCCCCCACCTCCTGGGTTCAACAATTCTCATGCTCCACCCTCCCGAGTAGCTGGGATTACAGGTGCACACCACCATGCCCAACTAATTTTTGTATTTTTAGTAGAGATGGGGTTTCGCCATGTTGGCCAGGCTCGTCTTGAACTCCTGACCTCAAGTGATTCACCCGCCTTGGTGTCCCAAAGTACTGGGATAACAGGCGTGAGCCACCGGGCCCAGAGATATTTTCCATGTCTTTCAACTTACATGTATATCCTTCCAATAAGCCTCCATCAGCTAAGGTGAGCATGCCCATTTCTTGCAAGCTGAAAGAACATAATGAACACATACAGTGCTTTCCAGTTACTTCAATGATAACTCACCACACTGTTCTTTATGTGGAGCCTACTTAGACTATAAAACGATACAGGAGTTGACTAAAATCCATGTATAAAATTCATGGCGGGACTAAAAAGTTTCTGCAAAGCAAAGGAAAAAATAAAAGGAAACCCATGGAACAGGAAAAAATATTTGCAAACCATATATCTGATAAGGGGTTAATATCCAAAATATATTAGGAACTCGTATTAATAGCAAAAGAAACCCCAGATTTTAAAATGGGCAAAAGATGAATAGATGTTTTTTCAAAGAAGGTATACAAACACCCAATGGGTACACGAAAAGGTACTCATTACTAACCATCAGGGAAATGTAAATCAAAACCACAATTAGATACCATCTCACATCTGCTAGGATGGGTATTATCAAAAAGTCAGCCAGAGGCTGGGCATGACAGCTCACTCCTGTAATCCCAGCACTTTGGGAGGCCAAGGCAGGAGGATCACTTGAGTCCAGAAGTTCTAGGCCAGCCTGGGCAACACATTGAGACCCAGTCTCTACAAAAAATTTAAAAATTGGCTGGGTATGGTGGCACATACTTGTAGTCCCAGCTACCTGGAAGGCTGAGGTGGGAGGATTTCTTGAGCCCGGGAGGTCAAGGCTATAGTGAGCAGAGATGACACCGCTGCCCTCCAGCCTGGGTGACATAGCAAGACCCTGTCTCAAAAAGAAAGTCAGCTGAGCATGGTGGCTCATGCCTGTAATCCCAGCACTTTGGGAGGCTGAGGCAGGAGGATAACTAAGACCCTGTCTCAAAAAGAAAGTCAGTTGAGCATGGTGGCTCACGCCTGTAATCCCAGCACTTTGGGAGCCTGAGGCAGGAGGATAACTTGAGGCCAGGAGTTTGAGACCAGCCTGGTTAACACAGCGAAACTCTGTCTTTACAAAAAAAAAAAAAAAAAAAAATTACTGGTGGTGCACACCTGTAGTCCCAGCTACTCGGGAGGCTGAAGCAAGAGGATTGCTTGAGCCTAGTGGTTTAAGGCTGCAGTGAGCTATGATCACACCACCACACTCCAGCCTGGACAACACAGCAAGACCCTGTTGCACCAAACAAAGAAAAAAAAATCAAAAGATATGTGTTGGCAAGGATGTGAAGAAAAGGAAACTCTTGTATGTTGTTGATCGGTGCACTGGTATAGCCATTATGGAAAACAGTACAGAGGTTCCTCAAAAAAATTAAAAATAGAACTACCATTCAGCCATGCCACTTCTGGGTATATATCCAAAGGAAATAAATCACTCTCTCTCTCTCTTTTTTTTTTTTTTAGACTCTTGCTCTGTTGCCCAGGCTGGAGTGCAGTGGTAGGATCTCGGCTCACTGCAACCTCCACCTCCCGGGTTCAAGTGATTCTCATGCCTTGGCCTGCTGAGTAGCTGGGACTACAGGTGCACACCACAACACCTGGCTAATTTTTGTATTTTTAGTAGAGACGGGGTTTCACCATGTTGACCAGGCTGGTCTCGAACTCCTGACCTTAAGCGATCCACCCACCTCGGCCTCCCAAAAGTGCTGGGATTACAGGTATGATTCACCATGCCTGGCCAATAAATCCCTATCTCAAAGAGATATCTGCACTCCCATGTTCACTGCAGCATTATTCACAATAGCCAAGATACATAAACAACCTAAGTCTGATGACGAATGAACGGATAAACAAAATGTGGTGTGTGTGTATACATATTATATATGTATACACTTAGGTTGCTTATGTATCTTGGCTATTGTGAATAATGCTGCAGTGAACATGGGAGTGCAGATATCTCTTTGAGATAGGGAGATATATATGTATGTATACATATATACATGTATATATGTATACACACACAGTGGAATTTTATTCAGCCTTTAAAAAGAAGGAAATCCAGCCTGGGCAACACAGTGAGACTGCATCTCTACAAAAAATTATTATAATAATAATTAGCTTGGCATGGTGGTGAGCACCTGTAGTCCCAGCTTCTTGAGATGCTGAGAAAGTAGGATCACTTGAGCCCAGGAGGTCAAGGATGCAGTGAGCCATGATCATGCCACTGCACTCCAGCCTGGGTGACACAGCAAGACCCTGTTTAGAGAAAAAAAAGAAGGAGGAAATCCTGCCACTTGCGACCACATGGATGAACCTGGAGGACATTATGCTAAGTGAAATAAGCCAGACACAGAAAGACTAATACTGTGTGATCTCACTTGTATGTGGAATCTAAAAAAGTCAAACTCATGGAAGCAGAGAATAGGCTGGGCATAGTGCCTCACGCCTGTAATCTCAGCACTTTGGGAGGCCAAAGTGGGAGGATCACTTGGGACCAGGAATTTGAGGCCAGCCTGGGCAAAAGAGCAAGACCCTATCTCTACAAAAAATTTTTTAAAAGAAAAAATTAGCAGGGCATGTCCCTGCAGTCTCAGCTACTCAGGAGGCTGAGGTGGGAAGACCATTTGAGCCCGGGAGGTCAAGGCTTCAGTGAGCCGTGATTGCACCACTGCATTATGGCCTGGGCAACAGAGTGAGACCCTGTCTCAAAAATAAAAGAACCAGAGAGCAGAAGGGTGGTTACCAGGAGTTGTGAGGGTAGGGGAAATGGGGAGGTATTATTCAAAGGTCTAAACTTTTAGTCATAAGATGAATAAGTTCTGGAGACCAAGTATATCGCATGGTGACTATAATTAATAATAATGTATTATATTTGAAATTTGCTGAGAGAACTTAAGTATTCTCACTATAAGAAACAAAAAAAAAGGTAGCTATGTGAGGTGATGGATCCTTTAATTAGCTTGATTGTGGTAATTATTTCACAATGTATACATATATAAAAACATCATGTTGTACATCTTGAATATATTCAATTTTCATTAGTGAATTATACCTCCACAAAGCTGAAAAAGGGGGAAAAAAGAAAAATGCATGATGGATTCTGTTTATTCTGTTTGAATAAAAGTTATCACAACATGAATTACTTAAGATGGAAAAACATAACAGTTCAAATTATAAGAAATCACACTGAAACCAATCAACATCATATTTTTAAATAGGATACTAAGGCAGTGATTCTCACCTTACATACAACTTTAAAAATCCAGTTCCTCAGCAACTATTCCGGAAGTAATGAATCTGGAAATCTGAGGGTGGGGTCATGAGCACATGTTTTCTTTAAAGTTTCAAAGTTGATTCTGATGTCCTGCCAAGAGTTGAGAAGCCTGGCCCTACAGTAGAGATAACTGAGGGCCTTGTTGCTCAAAATGTGGCCCAGGGACCACCAGCAGTGGCATCACCAGGACCTTGTTAGAAATGCAGAGTCGGCCAGGCATGGTGGCTCACACCTGTAATCACGGCACTTTGGGAGGCCCAGGTAGGCAGATCACATCAGGTCAGGAGTTTGAGATCAGCCTGGCCAACATGGAAGAACCCCGTCTCTACTAAAAATACAAAAATATTAGCTGGGCCTGGTGGTGGGCACCTGTAGTCCCAGCTACTGGGGAGGCTGAGGCAGGAGAATGGTGTGAACCCGGGAGGCGAAGGTTGCAGTGAGCCAAGATTGCACCACTGCACTCCAGCCTGGGTGACAGAGCAAGACTCCATCTCAAAAAAAAAAAAAATAAATAAAATAAATAAATAAATAAATTAGCCGGGTGTGGTGGTGAGTGCCTGTAATCCCAGCTACTTGGGAGGCTGAGGTATGGGAATCACTTGACCCTGGGAGGGGGAGGTTGCACTGAGCCGGGATCATGTCACTGTACTCCAGCCTGGGCAATGAGCGAGACTCTGTCTCAAAAAAAAAAAAAAAAATGCAGAGTTGCAGCTCTACCCAAAACCTACTACATCATATCTGCATTTGAACAAGATCTCCAGGTGATCTGTAGGCAGAACAAAGTCTGAGAAGCACTCTTTAGAGTTCCCATTGCTACAGAGGTGTAAGAAATACCAAACCACGTTATAAAGTTGAATACCTCATGAAACTTTCCATGAAGGAGAAATACGAAAGGAACAAGGTGAGAGATAAAAAGTTACTTGTGATATAAAGGAATGTCACATTATTAAGCATCTAATTAAGAGTAATATTCAAATAGAAGTCTGCATATTTTATGTATTTATTTATTTATTTATTTATTTATTTTAGAGATAAGGTCTCACTCTGTCACCCAGGCTGGAGTGCAGTGGTGCAATCATGACTCACTGCAGCCTCAAACACCTGGGCTCAAGCGATCCTCCTCCCTCACTCTCCTGAGTAGCTGGGACTACAGGCACACACCACTGCGCCCACCTAACGTATTTTATTTTTTATAAAGTCGGGGTCTTGCTTTGTTGCCCAGGCTGTGCACATTTTAAAACCTACAATAACATTCCTTATTCCAAATGAATCCCACTTCCAGACGCACCCTCCACTGGCAATAGTTACACTTTCACTGAGAGTAACCAATCTACCTTGTAATCTCCAGGTAGCTCCAGTAGTCTCCACTGAGCTAGCCTATATGTTGAGGGGAATCTTTGTGAAGGAATGAAGAAACAAAGGGTGTGGTAGCAAGATAAGACAGGATCATTTACATGGGTGATATGCTGGGGGCCTTCGAGTGTTATGTGAACACCTCTACACTAGTTTCAAAGGACTATTTGGAAATAGTGACATTTATTGCCAGAAAAACTAATTCTCCACATCTTGTACAAACATTTTCTTCTGAGCCCTTTGTTCTTGGCCAGCTCTCAGAGAAAAAGCAGTTAACTATCATCCAGTATAATGATTCCTTGATTAACGTATCTTCTGGAAACAAAGCTCCAGTATAATGAAGGCAGCCATATTGAAAACAAATGAACTCTCAGTCCCATGCAGCAGCCCTGGCATGCATTCTAGGGCTCATCAGCAATGCAATTGTTAATCTACTCAAATGCATCAGAGCAGGGACAACATCACCTCCCTTCACAGCTTCTATTTATTTATTCTGAATGAAGTTGGCACTAGGCAAAATAACAAAACCAGAAAACTATATTCAGATTCTAAAGGCTTCCATTTTGGTACCCTTCCACTTGCCCAAGGATGGCCACAACCACTTCAAAAACTACACATCACACATGAACACTTGAAGTTTACAAGCATGTTCCCCATAATGAGCCTGCAGAGTAGTTAGGGCATGAATAATTCCTATTCCAAAGATGTAAAAAAACGGTGGAGTGGGGGCCTCATAAAACCTAACTAACATGTCCAAGGTCACACTACAGTAAAGTACAAAATAGCAACAAGAATCTAGGTATCTTATAACAAAATGTATTACAGCTTGGTGGTAAGAGGAAGGAAACAATAAGATCAAGTTAGAATCTATCAGTTAGGAACTGCCTTCAGCTGCCAGCTGAGGCCTATGATAACAGTGGCTTAAACAAGGTAGAGTTTCTTATTCCTTCCTTCTAAGTAAAGGAGGAGGCAGGCAATCAAAACCCATGTGGTGACTCTATCTAATCAGCAGGGACTGCAGGGCCATCTATTTTTCTGCTCCACTATTCTCAGTGCTTCGGTTCCAACCTCAAAGTAACCTCATGGCCCAGGGTGGCTACTGTGAGCTACACAGCCTTGTTCCTGGCAGGAGGTGGGAGGAAGATGGTAAGGGGAAAAGGGTATTCTGTGCAGTTGAGTGAACCCCCTTTAAAGAACTTTCCTGGCAACCCCATTCAACAACTTTTACTTGTATCTCATTAACAGGCTGGAAGAAGTAGCTTCATAGGTGGGTACATTGCCACATCCAGAAATACAGGGATTCCATTCACCAAAAAAGGAGGAAATGAGGAAAAAAGGAGGCAACCAGGAGTCCATGCTACAGAATCCTATTCTGTCACTCCCTTGCTGTGTGACCTTGAGGAGATTATTCACCCTTTCTAGGCCTCAGGTTCCTCATCTGTTAAATGAAGGAAACAATCACACCTACTGCATAGGATTGGTACCAGGACTAAATGAGAAAAACACACTGAAAACAACTGGAATTGTCTCGGCACCCAGTGCACAATAAATATTAACTTGTTATTTGATTATCTTAGCCCAGTGCTTTCCAAATTCCTTTCCTACTCTAACTTCCCCTCCATTTCCAAAATTGGAAAGGAATTTATATTAGTCATTTGTACCTGCTGACAGAGGACTCTAGTGTAAATGAGTCTTAGTCATAGGTCACCTCAATCAGACAAATGTATTTCATGCCTTTCCTTTCTAATTATACAATGAAATTATCTCCCAGACATCCATACAGATCAGATATTTTGGACAGAATTAGGATGGAGAAATTGAGCTTACATTCTCCAACAGGTGGGGCCTAGAGACAATCCTAATCAGATCTTTGGAGAGACCAAACAAACTAAGGGAGTATTAAAGAATTTAGGCTGGTGCAGTGGTGTGTGGCTGCAATCCCATCTACTTGGGAGGCAGAGGCAAGAAGATCCCTCGAGCCCAGGAGTCTGAGTACAGCCTGAACAACACAGCAAGACCCCATTTCTACAAAAAAAAAGGTCTCTTTCATGCAAAATAATTTCTAAAAAAGTATGTAGATACTTTACCCTTAAAGAGGTATAGCATAATTCTTTACTCCTTAAGTGTAGCATAACTCTTACTTCATAGTGACTTCCTTCACTTTCTACAGTATGGAAAGAGAGGAAAAAGGCTTAACTTTTTAAAAAAATTTCTTTTGAAGGACTACTGCAATGGGGTCTTGCAGTTGGGGAGGGAGAGTGGACGCCAATGCCAAAAAGAGTAACTTTCAAGCAGAGAAACTTCACAAGCACTACCTCTGCCAGGTAATCAAGGTCAGTAGAAAAGTCATGATAATAATATATACCCTTGAATTGTGATAAAAATGGCACTTTACCTCTGTGATCTTCCTCTCAAACACCCGTAAGCCAGTTTGATCATGAGAAAAACATCAGACAAATCTCAACAGGGGAACAACATACAAAAATGTGACCAGTACTCTTCAAAACCGTCAGGGTCATCAAAAACAAGGAAAATCTAAGAAACTGTCATAGCCAAGGGGAGCCTCAGGAGATATGACAACTAAATGTAATACAGTCTCCTATACGGAATACTGCAACACAAAAAAGGACACTAAGCAAAAACTAAGGAAATCTGAATCAAGCATGGAGTTTAATCATACATCAATATTAGTTCATTAATTGTGATGAATCTACCATACTAAGATGCTAATAATCAGGGTGTGGGGTATATGGGAGCTCTTTGTACTATCTTCACAATTTTTCTGTTACTCAAAAAATATTCTAAAAAACATTTAATTTTTTTATTTTTTTCTTAATTCATTTTTTTTCCCTTGGTATAACTTGGAACAAATTTTTTTTCCCTTGGTATAACTTGGAACAAATTTTATTTTTAAAAAGAAAAAAAAGGAAAATAATGGTCCACAGCTCCTACCCTCACCCCCATGAGCCCATCCCCACCACAAGGACAAGCTTACAGTTCCTGAAGGTGAGGCCAACAGCTGCTGAGGAGCAAGGACTCGTTCCAGCTGCTTCTAAACAAGGGGGCCAGGCCTCTGCCAGAGCCTTCTCCTTCCTGCCCTGTGTCAAGCTATCCAAGCTTCCTCCTCAACCTTTACCCTGCCCTATGCCCTGAAACTACCTGACACGTATTTTCCTCTTGTACTTAATTGATAGTAGAATTTCCCTCATACATGTCAAGTACTATAAATTCCCCTAGAACACATCCCATGTCTTCCACTGATGAAGGGGAACACTGCCACATTATCAGTGAATGAAGCTGCTATCTTGAAAAGGGGTCGGCATGACAAGTTATGCTAGACAACTTATGCCAATGTAACTGCCCTCACCAGGGAGACACCGTCTTGAGCTTTGCCCCTTTGGCTTCTCCCACACCAGTGGAGCAGTTCACAAGGAGCCTGGGAGAAACTCTCCAAGATCTAACTTAGTACATGGGCAAACTGCTGTAAACTATGTCGGAAGTTATTTTTCTGCTCATCTCCTAATATCATAAAATGTAAAGTTGGAAGCCTCATCCTTTCAATTAATACACCAAAAGCTAAGGCCCAGAAAGATGCTATAAATTGCTGGATGCTACAAAGCTAATTGACAGATGGGATTAGAACCAAGTGTTCAAAGGATTAGTCTCTAAGCACCATTGGATGAAAAGCTGAAATGACCTAAGGGAAAACAGTGAATATGCTGTCCTCAGAATATAATATGCCAGTGAAGTTATAGAACTGCTGGATGACTAGTGTGAGAGAGGGAAAGAAAACAGAACGAAGGGATGCACTCTGGTTAAAAATAGGTCATAGGCTGATCAACTCACCTCTGATTTGCTGAGATCACTTTGAACATAATTGCTTATGTCACAATAATGAGCTTTCAGTGGACAATAAAGAAAAGCTGAACGTTGGCTGGGCACAGTGGCTCACACCTATAATCCCAGCACTATGGGAAGCCGAGGCAGGCACATCACCTGAGGTCAGGAGTTCGAGACCAGCCAGGCCAACTCTGCAAAACCCTGTCTCTACTAACAATACAAAAATCAGCCAACGTGGTCGCAGGCACCTGTAATCCCAGCTACTTGGGAGGATGAGACTACTTGGGAGGCTGACGCAGGAGAATCGCTTGAACCTGGGAGGTGGAGGTTGTAGTGAGCTGAGATTGTGCCACTGCACTCCAGCCTGGGCAACAGAGCGAGGCTGTTTCTTAAAAAAAAAAAGAAAATAAAAGATAGGCCGGGTGCAGTGGCTCATGCCTGTAATCCCAGCACTTTGGGAGGCTGAGGTGGGCAGGTCACGAGGTCAGGAGTTCAAGACCAACCTGGCCAATATGGTGAAACCCTGTCTCTAATAAAAATACAAAAAAAAAATTAGCCGGGCATGGTGGCACGTGCCTGTAGTCCTAGCTCCTTGGGAGGCCGAGGCAGGAGAATTGCTTGAACCTGGGAGGCAGAGGTTGCAGTGAGCCAAGATCGCGCCACTGCACTCCAGCCTAGGCGACAGAGTGAGACTCTGACTCAAAAAAAAAAAAAAAAAAAAAGAAAGAAAGAAAAAGAAAAGAAAAGCTGAGCATTATTACCAGGCCATGTTAAAGTAATTCATATGGCTTAAGAAATACCAAAGGAAGAACTAGCCTCAGTCTTTGGGAGTCCTCTAGAATTAAGATATTTCCAAGAGATACATGAATGCCAAAGAAAAGCAACTACATTTGATTATTAAATGATGACACTGCAGATTTACCTTCTTTTTCCTCTGACAACATGAATTCATAACTATTCCCAAGTGAAGAAAATGCAGACTCAACTGTGAAATATTTTATCAATAATAAGAAAAAGGAGACATAAAATAAGTGCTAATAATTTTATAGGTATTTACTATGGGCTTGGCCATGTTCTAAGGACATTATATACATTAACTCATTTAGTCTTCAAACCCAATGCAATAGGATTTACTATTATTCAAATTTAGAAATATAAATAAAGAATAGAAGCAGAGAGGTTACGTAACTTGTCCAAGGTCACACAGCCAGTGGTCAGCCAAAAAATGAACCAAGACAGTCTGATTCTCTCATGTCAAACTGATACCCACCATGGACTACTTTATATTCTTTATATTCTTAATTATCTTCTTTAAAGTGTAACAGTCTTACCTTCCCTAATTCTATGGCATAGTCTTTAAAAGCAGGGAGCCTATTTTATATATCTCTTTGTATTGCCAGTATTTTAGGCACCATTTTGCATACATTATATTGATGGGGATAACTAGACAGGTCTTTTATTTCTTTTTGAGACAGAGTTTCACTCTTGTTGTCCAGGCTGGAGTGCAGTGGTGTGATCTCAGTTCACTGCAACATCCACCTCCCTAGCAAGCGATTCTCCTGCCTCAGGCTCCCGAGTAGCTGGGATTACAGGTGCCCACCACCACATCTGGCTAATTTTTTGTATTTTTGGTAGATATGGGGTATCATCATGTTGGCCAGGCTGGTCTCGAACTCCTGACCTCAGGTAGTCCACCCGCATTGGCCTCCCAAAGTGCTGGGATTACAGGCGTAAGCCACTGTACCTGGCCCAGGTCTTCTTAAACAATGTGATGAGTACAGGATTTTTAAACAACATGTAAATCTACTCATAGTTTCCATGGAACTTAAAATAACTTTCTCAAAATAAATTAGACAACTTTGGAATTCTAATAACAAAAAACAGTAAGCTGGTGGTCCAGAGAACTAATGCAGTTTTCAAAACTATCTAACTTAGTAGACAAAGCCACAGACTCTGAGAGGATATGACCTGACATCTTATATGAATCAACTAAAAAAACCTCTACAACTTGCAACACACAATAGAGGTGACTGAGGTTCAGCTATACCTAGTTGTGTAATTTTAGATAAAACCTTCTAACATTTCTGAGTCTCAGTTTACTCATCTTTAAAATGGGAACAAAAAACTTACCCTCTTCCCTCTCAGTTTGTTGTAAGAATCCAAATGAATGCAGTTGTGAAAGCCCTTCATAAATAGAAAAGCACCACATAAATGTAAAGTACTTCTAGAATACAGCAAGCAGCATACAGGTATAAATGCGTGGAGCATCAATAGTAACTGACTTATATGAGCAGTCAGTGTGATCACCTGGAAAAACATGGACTTCCACTTCAAAAAAAACCTGCATTCAAATCACCATTCCAGTATTTACTAGCTGAGGGACTGTGGATAAGTTGCTTAAATGTTTGTGAGCCTCAGTCTTTTCAATGATAAAATGAAGAAAATAATACCTACCTCACAGGTGATAACATAAAGAAGCACCTGGTACACCGTGAACACAGTGAATGTTCTTCTGTGCCCTCATACTGATGATATTAAAGTTATTTTACTCAAAGCACAACAGACAACAGTTATATCAGTCCTTCCAGGGTTTACCATAAACACATCAAAATATAGAAAGAGTAAATTTAGTTAGCATTTAGTAAGCCCTATTATGTGCCTACTACTCTTCCAGATGTTGGGAGGAGGATCCAGAATCTTGTATATCCTCCCTTTGGAGAAATAATATTAAAATGTTGTATGTCAGGCAGAGATTCTCAAATCTGTTTGAGAATCTGATGAAAGCTATGGCATTTCTCCCCAAGGAAAGCTACAAAGCTTTTAGGGGACAATAAAGGAAATATAGGAGAATATTTTCATGACCTTGGATAGAAATCATGTTCTTAAAGGGGGTGAGGGGGGAAGAGACACAAATTATAAAGGAAAAGATTCATAAATTCATCTATACTGAAATGAAGAATTTCCACATCGAAAGAAACCATAGAGAAAATGAAAAAGTAAGCCAGAGTGGAGGTGGAAGAAGATATTTGTAACACACATAACCAACAAAAGTTGAGATTCCTGGGTAAACAAAGAACTCCAATAAATCAATAAAAAATAATAGGCAAAATGCTGTGGTATATATTTATACAATGAAAACAAACAAACAAAAAAAACAGAACCGGGCACAGTGGCTCACGCCTGTAATTCCAGCACTTTGGGAGGCCAAGGCAGGCGGGTCACCTGAGGTCAGGAGTTCAAGACCAGCCTGGGCAACATGGCAAAACCCCGCCTCTACTAAAAATACAAAAATTAGCTGGGCATGGTGGCATGCACCTGTAGTCCCATCTACTTGGGAGGCTGAGGCAGGAGAAATCACTTGAATCTGGGAGGCAGAGGTTGCAGTGTGCTGAGATTACACCACAGCACTCCAGCCTGGGCAACAGAGCAAGACTCTGTCTCAAAACAAACAAAAACCCACAGCTACATGTAACAATACAAATAAATCTTACAAACTTAATGTTGAGTGAAAAAAGCACCTGGACTAAAGCAGGGATGTTAGTATAAATAACATTATCAGTAGCCTTTATCCTCCCTTCTTCCCCCACCCAAGCTATCCTTCCTCTAGGGTGACTATCCTTGATTTGCCTGGGACTGAGGAGTTTCCATGAATGGGGGACTTTCAGTTTTAAAAGCTGGAAAAGTCCTGGGAAACTGGGAAGAGTTGGTCACCCAATCTCGTCCGCCTATTCCCCCCACCCTCCACTTCTTGCCCTTGGCTAGCACTAACTAACACTAACACAGTGGCACTAACACACCAATCTCAGTTGTGCAGATAGAGATGAAGAATATGCAATCAATAACAGAAAGAAAAAAACCAAGAAACAAAAATGAAGTTGATCATAAATGCCAGGCTGTATAAATCAACCATGAAATCCTTTAAGCTACCGAGAAAACCCACAATGGAAACTAAGTCCTATAAGTTAGCCTGTGGAAATCTCCATGTTTATCTCATGGGTTTTCATCTGATCTACTAAAAAGGACAAATTAGCCAAAGGAACTATTTCTTAGAATTTAACAATCTGTGTTGGGGTGTGATTTCTCTCTTAATTACATGGAGTTTGCAAAGTGCATCATCCTTTTGAACCAGCAACATAAATGTTATCTGGGAATGTGTCAAAAATGAAAATTATCAGGCCCTATCCCAGACCAAGTGATCAGATACTGAGCGTGTACAAGGCCTTCAGGCAATTCAGATACATGTGGCAAAAGTTTGAGAACCACTGGATTAGTGTACCCACATCCTCTCTTCCTTGTTTGTAATGGGCATTTGGTGGATTAGTGAGACACCCCCAAGAATTCAGGTGTTGTGTCTAGCTTTCATATTACCACTCTCTGTCAGGTCAGGCAATTAAGGATCTTGGATACCACCATCAACAGTAAATATTTCACATAGTGCCAGATTTACGACACCTTAGCCTCAGCACATGAAACCCAAACAATGGAATACTCTCTGCTCCCCATTTACTTTCCTATAACTGCTTATTAATCTCATGCATCATGAGCTACTACAGAATTAACCCTCACTGGCCAGGTGCAGTGGCTCACACCTGTAATTCCAGCACTTTGGGAGGCTGAGGTGGGAGGAGTTCGAGATCACCCTGGCCAACATGGTGAAACCCCGTCTCCACTAAAAATAGAAAAATTAGCCAGGCATGGTGGTGCACACTTGTAATCCCAGCCACTCTGTAGGCTGAGGCATGAGAATCACTTGAACCTGGGAGGTGAAGGTTGCAGTGAGCCATGACCACGCCACTAGACTCCAGCCTGGGCGACAGAGCAAGACTCTGCCTAAAAAAAAAAAAAAAAAAAAAAAACCTTTCCTGAATTGACCTCAGTACTTGATTGCCTATAATTCTGCCAAAAAAAAAAAAAAAATTCAACTGAGCTTTTTATTTATTTTAGAATCATGCTGAAGATATTTTATTACTTTAAAAGCTGGGAAACATAAATACATTTTATAAAGAAGTTGGGCACCAGATCAACTATCATCCTTTGTTGTAAAATAAAACTGTGATTAATCAAACCCAATTTTCTTAACATCATTTTAAAAACACACACACATTTATTTCCTAAGGATGCCCTACAAGGACTGTCCTGTGCTCAGAACCTGCCTGGGGCTCTTGGCCTTTGAATGAAAAGAACTCATTCCAGACATTTCATAATCTCAAGTCATTACTTGCTTTCTGCTGGGTTGATAAAATACAGGACAATTCCACTTAAATGATCTTAAAAAGGTAAAACTAAACAATATTTTATAGAGATGCATATGTGTATGGTAAAACTGTACAGAATGAAAAGGAAATAATAACCACAAAGGTTAAAAAAATGGTTACATCTAGGGGAGAGAGGAGGCTAAGTCTAGGAGGGATGGGAATCCATTTCTAAGGAACTGACTATATCCTATTTCTTGACTTGAGCATGAGTTACAAGAGTTTTTACTTTATAATTTACAAATTTCATATGTTCTTCTGTATGTAAGTTACAAAAATAAATAAATGCACTTACACAACCACTCCAAAATTTATCAGGGAGAGAAGGAAGAGTTCACAGACTACCTTAAGTCCATAAACCCCAGGTTTATGGTTATCAAGCTAGGTGAAATCAGAGAAAAGGAAACTCTTTAGATTGTAAAATGATAAGGGAAGGAGGGAGCACTGAGAACAGGAAAAGTGAAAAACTGAAAAGGTGATGCAGAAAAAACATGAAGCTTCTGCGTCAGTTCATACCCTCTCACTTGGAGGAGAGCAACATCTAGCACAGACATAACTAACAAATGCCCAAGCTTGGTAAGGAATGTGTTAGTGTCTGAAAAACATGTTAACTAATAAGGGGAAAGTGGAGCTCAGCTTGTAAAGAAATGTAAACTATTAAATAATTTCTTCTAAAAGAAATAAATCCAAAAATCGCAAGTTTAACCCTCTTACTCATTCCATTACATCGTCCTCACACCCTTTAATGGAAAAAGGGCATATAAATGGTTAGAAAACTACAAACACCAATTACTGAATGCAAAAAGTACACAATGTCATGTCTCAGCAAAATATTATCAAAGAACCTAGAAAAGCCTTTGTCAACCTTGAGAAATTAGGGAACTGGTGAAAACTAATTACAAAATGTCATTTCCACCAGCTTTGGAATAAATACACATATTGCAACTAAATGATAAACACACATCTGGATCACATCTAGTCTGAACTCCAAAACAGGTCTTCACTGTACAGTCTCTTGTGAGAATGAAGCTTTCTGCTGAAGGTAACAGGAATCTAAGGTGGCCTACCCTGTTTAAATCCATAGGTCAGGCATGGCGGTATATCTTTGTAAAGTTTTTTCATTGTACTCTTGCAAGAAATATTCACTTATATCCAGCAACTATTCATTATTTCACAAGGTTTGGGTTTACACTGAACAAAATTACCAATTATGTTCAAAACTGGTGTTCATATAGACAGCCAAATGCCTTATTTTGATGAAAAGTTGTAATAATGAGCATGGAGAATTATTTTTATGTTCCAAGATTCTACCAAAGGCATTAAATTGACTATTTCTTCAAGATGTTCTTCTCAAGTTTTCCTTTCATCCTACTTTCTACCCTCCATTTGTTCCGCACAGATACAATATCTTCTCTATTTTTCCAACTTTCTCTTAGTGGTTAAGGGAGTCACACAGAAAAGCTTCTCCACTTCATGGAATATTCGCTATATTCCACTTTATAATGAGGCTCTCAGTGAATCGTTCTCCTCCGACTCTCTCACTTCCCTATCTCCCTTTTGTTGCCAGTCCCCCTAGGTTTGTTCTTCCCTCTTGTTTTCAGATAACTCGGATTACCCAGTTGGAACCAAAGGCCAAAGAATGTCCTCTCTATTATGTTTGATTGAAAAGCCGCCCGGAAGAGGGAAGGGGTGTGGATCTACACTTATTCACTCTTTCACTAATGTGCCAAACTATTTGATCCGTGCCGCTTTTGTGTACCCAAAACACAGTATCATAAAAGTAATTACAGGCCCGAAAATGATTCTCAGCCCAAATGAATGGCCTTTTGGAATGCTATATTCTGGACTTCTCTTTGCGTGGGGGAGGGTCTCACAACTAACGAAAACAAGTCCTACAGAAAACTGGTGAGCTCGGCGGCTGGGGGAGGGAGGGAGGGGGGTCACAGGTCCGAAGTGCAAGGGACGCCGAAACAGGACTTGCCTCAGTTATGAGCACGTGCTCTGACCTGGCTGCGGCGGCGCAGGCAAACCCCTCGGAAGGTGTCGTTGTCCACCGAGACGGCCATTGACCTCTGACTCATCCAGAGATAAGTCATCAACCAGGCCACAAGTCCCAAGCCAGCAGCTCCTGGATTTAGTGTGCACGGAAAATTTGAGTTTCAGCTGTACGACCACTAGCAGTTAAAGACGGGTCTGAATTTCCTCGGGCTCGGCCGGAAAGTGAGGATGGCGATGGAAATGCCACCCTCCCCGAGTCTGGCCTCTGAGAGTTAAAGAAGCCGGTCCCATCCCGGCGCGTGAAGGAGCTGCCGCTGTGTGGGGCAGGACCCGAGCGGCCCCAGAGCGCGCAGCTCTGGGTCCCCGCCGCCCCGTCCCCCGCGCCTCTCACCTGCGGCCGAGTGGCCCGAGAGCGCACGGCCCCGGGCGCGGCGCTGGCCACCAAGTTCGCGGCGCTCGCGTAGCTCTTCCTCCTCGTCCTCCCGCCGCCGGCCCTCAGCCATGGGCGAGGCGCGGGGCGCAGCCGCGGGATGGCCAGCGAGCTGCGGCCCCGGCGCCCCAGAACGCCTGCACCCGGCGCCCCACGCCACCGCCCTCGGGCCGGGGGGAAGGCGGCTCCCGGAGAGGAGGCGTCGGCGGCGGCTGTGGAAATGGCCACCTCCGCGAACTCCACCTGCAGCCGGCCGGGCAGCGGCAGGGCGCGGGCCGAGCCGATTCCCCGCCTCCTTGCGGCGTCCCGGCGGCCTCTTAATCCCTGGCCTTTCCCACTCCCACTCCCGCTCTCTTCCCCCTTCCTCTTTGCCTTCCCCGCCCCGTAGAGCTCCACCGCGGATCGGGCGGGTTCGGGGCTGGCCTCGCCTCCTCAGGGAGGGGTTATCGGCCCCTAAGGCCGCCCCACAGCCACACACGCTGGAAACACCAGCTCGACCCAAACAAACGTGTGCAAAATAAATAAACGGGATAGGAAGAGGGGAAAGAGGAGGTGGCCTGGCCTCTTCCTGCCTTTTCACGATATTCCAGTGTCAACAGGAAACCCATTTGTTTGACACTTAAACAAAAAGAGGAGGAACCCGACCGGGGCCGAACTGGGAGAGATGGGACAGCTGGGAGCTGCTGAACTTTGGAACAAACTTGGCTTGGAGTTGGGTCGAGCCTCTGCAATGCACACTTTTTTCTTTCCCTCTCTTTTCGCCCTTAAAAACCTAGACTTGCGGGAGCACAGAGGATTTTTAGGGCAGTGAAACTACTATGCGTATGATTCTGTAATAGCGGATGCCTTTGTCCAAGCCCAAAGAATGTACAAAACCAAGAGTGAACCGCAATGTAAACTATAGACTTTGGGTGATTATGAGGTGTCAATGTGGGTTCATCAATTGTAGCAACTGTGGCACTCTGGTGGGGGATGTTGATAATGGGGGAGGCTATGCATGTGTGGGAGCAGGGGGTACATGGGAAATCTCTGTACCTTTAGCTCAATTTTGCTGTGAACCTAAAACTGTTCTTAAAAATAGTCTAGTAAGACTGGAAGCGGTGGCTCATGCCTGTAATCCCAGCCCTTTGGGAGGTCGAGGCGGGCAGATCACGAGGTCAGGATATCGAGACCATCCTGGCTAACACGGTGAAACCCCGTCTTTACTAAAAATACAAAAAAAAAAAAAAATAGCCAGGCGTGGTGGCGGGCGCCTGTAGTCCCAGCTACTCGGGAGGCTGAGGCAAGAGACTGGCCTGAACCCAGGAGGCAGAGCTTGCAGTGAACGGAGATCGCACCACTGCACTCCAGCCTGGGCAACAGAGCGAGAGTCCTTCTCGAAAAAAAAAAAAAGTCTAATAAAAATGTTTAATAATAAATCAAGCCTCACTGTATTCCAGTTCATTTAGGGCTAGGATATGGCTACAATTCCTAGAAGAACAGGAAGAAATGTGTTAAAGAGACCCATACGTGATTATTTGTAGAGAGGCAACTAGGGGAAGTGGAGAGACCACTGGCTCTGGAGTCAGAAACTGTAATTTGAAGCACTTAGCTGTGTGAGCTACCCCTAAGAAAGTTTTTCAAAGCTGGAAAGAACCGTGTAACCAAAGTTGTGTGTACCTGCACAATACACATCTTAGGTTCAGTAGGTGCACGTACTTACTTTCACACAGAGAGGAAAAGATTCTGGAATTTCACCAAAAGATACCCAAGTAGCAGGCAGAAATATTACCTGGACATGAAACCTTAGGAAATTCCTGAGTGCGATGAACAGGCCTTTATCTTTGGCGTCTTGCTCTATTTCTGAGAGATTACCAAGAGCTCCTAATGTTCAGCAAGTAGGAGAGAAAAAGAAAGGGAGAAAAGGGTCACTGAAAATAGAATTGCCTGCCACACCTGAGTGCTGTTTCTTTGCCTTTTCAATAGTGGCTGTTGCCGCCTGAGAAAATCTTTCCGCTTTTAAGCAGATAAGAACCACAATCGATTCTGTGGAATTGAGGTCAAATCCACAAGTTAAAACTTTATTACTGCATAAGCGATTAAATAAGTAGACACTTAGAGAACTGGAAATTAAGCCAACAACAATAAAACAAAGGTTCTGGACCTTTAGGGTTGTTTTAAATGTTTGGTAAGTGAAACCTTATTTGTCACTTCCCTTCAAGGATGAATAATTTAAAAATCCCTACCTTGACCAACAGTACCATTTCATTAAGCCATTGGAGTCAGTTTCTACTGTCATTGAGTCTTAATTTTTTTTTTTTTTTTTTTTTTTTGAGACTAGAGTCACTCTATTGCCGAGGCTGGAGTGCAGTGGCACGATATCGGCTCACTGCAACCTACGCCTGCCGGGTTCAAGGGATTCTCCTACCTCAGCCTCCCGAGTAGCTGGGATTACAGGCATGCACCACCACGCCCGGCTAATTTTTGTATTTTTAGTAGAGACGGGGTTTTACCATGTTGGCCAAGCTGGTCTCAAACTCCTGACCTCGTGATCCACCCACCTCAGCCTCCCAAAGCGCTGGATTACAGGCGTGAGCCACTGAGCCCAGCCATTGAATCTTAATTTGGAAAGGCGTGAAAGTTGTTCTGGGTTTCCCAGCCAATTAGAGCTTCGGGAATCCACATTTTTGTGGTGGGTGGGTGGTGCATGCCCAAGCCCACTCTACAATTAGCAAACATTTATGGTAACTGTTGTGTGCCAAGTACCACTCTAGGTGCTGTGGGGAGACTCAAAAGAAGGAAAGAAATATCCATGATCACATCCTATGGTAGGTGCTTTTCACATATGTCTTCTCATTGCAAAAGAACAAAACATGTTCCCTGTCCTCCAATGAGAGAGGAAGGTCTATACAGTTTACACAAAACGAGACAAAACTTGGTAAGTTCTTCAATAAAGATATAACTTTGGACAGGGTGCCAACATAATTCAACAGGGAAGGAATTGTCTTTACAACTGGATATCCACATGCACATGAATGAATTTGAGCCCCTATTTCATTCCATATGCAAAAATTAACTCAAAATGGATCATAGACCTAAATGTAAGAACTAGAACTATAAAACTCTTCGAAGAAAACATAGGATTAGATCTCTGTGACCATGGTTGAAAAAATAATTTTTTGGATGTGATACCAAAATACATAAATATCAGAAGAAAAAATAAATTGGACTTAGCAAAATTTAAAACTTTCGTGTTTCAAAGGACACGATTATTAAAGTGAAAAGACAGAAGGGGAGAACATACTTTCAAATCATATATCTAATAAGGACCTTATATTCAGAACATATAAAAAACAACAATAGTTGTTTAAAAACCCAATTAGGCCGGGTACAGTGGCTCACGTCTGTAATCCTAGCACTTTGGGAGGCTGTGGCGGGTGGATCAGGAGTTCCAGACCTGCCTGGCCAGGAGTTCAGGAGGTCAGGAGTTCCAGACCTGCCTGGCCAACCATGGCCAACATGGTGAAACCCCATCTCTACTAAAAATACAAAAAATTAGCCAGGCACGGTGACGCATGCCTGTAATCCCAGCTACTCAGGAGGCTGAGGTAGGAGAATCACTTGAACCCGGGAGGTGGAGGTTGCAGTGAGCTGAGATCCCGCCATTGCACTCCAGCCTGGGCAACAAGAGTGAAACTCTGTCTCAAAAAAAAAAAAAAAAAAAAAAAAAAGATGAACTTTGAAAACATTATGTCAAGTTAAAGAAGCCAGAGACAAAAGATTCCTATGATCTTGTTTATATGAAATGTCTAGAATAGGCTAATCTATGGAAACAAAATGTAGGTTAGTGGTTGCCAGGGGAGGGGAGAATGGGGAGTGATGGCCAATGGGTATAAGGTTTCTTTTTGAGGTGATCAGAATATCCTAAAATCAGAAGTGGTGGTGGTTGCACAATTTTGTAAATATAAGGGATACATTTTTGGTACATGAATTATATCTCAATAAAGCTGTTTTTTAAAAAAATATAACTAGCTCACTACAAAAGCACAGAAAACAAACCAGGGAGAGGACTGCACTCTGAAGTCATCATATTGAGGAAGACAAACCAGATAGAAGTTACAAGCCAGAACAATGTAATTATATGAAAGCAAACCAAAGGTGCGGCCAACTAGTAACTAAATAAACATGCTCAAACATCCTACCCACCCAAGTGACACAACAAGAGCCAAACCCATAGAAGGAAAGTGATAAGAAACTTGGAATGAAAATTTACATCCTAAGAGTAAAACAAGATTCACCCTCAAAACTTGAAGGTATAAAAATTTTTTTTAAGAGATATTGAAAAAGGGCCCCCATTTTAAAAGACAATGTTCTTGGTTTCTCACTTTAGATATATAATCTTACATGAAGCAAAATGGTCTGCAAATAGAACACTACAAAAAATAAGAATATACTATATAAATATATACGTGATGCAGTGTTTAGCAAATAGAAGCACAATAAATATTTGTTTAATGACTGAATGAATATAATTCCAATTTTCTCTTGCTGAATCACCAGAAGGCATGAGTCGCAAGGCTTTACACTTAAAAAGTAACTATCTGGAGTTAAAAGTTTTCAGTTGAAGACTTCAATGGAGAAATAAGAAGGAAGAACAGGGATATACAATGGATTTTAAAACTACAGCATCTCCAAAGTTTTAGCTCTTCACGTAACAGAATTTTAAGATATATTAAAGTAGAAGAGTGAGTCCATGAGTGGTTATTATGTTATTCTCCATATTTTCTATTTGCTTTTAATTTTTCATTTCAAAAAAAATAAAAGCAGGCTGGGTTCCATGGCTCATGCTTAAGGGCAGGAGTTCAAGGCCAGACTGGGCATCATAGAGAGATCCCATCTCTATTTAAAAAAGAAAAAATTAGTTGGGCCTGATGACATGTGCTTGTAGTCCCAACTACTCAGGAGGCTGAGTTGGGAGACTGACTGCTTGAGCCCAGGAGTTGGAGGCTGCAATGAGCTAATTATGCCACTGCACTCCAGCCTGGGTGACAGACTGAGAACCTATATTAAAAATAAAAATAAAAATAAAGGAAAAGCTAAAAGTACAGTATAATAGATTGAGATAGCTATAGTTTCTGTTTGTCCAGTGCTGTTTGTCCATAGTTTCTGCTTGTCCACTATAGTTCTGTCTGTCCACTTTAGGAAATTCTCCCTGTGGCAGATTATTGCAAAACTGTTCCAAAATCTTTATGCCTCCCTCTATTTATACATTTCTAATGTACATTTGCATCTTCTTCATCAAGAAGTGGTTCCAAATTCCAGCTACTCAGGAGGCTGAGGCAGGAGGATCACTTGAGCCCAGGAGTTTGAGGCTGCAGTGAGCTATGATTTTACCACTGCACTCTAGCCTAGGTAGCTGAGTGAGACCCTGACTCTAAAAAGTAAACACAAAAAAACAGGGTTCCCTGTATCCATGAAGCCAAGCTAGCCCTGGCATTTGCTTTGGCCGACTAGAATATGGCAGAAAAGACAGTGTGTGAATTCCAAGTCTAGACCTCAAGAGGCCTTGTTTGCTTCAGTTTGTTCTCTTGGATGATGTATTAGTCTGTTCTCTTACATTGCTATAAGGAACTACTGAGACTGCATAATTTATAAGAAAAGAGGTTTAATTGACTCACAGTTCTGCAGGCTGTGCAGGAAGCATGGCTGGGAAGACCCCAGGAAACTTAAAATCATGGCAGAAGGTGAAGGGGAAGCAAGTATATCTTCACATGGCCAGCAGGAGAGGGAGATAGAGAGAGAGAAAGAGAGAGAGACAGAGAGAGAGAGAGATGGATGAAGAGGGAAGTGCTACACACTTTCAAACAACCAAATCTCATGAGAACTCACTATCATGAGAACAGCAAGGGGGAAATCTGCCCCCATGATCCAATCACCTCCCACCAGGTCCTTCCCCCAACATTGGGGATTACAATTTAACACGAGATTTGGGTGGGACACAGAGCCAAACCATATCAGATACCTTCTACCACCATGTGATCAAGCCAACATGAGCCAACTAAAGAATGCAACACTACATGAAGGAAAGGCCAGTTGTCCCAGCTGAGGCCATTTAGACCAGCATGCAGCCAACCAACCCCCAAACATGTGAAAGAACCCAGTTAAGATCAACAGAAATGCTTATCTAACCAACAAATGACCACAGACACATGACCCAACTAAGACTAAAACCACTGCCACCTGGCCTGTAAACTTGTATGTGGTAAGAAGTGCTTACTGTTTTATATCAGTGAGGTTATGTGATTGTTTGCTATGCAGCATGTGCTGGTTTGGGATTCTCCAGGAATCAGTGGGCTGAAAGAGAGTTCTAGTACAAAAGTTTAGAGGGTTAACACCTGTGAAAGGAGCAAGGGAGACAGAAAGATTGGTCAAGGGGAACTGTCATACCACTATGCAGACCTGACAAAGCCTCTGCTAGTCCAACAGGAAGCTCTAGAATAAAGATCAGAATTCCACTTTTAATGTAAATGGGTGGGCCCTTGAATCACCACCTTGCTGAGTCATTGACTTAGACTGCATGAAAGCTGAGGCAGACACTGTGGGAGACACAAAGAGATGTGCCACTCAAATCTCCCTCCAACAAAGCCTTGCTGCCCAGGTATGCTGGATATGGTATGCTATGTCAGTATGCTGACAGTCCCTAGCTTCAGTGTCTGCCTCAGCTGTCGTGCAGATCTGTTCCTTGTATCATGAAAATCTACTTTTCCATACATGTTCAGGAAATAGCTCAGGTTACCCTCCATCACCACAGTTGGTCTCAGGGCCTCCAGTATAGTCTCCCTTCTCCACACTCCATCTAAATTCCTCTTGCCCCCCAGCCACCACCTCTGCTGGTCTTGGTGGCTTATCTAGTGGTATGACTCAAACATTCATTATTGAGTTTTCTTAGCCCCTAGTGATCATATCCTTCTCAGGTGGGAGTTGCTTCACTTGTCTGTTCACAGTTATGATCTATCAAGGGAGAACCAACAACCAAGAAGCACCCAAATGGGTCATCTTGAGTTCCACACACATGTCTCCTGTTCCCGTTGTGTAAGATCAGTCTTCCACTGTTGATCAGAGTTATTATTTCTGCCAAGATGGTAAGTCTTCTTACCTGCTGGCCCCTAGCCACAAGAAACTCAGTGCCCAGAGGGCATCCATAATTTGTAATCAATTGGACCTTAGCTGCATCCTCTGGTGAGCATGTGCCCCTGCTGGCAACAGGACCTCTAACCTTATGGAGCCCCGGAAGCAAGACGTCCCCAGTAGGCCATTGGGAGTGATTGTAACTGCAGCCAATCCTGGGTCCACCCCTCTGATTCCAGATTTACAGATTCTGATTGGAGATACAGCACCATGTAAAGGTCTCTGATACAATGTGTATACTGCATTCTGGAAGATTAAGCTCCATATTCTCAGGGTATTGCCTCTGACTTTGCATTTCATTTATGTCTTCAGCAGGAATACACATATATAAACTAGAGGTAAGAAGTACAACATATAAAACATTTTTTTTTTGAGATGGAATCTCACTCTGTTGCCCAGGCTGGAGTGCAGTGGCACGGTCTTGGCTCACTGCAACCTCCACTTCCCAGGTTCAAGCAATTCTCCTGCCTCAACCTCCTGAGTAGCTGGGACTACAGGCGCACGCCACCACGCCCTGCTGATTTTTGTATTTTTAGTAGAGACAGAGTTTCACCATGTTGGCCAGGCTGGTCTCAAACTCCTTGACCTCATGATCTGCCTGCCTCAGCTTCCCAAAGTGCTGGGATTACAGGCATGAGCCACCACACCCAGCCAAAACTTTTTAAAGTAAGTGTTATTTCACCCATCAAAAGCAAATCTATAAAGCATGTGAACATAAATTCTAAACTTCTTAAAGTTACATTCATAAAACCAGTTATTATTAGTCCTTCCCCTCAAATAAAAATGAACAGTATATTGCAAAATCAAGACGAGGACTCTTAAGAGCTGTAGCTTCAGGTTCTAAATATAATAAAACACCTGCAAATGTCAAAAACGAGGGAGCATTTCCTTATTCCTTCATTTTGAAGAGTTATTCAGACTCATCTAAAAAAGAAAATGTTAATGACACATCTGAAAAAAAAAATGTTAATGGTTTATATAGTGACCTAGAGCTTCTAACGTTCTTAGAAAGTCATGTCAGGTCAAGTTTTAATCCTTTTCTTTCACTATTTTTCTTTCTTTCTCTTTATTCCTGTCCATCTTTTAACTTCAAGATTTTCCCCTTTCTTCTTCCCTTCCTTTCAGTTTGCCTTTACCACTTTCTCTTTATGCCTCCTTGGCACTCTTTGGTTTTCTTAACTGCTGTGTGCCTCAATTTCTTCATCTGTAAAATGAGGATGATAATAATAATAATAGCTATCTCACAAGAAAATTGTAAAGATTAAAATGAGTTAATATACTGTATTGGTTTGCTGAGGCTGCCATAAAAAAAGTACCACTAACTGAGTGGCTTAAACAACTGATATTTATTGTCTCATAGTTCTGGAGACTACACGTCCAAGATCAATGTGCTGGGAGGGTCCTGTTCCCTCTGAAGTCTCTGGGGAAGGATCTGTTCCAGGCTTCTCTTCCAGCTTCTGGTAGGTCCTTGTCTTTTGGCAGCATAACTCAAATCTTCACATGACGTTCTCCCTGCATGCTTGTCTCTGCATCCAAATTTCACCTGTTTATATAGACACCAGTCATATGGGACTAGGGCCCCACCCTATTTCAGTATGACTTTATCCTAAATAATCACATTGGCAGCAACCCTATACCAAATAGGGTCACCTTCTGAAGTACTGGGACATTAACATAGGAATATTGGGGGAACAAAATTCAACTCATGATATATACATAAATCCCTTAGAACAGCTCCTGGCATATAAAAGCACCACGTAAGTATTTGCTATTTATTGAATACATCCTGTACGTGCAGCCCTGTGTGAGATACTAAAGATATAACAGTGAATAGACACAGATCTGTCCTTAAGATCTACCATGGATAAGATCCATGGTAGATGCAGGGTGACCAACCATCCCAGTTTGTCCAAGACTGATGTGTGTTTGGGAGGTTTTGAGACACAAGACTTTCAGTGCTAACTCCATAAAAGCCCCAGGTAAACCAGGCCAAGTCATTCACCCCAGAGGTGAACAAGATAGGGAGGATATACTCTTAGAGGGAACACAGAAGAGGCATTGTGGCAAAAACTGCTAGTTTCCCCCAATATCTGTTTTCTCCTTGGCATTTGGCGGTCAAGAATAGAGACGACATTCTCCAGTGTCCCATGGCATTATGCACGGCCATGGGATTATGTTCTGGCCAGTAGGAAATGGTACATATGACTTTACAAGAATGTATTGAAGGGAAGAGGCATTCCTTCTTTAGCTCTTTCCTCTGTTGACTAGAATTTGGATGTAATGGCTGGAACCAGAGCAGTCATCTTGGATCACAAGAAGAAGGCCAAATGTTGAGAAACTGAAAAAAGACTGGACTCTTGATGATTATGGAGAAGGCATATCTGCTATGGACCTCATACTTCTAGACTTCATTTATGGGGGAAAAAAAGAAACTTCTACTTTTTAAAGATATGGTTATTTTGTGTTTTCTGTTACATACTTAATATAATTCAAAGTAATACAGACATTAAATTCTGTTTTAAACAGACATGAAGGGAGCTAAGAGGGAAAGAAAGTGTACCAAACAATAGAAACCGTGTATGTCACGCTTGCAACAAAAAGAGAATCTGGGCCGGGCACAGTGGCTCACGCCTGTAATCCCAGCACTTTGGGAGGCCAATGCGGGCAGATCACAAGGTCAGGAGATCAAGATCATCCTGGCCAACCTAGCAGATGGGGTGAAACCCCATCTCTACTAAAATACAAAAAATTAGCCAGGAGTGGTGGCGCACGTCTGTAGTCCCAGCTACGCGGGAGACTGAGGCAGGGGAATCGCCTGAACCTGGGAGGCGGAGGTTGCAGGGAGCTGAGATCACGCCACTGCACTTCAGCCTGGAGACAGAGCAAGACTCTGTCTTTAAAAAAAAAAAAAAAGAGTCTAGAATAACTTTCGGTCTTATAGAGTGGACTAAATTATTACAAAATATCTCTAATGAATTGAGGGAAATCTCCAAGGGCCAAAAATAAATAAGGAGCTAAACCAGAGTGTCAATAATAGCTGGCACACATATGATGCCATTCTAAGTGTTTTACATAGCTCAACTCACTTAATCCTAACAAAAACTCCATGAGGTAGATACTGTTTGTATCATCATCTTACAGAAAAGAAAACTGACATAAGAGTTATAGAGATATAATGATAAGATACAATGAATGTCCAACCAGAATTCTAGAACGGAAAAGAGAAAAGAACTGAGGAAAGGCAACATTTGAAAACATAATGACTGAAAATGGTCCAGAATTAATAAATGTCATGAATCTTCAGATAAATGAAGTGCGATGAATCTCAATTTGGTCTCTAAAATAATGCTAATACAAAACACAATAGCTAAATTTATTCAATACTTAAGAGTTAGGTACTATTTTAAGTACATTACATAAATTATATCATTTAATCTTCACAGCAACTTTAAGGGATAGTTCCTGTGATTATTCCCACTTTGCAGAAAAGGAAACTGAGGCACAGAGAAGTCAAGTAACCCTCCTAAGGACACAGAGCCTGCAAACAATAGAGCTGGATTCAAACTCAGACAATTTGATCCCAAAGAAGGCACTTTTCACATCACTTCTTTGCAAAATCTCCTCTGGGGGACAGCAAAGAGTTTGGGATATTTAAGTGGAGCAGACCAAATGGCAATTAAAGGTATAGGTCTTTTCATTGTCCAATAGAACTTCCTGTGATGATGGCAATGCTCTATATCTGTGTTGTCTAATGTGGTAGCAAGGAGCACATTTACTATTGGACACTTGAAATGTGGCTAGTGCAGCTGAAGTGCTAAATTTTAAATTTCATTTATTTTTAATTAATTAAAATTTAAATTTAAATCCCTACATGTGACTGATGGCTACCATATTGGACAGCACAGGTTCAGAGCTAGTGCAGAAATCCAATTTGAAGGCAAGGTTAATTCACTACTCCTCTTGACCTCATACTGAAATAGCTGGGTGCCTCCCAATTTTAGATGAGAAAAACTAATAAACTAAAGTTTCTTCTTAAGCAAGGAATAGTCAAAAAATTACCTTTGAATAGCTTTTTATTTATTTATTTTTTGAGATGGAGTCTTGCTCTGTTGCCCAGGCTGGAGTGCACTGGTGCTATCTTGGCTCACTGCAACCTCTACCTCCTGGGTTCAAGGGATTCTCCTGCCTCAGCCTCCTGAGTAGCTGGGATTACAGGTGTGTGCAACCATGCCTGCTAATTTTTGTATTTTTAGTAGAGATGGGGTTTCATCATGTTGGCCAGTCTGTGGTCTCAAATTCTTGACCTCAAGTGGTCTGCCCGCCTCAGCCTCCCAAGGTGCTGAGATTTACAGGCATGAGCCACTGCACCTGGCCCTTTGAATAGCTTTTAATTGCCTGTAAAGAACTGTATATATATTTTGTTTATGCCACCATGTCAGGTAATGTGTATGTGTAGTGTATGTAGGAATGTTTAGAATTAGGAAACATAAAGAGAAATCTGCAAAGGCGTGAAAAGAAGTGTCCAGTGAGGTGGGAGAACCAAAAAAGGAGGCTTTTCATTAGGCAACGTGAAGAATGTGTTACAAGAAGAGAGTGCATTCTGTCAGATATTGCTGATAGCTTATTGAATGGGATAATCAAGGTAAGGTTATTGTTCATGCTATTTAAATTATTGTTCTCTCCTTTCTTTTCCTCTAGTACATATAGTAGAATACAGACAAGTTAAATGCACATATCATGTGAACACATGATAAATACATATGTATACATGTGTACATACACACTGTAAACTTCCCTGAGGTATAAAACATTATATTAGTTTTCTATTGCCTCATATGAAATTACTACAAATTTAGCAGCTTGATAACAGCATCCACTTATTAGCTGACAGTTCTGCCTAGGCTAGGTCAAATAGGTTTCTGGTTAGGGTCTCACAAAGCCAAAATCAAGGTGTGGCCTAAGGCAGGCTCTTATCTGGACGTTCTGGAGAATAATCTGTTCCCATGCTCACTCAAGTTGCTGGCAGAATTCACTTCCTCGTGGTTGTGGGACTGAAGTTACCATTTTCTTGCTGGCTCTCAGCTCCCAGCAGCCACTCTTGGGTTCTTTCCACGTGGCCCCTCCATCTTCAAGTCAGTAACGGTACACTGAATCCCTCTTGTGCTTTGAATACCGGCTTTGTCGTCTGCAACCATCTAGAGAAAATTCTCTGCTTTTAAAGGTTTCATATGTGTATGTTAGGCCCATCCAAAATAATCTTCACACAACATAGCATAATGGTAGTGGTGATATCTCATTATATTCTCAGGTTCCACCCACAGTCAGAAGGATGAGGATTGTTGGGGATCATTTTAGAAGTCCATCTACCACAAACATTGTCTCACCTACCTTCAAAATTTGTCAGTTGAGAAAGTTCTTCAACCTAAGAAATTTCCTAAACAGAGTGCTTTTCTGAATTAATAATGTCTTAAAAATCAGTGAAATACAATTATACAAAGTCTGCATTTAAAAGCCAGCTGAGATTTGTTGAACTCCTGTTATGGATTAGGTACTGTCTGAGGCACAGGGGATACAGAAGTGAATAAAGCAGACATAGCTCCTAATGGCTCCTCCTTACTACTCTATCTTTGACTCCTTGTTTGCTTTGTCCCCCATTTCAATCAGACTGCAACCTCAAATGCCTTCAAGGACCAAGATAATATAACTGAGCAAGACAATGAGGAAATGGGAAGATCAGGTGAACGGGAGAGCTGACGCCCATTTGAGAAGGGCAGCAGCAAGTCAGTTGCTGCAGGAATGTGGAACCAGGTTTTTCTTTTCAATTTTCTTTCTTTCTTTTTTTTTTTCTTTTTAGAGACAGGGTCTTGCTTTGTTGCTCAGGTTGGAGGGCAGTGGCATGATCATAGCTCACTGCAGCCTTGAGCTCCTGGGCTTAAGTGATCCTCCCACCTCTGCCTCCCAAGGTATTGGGATTACAGGTGTGAACCACCACACCTGGCCTGGGACCAGTCTTGACAAGAATTCTGGTGATGACAGCAGAACTCAACAGAGTACCCAAAGCAACAGGTCACAAAAAGGTTCTTGGGGCCAATGCAAATAAGTCTATTAGCAGATATCCTGCCCCAAAAAGTGCCATGATAGAAAAAAGGAGAAAAGCGCTGTACTGGGAAATAATAGGGGTACGCAGGTATCAGACAGTAGCCAGAGGAGCTGAAACACAGAGATGCCTGAACTGGACACCACACAGAGCACTGAGCAATAAAGCAAGGTATTGCCCGTTATGTATTCAGAGAAAATGACAGGTTTTGGGTTCATGGTTCGGAATGCTGAGGTTGGCCTTGCTGGGGGTTCTCTACTTTATGGCCTTATCTTTCCTGCTTCCCTGAATGGAAGAGCTGCCAAACAGGACCACTAGCCATTCTCTGTGCTGACCTACAAAAACTCCAACAACAGCCAGGACCGGTGGCTCACGCCTGTAATCCTAGCACTTTGGGAGGCCAAGGCAGGCAGATCACAAGGTCAGGAGATCGAGACCGTCCTGGCCAACATAGTGAAACCCCATCTCTATTAAAAATACAAAAATTAACTGGGCGTGGTGGCGCACGCCTGTATTCCCAGCTACTCAGAAGGCTGAGGCAGGAGAATCGCTTGAACTCGGGAGGCAGAGGTTGCAGTGAGCCGAGATCTTGCCACTGCACTCCAGCCTGGCGACAGAGCGAGACTCCATCTCAAAAAAAAAAAAAAAAAAACAAAAAACCCCAAAACAAAAACAAACAAAAACAAAAAACACCAACACCAGTGCTCAGCCCTCAGCCTGGAGCACCATCCTCCACATCTTCCTGGCTCAATTAGAGACTCTGCCTTCCTTAGGAAGCATCTCCTGAACCCCCTCTTCTCCCCAACCTAAATCCTGTTTCTCCTCTCTTTAGCCCCTATGCCACTTTCTACCTCCCCTTGTGAACATTTCACACTTGTCTGGTACAATTGTCCGTAGATGCATGTCATTCACCGAAATATTACCAAGTGCTCCATACCTCCAGAAAAGAAAAATTACTAATCTTACTCTATGCCTTACATCTTAGTATTACATCTTACCATCTTTCATATTAATATTGTATGCCCTTGCTACGAAGTGTGATCCATGGACCAGCAGCGTCAGCATTACCTGACAGCTTATTTAAATACAGAATATCAGCTCCACCCCAGACCCATTGCATCAGACTCTACATTTTAATAAGATCCCCAGGTGATTCACATGCACAGTAAACTTTGAGAAGCACTGCTCTATGCACTCACCAGTGCAAACCTATTGCAATGTAATGATTAAAATGTCTAACTTGAACACTTTGGTATAATTTTCTGGTATTATCAGACTGTAAACTCCACCAGTGCAGGGACTGTGTTTGCCTTTATCATGACTGCATTCTTAGTGCCTGACACCAAGCTAGGTACAGAGTAAATCCTCAGTAAAAACTGATTAAATAAGTAAATAACATTGGCAGAAAACGTGTACGTTTTTATTATGGGAACAAGAAGATACGCTATTAAAATGACCTCTTTTGGCTGGGCATGGTGGCTCATGCCTGTAATCCCAGCACTTTGAGAGGCCGAGGCAGGTGGATCACTTGAGGTCAGGAGTTCGAGACGAGCCTTGCCAACATGGTGAAACTCTGTCTCTACTAAAAATGCAAAAATTAGCCGGGTGTGGTGGTGCACGCCTATAATCCCAGCTACTTGGGAGCCTTTGGCAGGAGAATGGCTTGAACCCAGGAGTCAGAGGGTGCAGTGAGCTGAGATCCTGTCACTGCAATCCAGCCTGGGTGACAGAGCAAGACTCTGCATGAAAAAAACAAAACAAAAAAAAACACCTCTTTTGGTTTGCTTTCATCTAAGTTATACTTTAAAATATATCAGATTAAATAGGTATTGATAATGTTCTTGAATTGTTCTTAATGGAAACTCAATGCTAATGCATTTTCTGTTATATTAAAATCAATACCAAATGTATTATTTAAAAAGCTAGGTGGAAATAATATTCTTCTTCCCCCAGTAGAGTACAAATAGCACCCTGCTCCTTCACTTTAAATCATATGATGTTTTCAACGGTGTAATAGAGATCAAAGGTAAATTTTCTATTTATTTATATTTCTCAAAATAAAGAGGCCATAGGATGATGAAAGTAAATGTCCTCATTTGCAAGCAATCCAACAATCTGGGGAAAAGAGTGTGAGTGAGTCTTCTTTAAGGACTTGTTCAATTTCAACATAATTTTCTGAACCTTCTGTTTGAATTGGTGTTTATTCACAAAACTTGTTATGTATGGAATCTTGATTACTGTGCTTCCCTCTAATTTTGCTTCTGAAAGACAAACATTTTTGCTTACCTTTGCTTATGTAGTGTCTCCATAGTAATTGTCAGAACTCTTCCTCAGCAACAAACCCACCACATTGACCTTAGCAAGACCAAAAATGTCTTACACAGAGCTTGTCTTATTCTGTGCATTCCAAAGGGAATGTTCAGCTTCAGCAATTCTTAGAGCTAAATATCATGAGCAAAGTAGTGGGACTGACATATTTTACGAGCGTTAGTACTTGGAGGCCCTTTCATAGCCTGGCCATGACCAGCATCCACTGCCCACTGGTCCCCTCCCCACCCTCTGCTTGTCACTGTCCTCAACACAGCCTTCTCTTTAATGTCTCCACCTGGGCTAAGATAGCAGGAATGAAGAGAAAAGATGGACTTTGGACAAACTCAGGTTCACTTCCTCATCCTGTGATTTTAACTGCTCTGAACTGTTTATTGATCAGTAAAGTAAGAGATAGCAATAACTAGGCCAGGTGCGGTGGCTCACACCTGTAATCCCAGCACTTTAGGAGGCCGAGGTGGGCAGATCACCTGACGTCAGGAATTTGAGACTAACCTGGCTAACATGGTGAAACCCTGTTTCTACTAAAAATACAAAAAATTAGCCTGGCGTGGTGGCATGTGCCTGTAATCCCAGCTATTCGGGAGGCTGAGGCAGGAGAATTGCTTGAACCCGGGAGGTGGAGGTTGCAGTGTGCCAAGATTGCGCCATTGCACTACAGCCTGGGCAAAAAGAGAGAAACTCAGTCTCAAAAAAAAAAAAAGAAAAAAAAGAAAAAAGAAAGAAATCGCAACATCTAGCATTCAGAGCTGTTGTAAGGACTAAGTGAAGTAATAACGGTTAGCATTTAACGGGCACTTATGTTCGATGATTGTGCCAAATGCCCAATATTCAGAATTCTTTTTTTTTTTTTTTGAAACAGAGTCTCGCTCTGTTGCCCAGGCTGGAGTGCAATGGTGCGATCTTGGCTCACTGCAACCTCCACTTCCCGGGTTCAAGCCATTCTCCTGCCTCAGCCCCACAAGCAGCTGGGACTATAGGCATGCACCACCATGCCCAACTAATTTTTGTACTTTTAGTAGAGACGGGGTTTCACCATGTTGGCCAGGCTGGTCTCGAATTCCTGACTTAAAGTGGTGGCTTACTCCTGTAATCCCAGCACTTTGGGAGGCCAAGGCAGGAGGATTGCTTGAGTCCAGGAGTTTGAGACCAGCCTGGGCAACATGGCGAGACCCTGTCTCTATATAATAAAAGAAAATTTTTTTTTTGAGACAGAGTTTCGCTCTTTTGCCCAGGCTGGAGTGCAATGGTGTGATCTCGGCTCACTGCAACCTCCGCCTCCTGGGTTCAAACGATTCTCCTGCCTCAGCCTCCTGAGTAGCTGGGATTACAGGCGCCCACCACAATGACCAGCTATTTTTTGTATTTTTAGTAGAGACACGGTTTCACCATGTTGGCCAGGCTGGTCTCAAACTCCTGACCTGGTGATCCGCCTGCCTCGGCCTCCCAAAATGCTGGGATTACAGGTGTGAGCCACTGCGCCCAGCTCAAAATAAAAAAATTTAAAAATTAGCTGGGCACAGCATTGCATGCCTGTGATCCCAGCTACTTGGGAGGCTGAGTCAGGAGGATCACTTGAGCCCAGGAGGTCAAAGCTGCAGTGAGCCATGTTGGTGCCACTGCACTTCCGCTTGAGCAACAGAGCAAGACCCTGTCTCAAAAATAGACATAAATAAATAAATAAATAAATAATAAAGCCTATAAATTATTTTTAAATAAAAAATTAGAATAATATGAACATAATAGCTTTAAAGTAGAAGACAGGCTCTATAATAATTACATCCAGCAAATATTTATTTACTGTCTATTCTGTGCTAGGCTTGGTGCTAGGTAGTGGAGTCATGTAAATGGAAGACCTTGTCTCTTCAGGGGATTTCAGTCCCATGCGAAACAGAGAGATAAAGAGATAATTTCCAATACACTGTGACAGGCTCAGGTATGCACAGAGGAAGCACATCTAATCCAGGCTGAGAAGGAGCTGTGGCTAGGGCAGGGAATTCTTGCTGGAGGAGGTTCTGCCTGAACTGAGTCTTAAAAACAAGCGGGCATTAACCAGGCAAAAAAGAGAGGAGGGTCTAAGAAGAGATTTCCAGGCATGATCAAAATAGAGAGTTATGAACACAGTATTCAGTGACTTACAAATAGTGAAATATTGCTGTGGCCAAGAGAAAAGGATTGTAAGGGCAACAGGTGAAGCTGGTGAGATAAGCAGAGGTAAAATTATAAATAGTCTGTGTGTGTACCACACCAAGAGACCCATTGATGGGGCATAAAGATCCATGGAAAGGTTTTTTTGTTTTTTGTTTTTTTGAGATGGAGTCTCGCTCCGTTGCCTAGGCTGGAATGCAGTGGTGCAATCTGGGCTCGCTGCAACCTCCGCCTCCTGGATTCAAGTTATTCTCCTGCCTCAGCCTCCTGAGTAGCTGAGATTATAGGCATGTGCCACCACGCCTGGCTAATTTTTGTATTTTTAGTAGAGACTGGGTTTCACCATGTTGGTCAGGCTGGTCTCAAACTTGTGACCTTGTGATCCGCCCGCCTCAGCCTCCCAAAGTGCTGGGACTACAGGTGTGAGCCACCATGCCCGGCCTTCCACAGAAGGGTTTTAAGCAGCAGAGTAAACAGGTGGCCAGGAAGAGCAATGAGAAGGGCTAGTATTTTTTGTTTGTTTGTTTTGTTTTGTTTTTTTCTTGAGACAGAGTCTCACACTGTCACCCATGCTGGAGTGCAGTGGTGCAATCTCAGCTCACTGCAGCCTCCACCTCCCAGGTTCAAGCAATTCTCGTGCCTCAGCCTCCAGAGTAGCTGGGACTACAGGCACACGCCATCACACCCAGCTAATTTTTGTATTTTTTAGTAGAGATGGGGTTTCACCGTGGTTGGCCAGGCTGTGGTTCTGAACTCCTGGCCTCAAGTGACCCGCCCGCCTCGGCCTCCCAAAGTGCTGGGATTACAGGCGTGAGCCACTGCGCCTGGCCAGGGCCAGTATTTTGAATTCATCTTTCTGTTTTTATCAAACCCTCCATTTCTGGGCAGCATTGCTGCTATCACTTAGGTCATTTGTTTCCTTGGAAAAGGTCTGGGAGCTGGCAGTCAAGGAAAATTTGGATTGGAGATTTTAGCAGCCAAATGGAGATGGAGTTGGGCATGAAATAGAGGCAGAGAACACGGATGCTTTATCTGGCTGCTCATGGCCCATCGAGGCTGCTTTTCTACAACACAGACTCTTTCCATTTCAATCCACTACTCATCAGCTCAACCCTGAGGATGCCATCTCCATAGTTCCAAAAGAGGACATAATTGAAATGTGTAAGGAATATCGCCATAAATTGTTCTTTTCTTCTCAAATCTTTTATTGATCACTGTATGTGGTTAATATAGAAACTGAAGAGCAAGCACAAAGCCAGATGCATATGAAAAAAACATGAAGGTACTATTAAACGAGATCTTGTAGAAGATAAGCTGAGTAGAATTTCTGGGCCATAAACTGGCTTCAGCTTCCATGAAAGTGTATAGGAGCCACTTCTGGGGAAATCAGTGGGCAAGGTTATGGGTGAGATCTGGGAAACAGAACTTAACTAAGGTTGGAGCAACTGGAAGGTGGCCTGGGTGCAGGACATCTGGCAAGACTATGGTCAGGGAGAGGGTTGCTCTGTATTTTCTGCTTCTAAGTTCACCAAAGCCCATCTCCAGTTCTGGAGTAGATCAAAGAAGAAAACTTCTGTGGGATTTAATGAGTGTCCTCAGCTTATCCAGGCAGTAGGTCATAGTGGGCAACAGATGGGTAGGAGAAGAGAAACGCCATCAAAACATGAATAAGGCAAATCAAATACAAACAGCAACCTGGAATAGGCTCATACAGGCATTTGATTTGCAGGTTTTAAAAAGTACTAAAATGGTAGTTGACATCTTAGTGATAGCCTCTGCCGATGCATCTTCTTTCTGGCATTGCATTGTTCTAATTTGGAGTTGTTGCCCTCTACATCTGATATACAGCTAGTAGACCATCATCCTCAGGACTCCCTTCTATTTCCTTAGCGGGATCTTCTGTTTTCCTATAATCCATACCTTCTTCCTTCTTGATTTTCTCCATCTTTTTAATTTAGCACATCTTAGCTTAGCTTCTTAAGAAAGGAAAAGATTCTTGAGAATTTATGTATATTTCACCTTTATTCCTTTTTAAAAAACTTTTTTTGGAGACAGACTCTTGCTCTATTGCCCAGGTTGGAGCACAGTTGTGCAATCATAGCTCACTGCAGCCTTGAATTCCTGGACTCAAGTGACCCTCCCACCTCAGTCTCCTAAGTGGCTAGGACAGCTGGTGCATGCCACCATGCCTGGATTCTACCTTTATTCTTGATGAACAATTTGGCTGGGTATAGAATTCTACCCAGAAAATAATTTTCCTTTAGAAATTTGGAGGCATTGCCCCACCGTCTCTAGCTTCAGGGTTGTTGTTGAGAAGTCCGATGCCATCTGGATTTCTACTTCTTTGGATGTGCTTTTTCTCTTTGGAAGTTTTGGGTATTTTGTCTTTGTGCCTGGCATTCTAAAGCTTCATGATAATATGCTTTGTATGGGTCTGCTTCCCTTCACTGAGCTGAGTACTTAGTGGGCCCTTTCAATCTGGCAATTTAGGTCTTTCTGTTACCTTTCATGTTAGAGGATTTCTTAAGATGTTTGGTAATCCTGGTTGTCTGCTCGTATTCAAGGGTGAGAAAGCAAAAAGCTGCATAGTAGAAGCCCTGTGCTTTGGGGAAGACCTGTTGCCCAGGAACTTTACTGTAAGATGAAATGGGTAGGCTCTTTGTTGGGGAATTCTAACCACACCCTATCCTCCTCCATATTACCTCTTATCACTATCTTTGGGGATTTTTTTTTTCCTTTTGGGCTGGTAATATTCCTTTAAGAAGGCTTTTCCAATCTTCCACTTGGAAGGTGAGAGGATCTGAGCATTTAGCATGACTGCATTAATTAATCAATCCCAGTTTTCTCTCTAGAGTCCCTATCCCCTTCAGCTATGGCTAAGAAGTGGACAAACCTCTGCATCTGTTAGGACGGAGGAGGGGCAGTTACCCAGTAGAAAGGAGTAGAGAGCATGCATATAAGAAGTACTACTACTTTTTAAGTAGTTCCCAGCCTCCAACCAGTTCCCTTATTTTATTCCTTCTTCATCTTCACTCTATATCCTGAGGATTTTGCAATGCCAGTAACTTAGCATTTGGTTTTCTCGTCTGCTAAGTCCTTTATCACTATTCTCTGGCCTCCAAAATTCTGTTGCTATTGCTTCATCTCATTCTCTCCTCGTTCTTGAGGGTTTTAGTGGGGTTCTGGAGGGAATCAAATTACATGCATTTGTTTAATCCATCATCTCTACCTGGAATCAACTGTCAAACATTCCAAAAAAACTGAGATTTATTTATCTACTAAATACTGAGTGTCTGTGATGTTTCTGGCACCTTGATAAATGCAGGAGATGAACTATGATTTATCTTCATAGTGATAACTGATGCTCTAACATAGTGTTTTGAAAAGAAAAATGTGCCTTTCCTCGCTACCATCCTGAAATTCTATTTTGTGAAGATTGGTAAATGCTGGGGTTATTTTGGGCTAGGGCAGCTTCATAACTGATACTGATTTTAAACAACATCTAGAAGATTTGGATCATTTCTGACATCACCCACCCACCCGTCCACCCCGGATGTATTTCTGAGTGAACTGGCCTAATACCTAATTCTAAGAGTGTATGCCAACTTATCTTAAAGGCCATTCATTCTGAACACTGCATAAAGCAAGATCAAACACCTCAAGCTCTGACCGAAGGGTGAGTATGCAGCTGTCTTAACAAAATTTTTATATACCCTTGATTGTGTCTCTGGTCCTGGTGGCAATTTATTCTAGATCTTGTCTTCAAAGTTTGGCAATCACAATGATATGATAACAGGAGGGAGGTTTAACATTTATTGAGTGCCTACTATGTATCAAGCAGTGGCCTTGATACTTCACAATTAGTAACTCATTTAACGTTATTCCTTAATAAATTCATAAGCACAGCAAAATTCTCCTGGAGCAAAGCAAATAGTTCAAGCATATGTCACTTTCTTTTCATTGTTCTCTTCACTCAGAATTCAAACTCCAGTTCTACATTTTTGTATTCTATTGTATAAAATCTCTTGATGCCAAACAGACATATTTGTACAAATCACATGCATATGAGGGTGTGCTCTCAGAAATGTTGATAACCCTACTCTACCCTGTTTTTATATTCCAACAGATAAACCGTATACACCTAGCAGCATGGCCCAGTTGCTCTGGTGGTAGGTTTGGTGCACCCATGGAACAGAAAGAGGCCAGGCAGGCTCCCATCAGGACCAAACCCCATGAGCTACAGTGGCTGCCATCTTTTGCCTGAAACACCAGTGTCCACTGGTGATAAGGTTTTACTTTGAGAAAACTTTCTTTTGGCCTCCAAACTTTGTCCTGACATTGAGAGGATACACAGTTTTGTTTTGTTTTTTAATGGATTGTGTCATCTTAAATTTCTGGCCCTGACTATTGATCAGAGTCTATGATGAACTGGCAAAGAGAAAATTATCTCTGCTTGTTACTGGTATCTTACACTGGCAAAGAACTGAACGATTTCTGGAGTTCTTCATCTTTTACATGAGTCAGGAAAATCACACATTTGGAGCAACTATCAGTAATAATGACATTAATAATTACATTTTATTTTTGTGAAGGTTACAAAGCAATATTATGCAAACTAGTTCCCATCAATATCCTTGAACTTGGTATTCTTTGATTTATAACTGTGTGAGTCAAAGATTATACTGTAAAATCATTAAAGACTAACACAATAAACATCAGCTAATGATTTTCCAATCTCAGTTTAAAGGTATGGTTTATGTTGAAAATTCCCCACCCCCGTAATAGAACCCCCTCAAAAATCATGAGAACAAGGAATTGTAGCAAATAAGCTGTTTGAGCCTTAGAAGCAGTACCTTAAGACAGAAACATAAAATCTCGGTGAGGGAAGAAACACTGAAGGTCAAACGTCTACCTAAATCCTGCTCTACATTCAAATATTCTTCCGCAGGGGAAGGCTCTAAACGCTCCTAAAAGCATTTTGCATTTCCTAGATAGTGGATTCTCCCTCTAAGCCAGTGGGTTCACAGGAGTAGGAAGGAGAACTGGGGGCAGTGGACAATAAGGAATTAGAAAAGGAGAAGAGGAAGGGAGAGAAACGGGAACTGCCTTAGGGAGAGAAGAGTGGAAAGTTTACAGGCACACTCGTTTTATTGAGCTTCACTTTATTGCACTTCGCAGATACTATATTTTTTACAAATGGAAGGTTGGAGCAAGTCTATCCATGCCATTTTCCCAACAGCACATACTCACTTTGTGTCTCTGTGTCACGTTTTGGTATTCTCGCAATATTTCAAACTCGTTCCCAGTTTGTATATCTGTTAGGATGATTTGTGGTCAGCAATCTTTGGTGCTACTATTGTAACTCTTTGGAGGGCTCCACAAACCATGCCCACATAAGACGGCAAACTTAATTGATAAATACTGTGTGTGTTCTGACTGCTCCACCGACCAACCATTCCCACTTCTCTTTCTGTCTTCTCAGTCCTCCCTGTTCCCCAAGACACAACAATATTGAAATTAGACCAGTGAATAACCCTACTATAATCTTGGGCGACATAGTGAGACCCTGTCTCTAGAAAACATTTAAAATTATTAACTGGGCTAGGCCAGGCGCAGTGGCTCACACCTGTAATCCCAGCACTTTGGGAGGCTGAGGCGGGCAGATCACCTGAGGTCAGGAGTTTGAGATAAGACTGGCCAACATGGTGAAACCCCGTTTCTACTAAAAATACAAAAATCAGCTGGGCGTGGTGGTGGGCACCTGTAATTCCAGCTACTCAGGAGGCTGAGGCAAGAGAATCGCTTAAATCCAGAAGGTGGAGGTTGCAGTAAGCTGAGATTGCACCATTGCACTCCAGTGTGGGCAAGAAGAGTGAAACACTATCTGAAAAAAAAAAAAAATTAGCTGGGCTTTGTGGTGAGCACCTGTAGACCCAGCTACTTGGGAAGCTGAGGTGGAAGGATCACTTGAACTCAGGAGGTCAAGGCCGCAGTGAGCCGTGTTCACACCACTGCACTCCAGCCTGGCTGATAAAGTGAGACCCTGTCCCCCAAACAAACAAACAAACAAACAACAACAACAACAACAAACCCCTACAATGGTCTCTAAGTGCCAAGTGAAAGGAAAAGTTGCATATCTCTCACTTTATTTATTTATTCGTTTATTATTGTAGGGATTATGTCTCTCACCTTAAATAAAAAGCTACAAATGATTACACTTATTAAGGAAAGCATGTCAAAAGATAGGCTGGGCGTGGTGGCTCATGCCTATAATCCCAGCACTTCGGGAGGCCAAGGCGGGAGGATCACTTGAAGACAGGAGTTTAAGACAAGACTGGGCAATACAGTGAGGCCCTGTCTCTAAAAAAAAAATTTGTTTTTTAATTAGCCAGGCATGGTGGCATGTGCCTGCTGCCTGTGGTACCAGCTACGTGGGAGACTGAGGTGGGGGGGTTGGTTACTTGGGCCCAGGAGGTTGGGGTTGCAGAGTGCTGTGACTGCACTACTGCACTCCAGCCAGGGTGACAGAGTGAGACTCTGTCTCAAAAAAAAAAAGCTAAGATAGGCCAAAAGCTAGGCTTCTTGCACCAGTCAAGTTGTGAATTTAAAGGAAAAGTTCTTGAAGGAAATTAAATGTGCTACTTCAGTGAACACACAAAGGATAAAAAAAAGTGAAACAGCCTTATTACTGACATGGAGAGAGTCTGATAGAAGATCAAACCAGCCACAACATTCCTTTAAGCCAAAGCCTAATCCAGAGCAAGGTCCTAACTGTCTTTAATTCTATGAAGGCTGAGAGAGGTAAGGAAGCTGCAGGAAAAAAGTAGGAAGCTACTTTTTCCTGAGATTTAAGGAAAGACGCCATCTCTGTAATATAAAAGTGCAAAGCGAACCAAGTGCTAATGGAGAAGCTGCAGCAAGTGATCCAGAAGATCCAGCTAAGATAACTGATGAAGGTGGCTACACTAAACAACAGATTTTCTTTTTTTTTTTTTTTTTTGAGACGGAGTCTCATCCTGTCGCCAGGTTGGAGTGCAGTGGCGCGATTTCGGCTCCCTGCAACCTCCACCTCCCGGGTTCAAGTGATTCTCCTGCCTCAGCCTCCTGATTAACTGGTCTTAGAGGCACCCGCCACCACGCCTGGCTAATTTTTGTATTTTTAGTAGAGACGGGGTTTCACCAAGTTTGCCAGGATGGTCTCGATCTCTTGACCTTGTTATCTGCCCGCCTTGACCTCCCAAAGTGCTGGGATTACAGGCCTGCGCCACTGCGCCCAGCCAACAGATTTTCAATGTAGGTAAGACAGCCTTATATTGGAAGAAGATGGCATTTAGGACTTTACTAGCTAGAAAGAAGTCAATGCCTGGCTCCAAAGGACAGGCTGACTGCCTTGTAAGGGGCTAAAACAGCTGGTGACTTTAAGTTGAAACCAATAATCATTTACAATTTCTAGAATTCTAGGCCCCTTAAGAATTATGCAGCTGAGCACAGTGGCTCACATCTGTAATCCCAGCACTTTGGGAGGCTGAGGCAAGTGGATTGGGCAACATTGCAAAACCCTGTCTTTACAAAAATAAAAATAAATTAGCTGGGCATGGTGGCATGCACCTGCAGTCCAAGCTACTTGGGAGGCTGAGGTGGGAGAACTGATTGAGGCAGGGGCTGTGATGATTGCACCACTGCGCTGCAGCCTGGGCAACAGAGTAGACTCAAAAAAAAAAAAAAAAAAAAAAAAAAAAAAAAAAGAATTATGCTAAATCTGCTTGGTCTGTGCTCTGTCAATGGAACAATAAAGCCTGGATGACAGCACATCTGTTTACTGTACGGTTTACTGAATATTTTAACTCTACTATTAAAATGTACTGCTCAGAAAAAAAAGATTCCTTTCAAAATATTACTGCTCATTTACAATGCACCTAGTCACCCAAGAGCTCTGATGGAGATGTACAAGGAGATTCATGCTGTTTTCATGCCTGCTAACACAACATCCATTCTGTAGCTCATGGATCAAAGGGTCATTTTGACTTTCAAGTCTTATTACCTGAGAAATACATTTTGTAAGGCTATTACTGCCATAGATAGTGATTCTTCTGATAGATCTGGGCAAAGTAAATGGCCAGATGATTCAAAGGATGAGGTCACCATATCAACACTGAGTTTGGAAGAATTTGATTCCAACCCTCATGGATGACTTTGAGGGGTTCAAGACTTCAGTGGAGAAAGTCATTACAAATATGGTGGAAATAGTAAGAGGATTAGAATAAGTGGCGTCCAAAGATGTGACTGAATTGCTGGAATCTCAGGATAAAACTTGAATGGATGAGGAATTGTTTCTTCTGCATAAGCAAAGGAAGTGGTTTTTTGAGATAAAACTTACTCCTGGTGAAAATAACGTGAATATTGTTGAAATGATAACAAAGTATTGAGAATATTACATAAACTCAGTTGATAAAGCAGTGGCAGAGTTTGATAGGATTGACTCCAATTTTGAAAGAAGTTCTACTGTGGGGAAGATGCTACCAAACAGCATTGCATACTACAGAAAATTCTTTTGTGAAAGAAAGAGACAATCGATGTGGCAAACTTTGTGGTTATCTTAAGAAATTGCCACAGCCACCCAAACCTTCTGCAACCATCATCCTGATCTGTCAACAGCCATCAATCTAAAGGCAAGACCCTACACCAGTGAAAAGAGTATGTCTCACTGAAGTATCAGGTGATCATTAGCATATTTTAGCAATAAAGTATTTTAAAATTAACGTATGTAGATTTTTTCAGACATAATGTTATTGCACAGTTAGTAGACTACAATGTACTATAAACATGACTTTTATATGTGCTGAGAAGCCCAAAAAATTGTGACACGCTTTATTATGGTGATCTGGAAAAGAACCCACAATCTCCAAGGTATGCCTGTATGTTTTTCAGGGGACACTGACCCCCCTCACCATGGACCAAGCAGAGCTGGTGATGTGGAGATACACAGAGAGAGAAAATAGACTCAGCATTCAGGGAGTTTACAGCTTAGTGCAGAGGGAAGAACCTCTTGCATGAAGCAGTTAAATTTAGAATCTGCCACTGAGTCACTGGTAAACTCTGAGAACTGGACTAGTAAAATAAAGGCAAATCAGATTATACTGGATACAGATACTCTCAGATACAGGTACTTTAAAGGGACCGAACAACTCTCAGGCCAAGCACATGATTTGTTCAGAGCAGAATTGGGAGATGTTAACTTATCTACATAAAGAGTTTGGGCCGGGTGCGTGGCTCACGCTTGTAATACCAGCATTTTGGGAGGCCAAGGCAGACAGATCCCTTGAGGCCAGGAGTTCGAGACCAGCCTGGCCAACATGGCAAAACCTCGTCTCTATTAAAAATAGAAAAATTAGCCACCTGTGGTGGTGCGCACCTGTAGTCCCAGCTACTCGGTAGGCCGAGGCAGGAGAATTGCTTGAACCCAGGAGGCAGAGGTTGCAGTGAGCCAAGATCTCACCACTACTCCAGCGTGGTGACAGAGCAACAGTCCGTCTCACACACAAAAAAAGTTTGGTCACCAGTTGGAGGGGACCAACTGGTTGCAAGTTAGGACCAAAAAAGCAAGTCTGAGGGTCTCTTGGATGCCTAATCCCATTCTGAGGAGAGACCCAAACACTGGCTTCAGAGAAGTTCCCAGTTGTGGAGACGGCCTCACAGGGGCCTGCAGGTGCCACCACCAGGACTGCCTGCCATCCTCTGCTGTAAGCCCACTCTTAGCAACACCTTCTGCATGATCTGGTGTTGCAGGTACATCTCCGTGAAGTTTTCCTGGGTAGTATTTCCACCTCCTGGTTAGCATTAACCACTCCCTTCTCTGTCTCCACATTTATTGTGTACATACCTCTCTTGTGGACCAACCATACTGTGTCCGGAATTGGTTCCTCCCGGTGGGTTCTTGGTCTGGCTGACTTCAAGAATGAAGCCGCGGACCCTCGCGGTAAGTGTTACAGTTCTTACAGATGGTATGTCTGGAGTTTGTTCCTTCAGATGTTCAGATGTGTCTGGAGTTTTTTCCTTCCGGTGGGTTTGTGGTCTTGCTTGACTTCAGGAGTGAAGCCGCAGACCTTCGCAGTGAGTGTTACAGCTCTTAAAGGTGGTGCGTCCAGAGTTGTTTGTTCCTCCCGGTGGGTTCGTGGTCTTTCTGACTTCAGGAGCGAAGCTGCAGACCTTTGCAGTGAGTGTTAGGGCTCTTAAAGGTGGCGCGTCAGGAGTTGTTTGTTCCTCCCGGTGGGTTCATGGTCTCGCTGGCTTCAGGAGTGAAGCTGCAGACCTTCACAGTGTTACAGCTCATAAAGGTAGTGCAGACCCAGAGAGTGAGCAGCAGCAAGATTTACTGTGAAGAGAGAAAGAACAAAGCTACCACAGCATGAAAGGGGACCGTAAGTTGCTACTGCTGGAGCTGGTGGCCAGCTTTTATTCCCTTATTTGGCCCCGCCCACATCCTGCCGATCGGTCCATTTTACAGAGCACTGATTGGTCCATTTTACAGAGTGCTGATTAGTCCGTTTTTACAGAGTGCTGATTGGTGCAATTACAAACCTTTAGCTAGACACAGAGCGCTGATTGGTGCGTTTTTACAGAGTGCTGATTGGTGCAATTACAAACCTTTAGCTAGACACAGAGCACTGATTGGTGTGTTTACAATCCTTTAGCTAGACAGAAAAGTTCTCCAAGTCCCCACCCGACCCAGAAGCCCAGCTGGCTTCACCTCTCAATACCACACAGTATTTGTAATGCTTGGTTTACACATCTGTCTCGCCTACCATATTGGAAGACAAGGAGCAAATCCTAGACATTTTTGTGTTCTTGGTGCCCCTGCCCAGTGCTTGGCACTCAGCAGATGCTCAGTCAATATTTGAATGACTGGATGAGTGAGTGAGTGAATGAGTGAATAAATGAATGAATGATAAATGATCAAATAAATAAAAGGGTACGTGGAAAATTAATGTGAGCAAAGAGTTCAAGTCAACACTGTACCCAGGGAACAATGCTAAGAATGACCTGCACAAAGCCTGTGTGAAAAGAATCAAAAGAAAGTAGATTAATAGAGTTAGGCCAGGTAATTAAAGGCCTTGAGTGCCAATAAACGTTCCTTTGTTTATTCATTCATTCCCCTAAAACATGCTGTTAACTTTTTTAGGTTTTGTCTCTATCCTTAGAGAGTACGGAACTGAGGGGAGAGGATGCCCTCACTACAGCTACATTCAAAGGCAGATGGTGGCAAGGGGCAGAGAGGCACAACTAAGGGGCCGTGGAGGTTCAAGGATCAATAAGTCACTTTTGGTTGTGCTGACAGAGAAGCATTTGAGTTGGACTTCAAGGGTAAGAGGACCAGCAAAAGGCACGGCATCAGCAGGGTAGCAGAGGTGGGATTGTGCAAGGAATATAGGGAGGCTGAGAATGGCGCCCCATGGCTAAAGCAAATCAGGAATCAGAGGGGCAAGATAGAAGATAAAGAAGATAAAAATGTAAGAGAGGTGGTTCATGCCTGTAATCCCAATACTTTTTTTTTACTTTAAGTTCTGGGATACATGTGCTGAATGTGCAGGTTTGTTACATAGGTATACATGTGCCATGGTGCTTTGCTGCACCTATCAACCTGTCATCTAGGTTTTAAGCCCCACTTGCATTAAGTATTTGTCCTAATGCTCTCCCTCCCCTTGCCCCCATCCCCTGACAGGCCCTGGTGTGTGACGTTCCCCTCCCTGTGTCCATGTGTTCTTACTGTTCAGCTCCCACTTATGAGTGAGAACATGGTGTTTGGTTTTCTGTGCCAGTGTTAGTTTGCTGAGGATGATGGTTTTCAGCTTCATCCACGTCCCTGCGAAGGATATAAACTAATGTTTTTTCATGGCGGCATAGTATTCCATGGCGTGTATGTGCCACATTTTCTTTATCCAGTCTATCCAATCCCAATACTTTTGAGGCCAAGGCAAGAGGATTGCTTGAGCCCAGAAGTAGGAGACCAGCCTGGGCAACAGTGAGATTCTGTCTCTACAAAAATTTTTCAAAAATTAGCCAGTTATGGTGGTGCATGCCTGTAGTCCCAGCTACTGGTAAGGCTGAGGTGGGAGGATCACTTGAACCCAGGAGTTGGAGGCTGCAGTAAGCCGTGATCATGCCACTGCTTTCCAGCAGTGACAGAGCTGAGGCAGAGCAAGACCCTGTCTCAAAACAAACAAACAAACAAAAAAGATGTAACAAGAGGTTAGGTGAGCCTTGCAGGGTGTTTGTCAGGCTAGGCTGAGTGCACTAATTTCAGGAGGAGCTGGGGAGCGTGTGGTGACTTGCTGCAGGTTTGGGTAGGGCTAATTACTATAGGCACTGAGAGCTGTCAGCCCAGCACTGGATACAAAGGCGAGGTAAATCTTTTTGACAGGCTTACCTAAGGTTTTGAATTTTTTTTACTGTATAATTAAGTGTCAAATGCTGAGGTAGTTTCTGAGGTTTTTGTATAAAAACTCGTTCTTCTCAGGTTGCCCTTTCATGGCACCAGATACTGTCATTATCATTGTGTAGTGTTTGAAGACAGATCTCAGCTGAGACAGATAACCATAGACCTAGAACATGGTAGGTTCTCCCCTGCCTAGTTAGGACACCCTTGATCATGGGGTCAGTGAAGCCTCTAGAAAATGTACTATGAAAACTTTCAGTTTATCAGTACTTGGCACATATTAAACCTCAGTGACTGTTAGCCCAGGTATGGCTGTACTTACATATGGGAAAAACATTTCATGTTCTGTAGTCTTAGAACAGAATACAAGTGTATTTTTCAGGATTCCATTGGTTCTAAGTGACAGCCAAAACCACTTATGCCTTGCATTAGATTTATTGGAGAGATACTGAAGTAGCTCACAGAACTGAAAGAAAAGCCAGAAGTAGGCAGCTCTGGGTGCTTGGAGATGATAGCTGGGCCAAGGCTGCCCAGATTGTCTATTTACCATTCCCTCTGCCAGTGGGGAGCAGGACTTCTGGCAGCCCCAGATTCACGTCCTTCCTGCATCGTGACCTAAGAGGCAAGAATGAGCCTCCTCTCTATAGCTCCAGTAGACAATTCTGGATAAAGGCTTGGAACTCCTTGGTTTGATCTGTGTGCCTCCTGCCCTCACACTGAAGTGTGGTGGGTGGGGTGATGGGGACAGAGCACCATGATCAACTCAGCATGGGTTATACGCCCTCCCCTGTGGTCAGGGAGTCTGGGACTCTGCCAGAGGAGTGGGGAAGAGAGCAGGTACACAAAGACAACAACTACTATGCAAAGGCAAAAAGTCCCGTGTAGGTGCTCATTTGACTTTGGCTGGAACTCTGAGGGTTTCCTGATTCAAATTCCAAAGACTTAAATTTTTGACTGGGTTCCACTCAACAGAGTATGAATCAATGATGTCCCCATACTTCAGTGTACCTTAATTATGTCTTAATTACTTCAGAGTCACTGACACTGGCTTAAGTCCTTCAAATTGTTTAATTTAAAAGGTATTTCTTTTTACCTTCAATCTCTGTTTATCTTGAAAGACATCTTTTAATTTTCTCACTTAGACATGGAATTTTCTATGTCTAAAAGCCAAATGTATGCATTAAAAGACACTCATAGTAGCTTTTGTGAGTTGTGTCCCCTAAGGACCAGGCAGTGACTTGGTCATGACTCACCAGCTGCTGATCTGTAATAACCCTTCCAGTGTCTGAACCTGCAGTGGGAGCACTGGTGCTGGCCCTGCTGGGTCAGAGCTGAAGAGGGAAGGGAAGAGAGGGTCTCCAGCAAAACAGCCAAAGGAAAGGCTTATTCTTTTTTATTTTATGTTTCATAGAGACAGGATCTCGCTAGGTTGCCCAGGCTGGTCTCAAACTTCTGGCCTCAAGCAATCCTCCCATCTCAACTTCCCAAAGTGCTGAGATTACAGGAGTCAGCTATGGTACCCAGTCCTTAAAATGCTGGGTTTTTTTAGATGGAGTCTCACTCTGTCACCCAGGCTCGAGTGCAGTGGTGCAATCTCAGCTCACTGCAGCCTCCGCCTTCCAGGTACAAGCAATTCTCCTGTCTCAGCCTCCCAAGTAGCTGGGACTACAGGTGCACGCCACCATGCCCAACTAATTTTTGTATTTTTAGTAGAGATGGGGTTTCACCATATTGGTCAGGCTGGTCTTGAAGTCCTGACCTCAGGTGTTAAATACTCAGAGTATTAAAAATTGTCTCGGCATCCCGAAGTGCTGGGATTACAGGCATGAACCACTGTGCCCAGCCCTTAAAATGTTTTTAAGCATTTAGGACAGGATCTGGGAATATAATAAACATTTGTAGTAGGGCAGAATAGGAGAGGTGGCAATCCACAGAAACAATTTTCTTCCTTATTCAGATGTCTTGAATAAAAGCCTAGTATATTAAATATCCTGATTAAGAAGGACAAGTTAGCCAGGCACCATGGCTCATGCCTATCATCCCAGCATTTTTGGAGGCTGAGGCTGGAGAATCACTTGAGACCAGGAGTTCAAGACAAGCCAAGGCAACATGGCAAAACCCCATCTCTACAAAAAATACAAAAATTAGCATGGTGGTGTGTGCCTGTAGTCTCACCTACTCAGGGGGCTGAGGTGGGAGAATCACCTGAGTCCAGGAGGTAGAGGCTACAGTGAGCCATGATTGCACCACCACACTTCAGCCTGGGCAGGGCAAGACTCTGTCTCAGAAAACAAAAAGACAGGTTGCATCAAATCTAAGGGTCCATTCAATTTTTAATACTCTAATTACATTATACTTGATATTTCTTGAAATAAAATGACTTTCAGTTGGAAATGCTTTTGTTCTAGTGAATTTTTATACAGTTGTACTTTATAGTGGATTATGCCTATGTATATATAGTCAGTCAAGACCTGAATTCAAATAATTTACCCCAAATGACTCTATACCACTTGTTCTCAACCAGGAATGATTTCTCCACCACTGAATACATTTATCAACGTCTGGACACATTTTTGCTTGTCATGACAGGACAGCCCTTTACACTCTTACAACAAAGCCCCAAATGTTAAGAATGCTGAGGTTGAGAAGGACTGTGAAGGACTATTCTCTCTCTCTCTCTCTCTCTCTCTCTCTCTCTCTCTATATATATATATATATATATATGCAAAAGTACAGTCATGAAAGAAACAGACTGAAAGTGATCTACAGTAAAAACAGGACTTTTCCAAGGAAAATGTGAATGAGTGGTAAGGGAGGTACTGAGGTGAATGGCATGTCAGAAGAGTCTGTCTGTGGAGACTAGAGATGATCAAGATGTCAGGTTTCTAAACAAGTCAGCCAACTTTCCAATCCATCTGCCAAGAGCTCAGCCCAATTCTGCCTCAGCTGAGTGACCCATCTGTAAGCCTTGGCTACTGGAGACAAAAGTGCTGCTATCTCTTCATAGAACTGGGCATAACTGCAGAGTAATGCACACTAGCATTCTTGTTAGCAGTTGGCAAGTTCACAATTAGCGCAATTGTTTCTGAAAGCGTGCGAGTGCACTATTGCTTCATGTTATTAATGTCTGCAGTGTGCTAGGAATAAAAGGATGGCTGGGGGGAGGGGATACATACATTTTAATTATTCAAATACATGCAGAATTCAACAGCCTTAAAGACTATTTCTGAGGCTCCTTCCTGCATCGACACAACGTGTTAGATTCTACCAAGAACTCAAAATAATTCCCTTGCTTTGAGTTGGGATTTAAAAGATACCCATTAATTCTCTTGGGGTACCAGGTGAACATTTGGTCATTCCTGTTGTGGGGGGAAAAAAGAAAAAAAATCAGAAATAACACAGCATGGACTGGTAAATGTCCCTCGGTCCACCTCACCATCTCCTTATTTATGTGGCAGCAGCTCAGAGGCAGCCTTTCAACATAAGTCCCATATTTTATTCAGTTCTGTTCATCAACTGCTGTTCTTGTTGCTTTTCCATCTAATTGTGTTTTTAGCTAAAAAAAAATTTGGGGTTCTATGATGTCAGTATCAAAAGACACTTGCTCTTTGACAAGTTAAGTTATTTTATCTCCAAAGAAAGATATGGAACAATGTCAGACCACTAAGATGCTATTTTATGTTGGGCTTAGAGGTCATGGAGTGATTCAAAGTAAAATGTTACTCAGTCTTATATATTATATAATATATGTTATATATATTATATATTAATCAACAAATATTTAATGAGTGATCACTGCTACTTAGGACCACCAGTGTTAGGTGCAATGAGACATGTAAATATATGTTATTGATCTATAAATATAAAAGCAAATATAAATATAGAAAGAAAACATATCAAATGTTTTTACTGAGTCAGAGACAGTATTTGTGGTGAAGGAGTGTTTTGGTAGGGGGTAAATCAAAAGACTATTCTATGGCAGCTGGTTAATAGAGTTTCAGGCTTCAAGGATATCATAATCTAGTTAGGAAGACAAATTACATTGATAGTAGAGAATTAATGAGTGTTAAATAGTTTGGTCTTCATTATCAGTGTAATGTTAGTTTATAAAAGGAAAAACCAGATTGGCTTGAATAAATGGTTTACTCGGTAAAGTAGTCAGAAATAAGATGGGATGAATAATTCATATCATGGAGCTAGTCAAGCTAGAAAGTCTGAAATTGATCACACACAGACACACACACACGCGCACACACACACACACAGAAGCAACTCTCTCGAATAAGGGAATGACAGTCATTCAAGGGCTATAATATGTGCTGGGCACTGTGCCAGTTGCTAAGGGCACCAAGATGACCAGTGTACAGTTCTTGCTCTTATGGAGCTCACAAAGAGGCATTTTAGGAAATTGATTTGGCTGAAGTCCACAGGACAGACAGGAATGGGGTGAATTGAGAGCTAAAGAGACCAGCTATGAGGATGGCCAGTGAGAAAATGAGGGCCTGGGCTAATGTAGAGGTCTTGGGAGAGCAGAGAAGAGTGAACCTGCAGGTACGGAAGTGCTTGCCACCTGCAAAAGGAGGGTTGGAAAAGAGGGAAGCAATAAGGAGGGCAGGAAGGAACAGTAGGGTTGCCACCAACTGAAATAGGGCACTTGTAAAGGCAGCCAAACTACAGTAGCAGAAATTATGAATTTTTAAAAGATACTGAAAGTGAGCTCATGGCAGGACATACACACTGAAATAAATACTAAGAAGATGGAACTATGGACTGATGCAGGATAGATGAGGCTGGATGAATTCTCCAGGAGCTGAATAGCGAGAGAAATCAGAGCCTTAGCAGGGGCACCCAGAGAGTTAGGAGCTGGGAGGGGAAGGGAGTCAAAAGTAGTTGAAAGGTCAAGAAGAAGGAGAATGTAGTGTCACTGAATCTAAGGGAGGAAAGAATTTCAAGGAGTGGGTTGTCAGAGAGGCTGAAGAGAATGAAAACCAAGAGAAAGCCATTCATTGTATAAAACTGCACTCTATAAGGCAGTCTGTGGGTTTTTTGTTTTAAAAATAAATAAAAAGTATATGATATTAATAGGCTCTGAAATAAAACATATATGCAAATGAACATCAAAGATTCAGTGACCTGCAGGACTGAGATAAGAGTGCCTTATAGTCATATAGCCTTTTGGTTTTTAAAGTACCTTAGAATACATTATTTGAACTGATCTTTTATTACATTCCTGGGATGATTATAACCTAAAAGGAATCACATTTCCTGTTTTGATCATTTAGTTACTCAACTACAGTTTTGCATTTGTACAACTATCAATACTAACAATAAATAACTATCCGGGAACTTTGTGACAGAAAATGAAAGATGATGACAATTATGATGATACCCATAGTAATAATACCCAACATTTATATAGCATGAAATGATTTCACATATGTTATTTCATTTTACCTTCAACAGCTCAGTGAAATAAATCTCATTATCTCCATTTTATATGTGTGGGCAGCTTTTAAAAATCCATGCTCCAAACAGATAAATTAAACAGGGCTAAACTAGACCAAAGAAATGGGCTTTTTATGTTTAATAAACTTAAAGCCCTGCTAAGAACAATGAAGGAAATTTTTATTATAGAACAAGAAACAAAATACTAGGACACATCAATTAATCTATCCCCTTTCTCTAAGAAGACAGAATATGGAGTTGCTTATCCCATTTGAAAGTCTCCTAAATTTCTGCTAGTTAGAAATGTTTTGGTTGCAAATGACAAGACCCACCTCAAACTCATTTAGGAAAAATAGTAGCAGGGGGATTGATTGCTCAATAATTGAACAGACTAAGAGTTGAAGTTCAGTCTAAAGGTTCAGATGTGACTGAATTCAAGCACAATTCTAGCTGGAAAAGAGCAAATGCAGAGTTCAGATGGGCTGAGTGTGTGTGTATGTGTGTGTGCGTGTATGTGTGTGTGTGTGTGTGTGTTGGGGGTGGGGGGAGCGGGGGAGATGAGACAAAGCCCTACCTCAATTTCAAGGACTTAAAGTGGGGAAGGAATGGTCTTCAGAAAGAAAATTAAGGTGCTTCCAGTAGAAGAAAGAAGAATGGATGCTGGGCAGGCAAAACCGTAGATCTCCAAAATTACTATCCTCAAACGGTGTTCACCAACTTACCTGAAATTCTCACTGTCAGAACTATTTCTTTAAGACTTTGGGTCTCAAGAGTTTCCTACAGTTAATTGGCTACTCTGGGGCAAATGTTCTCAATGTTGGCTGTATATCAGAGTCATGTGGGTAGCCAGAAAAGGTTTCAAAAATATATGGATGACTGAGCCTAACCTCTCAAGTGGGGTCCAGTGGATACCCCAAACTTTGTCCATGCAGTACATTTTGAAAGGAACAACAAATTGTGCAAAATGAGTAGCAGAGTTATCAGTTTCTCATTCCATATCTTCTCTCCTCTCTCTTTTCACCTCCAATGCTATCAGTGAGGACTGTCACGGAGTAGGCATCCCATAAATATTGGCAGAACTGAATATAATGGAACTGAAATGAGAGAATATACTATACTATCCGTGTTCCTGTGTTTTCCTCCTTTGAACATACTAGATTCCTACTTCCGGTTTGGGACTTACTGTCGACAAGATAAGAAAAGTGATGGACAAAGTGAGGAGGAGTCATGTGCTCAAGGACCCTCCAATCCAGCAGGGGAAAGAGGTGAGTTTCCCGGAATGACTGGAATTTGGTGAGCACATGGAAGGCACAGCTAACCCCATCTTAAAGAATCCAAATAAGTCTAAGTCTTAAGTGAAATTTAGAAGTCAGGGCCGGACGCGGTGGCTCACGCCTGTAATCACGGCACTTTGGGAGGCCAAGGCGGGCGGATCACGAGGTCAGGATATCGAGACCATCCTGGCTAACACGGTGAAAACCCATCTCTATTAAAAATACAAAAAAATTGGCCAGGCGAGCCGAGATGGCGTCACTACACTCCAGCCTGGGCGACAGAGCGAGACTCAGTCTCAAAATAAAATAAAATAAGTCAGGCAGAGAGAGGGGGTATTGGGTGTGCTGAGCATGGTTAAAGTCCAGTAAGCAAGAAAGCCGGCCTATTTGAAGACTTGCTTCAGTTATGGCTAGAGGATAGTACCTAAGGGCAAGGTGAGCAGGGCTGAAGCTGGGGAAAGAGCCCGGGACTTGAATGGTATGTTTATCTTTATTTAAATACTCAGGGCTCTAAAGGAGCGTTAATTCCAGACAGAATTCTCACACATTCAGTCATTTTTGCGCATGTACATTTCTATTTGTGGATTGAAGAAAAATATTACAGTTTTAAGTTGGGTTTAAAAAAATCAGTCAAGAAATGAACCCAAATGGCTTCCATAAGGCCACTATGATTTGGCGTTCTTGGGCTGCAGTGCCACCACTCGGCCACAGGGTAGCAGTGCAGCTCAGCAGACAGTGGGAAGCGGAAAGCAGAATAGTTGAGGGGCGGGGTTACAGGGAATCCCTCCCCAAAGCAGCAAATAATAGGGCTCTCCTTGAACTAGGTGGAACACATTAGCCCCATTTCTACACCTCCACACTTCCTTCCTCTATCATCTATCCCCACATCTATCAAGTCTAGCATAAATTCATGCGGAGTACAAACATGTTTGTAAAACAATGATCCATCCCTACAGGACTTGCTACATGCCCCCCATCTCAGTAAACAGTGGGCTTTCCTTGTAAAAAAAAAAAAAAAAAAAGGGAAATAATGAAAAGGTCCAATGATCAGAGGCTGACTAAATGACCTGTGGTATGTTTATCAAAGAAATACAATGCCTCCATTAAAAAAAAATCTGTTTTGCAGATTATTTAAAGATAGAGAAAATGATAAAGAGAAAAAAGTGAAAAAAAAAAAAAAAGCAAAATCCGAACAATATGCAGTGAGATCCCAGACTGCTTGCTTGCTTGCTTGCTTGAGACAGGGTCTCTCTATGTTGCCCAAGCTGGTCTCGAACTCCTGGGCTCAAATGATCCTCCTGTCTCAGTCTCCCAAGTATCTAGGACTAGGGGCGCCTGCCACCACAACTTGCTAATTATTTTTATTTTACTTTTATAGAGATGAGAGTCTTGCTTTGCTCCCCGGCTGGTCTCAAATTCCTGGCCTCAAGTGGTCCTCTTGTTTCCGCAGAACAGATATTTGTAACAAAATAGAAACCTATTGTTTTGTGACTTGCTAAATTCATATAACTATATATCCTGAACTTTTCCCATGTCATTAAGTACATGATTTTTTATGACTGGGCTGAATACTTATTTTAATATAAGTGTGAACTATAACTTATTCAGCCAATCTCCTATTGTTAAATATCTCTTTTATTTCCTAGTTTTTAGCTGGTAAGAATGAGACTAATATCCATTTGCTTTTGCGTCTCTTTGATTATTTTCTTAGCATTAATTGTTAGAACTGAATTGTTGGATTAAAGACATTTCATCCATTTGTCAAGTGAAAGGGTGCTGCAATTTACCCCTCCTCAGTACTATCTTTTGGAATATCATAGCATTATGATAAGTCTTGAAACATGGTAGGGTTAGTCATTCAACTTTGTTCTTATTTTCCAAAGTTGTTTTGGCTATTCTAGTTCTTTTATATTTCCATATGAGTTTTAGAATCACCTTATCAGTTTCTACACAAAAAATCTGTGAAATTTTAGCCGGGTGCCATTGTGTGCACCTGTAGTCCTAGCTACTTGGGAGGTTGAGGCAGGAGGATCTCTTGGCTCAGGAGTTTGAGGTCAGCCTGTTTCTAAGAAAATACAAAAACAAAACCAAATTTGGACTGGGATGTCATTGAAACTAGAAATCAATTTGGGGATAATTGACTTATTCTTAAAAATTGGCCAGGCGCAGTGGCTCATGCCTGTAATCCCAGCACTTTGGGAAGCTGAGGCTGGTGGATCACTTGAGGTCAGGAGTTCGAGACCAGTCTGGCCAACATGGTGAAACTCTGTCTCTACTAAAAATATAAAACTTAGCCAGGCATGGTGGTAACCCATTAAATCCTTCACAATTAAGTATTAGGCGTAGGTTTTTATGGATGCCCTTTATCAGGTTGATGAATTCCTTAGCTTGTTGAGAAAATGGATGTTGGATTTTTGTCAAATGCCTTTTCTGCATCTATTGAGATGATCTTGTGGTTTTCTTTTTCAGTTTGTTAAGATGATGAATTATAGGCCAGGCGCGGTGGTTCACGCCTGTAATCCCAGCACTTTGGGAGGCTGAGGTGGGCAGATCACGAGATCAGGAGATCGAGACCATCCTGGCTAACACAGTGAAACCCCGTCTCTACTAAAAAATACAAAAAATTAGCCGGGCGCAGTGGCGGGCGCCTGTAGTCCCAGCTACTCAGGAGGCTGAGGCAGGAGAATGGCGTGAACCCAGGAGGCAGAGCTTGCAGTGAGCCGAGATCGCACCACTGCACTCCAGCCTGGGCGACAAAGTGAGACTCCGTCTCAAAAAAAAAAAAAAAAAAAAAAGATGATGAATTATATTGATTTACTATATATATATATATATACACACACATACACACACACACACGCACACACAAAATACATATGTATCTTAATTCCAATAGCTTTTGGAGTGCAAGAGGCTTCTGGTTACATAGATGAAGTGTATAGTGGTGAAGTTTGAGATTTCAGCATACCAGTCCCAAGTAGTGTACATCCTTGACTTGCTCCTGATTTTAGGGGTAACCCATTAAATCTTTCACAATTAAGTATTAGGTGTAGGTTTTTATGGATGCCCTTTATCAGGTTGATGAATTCCTTAGCTTGTTGAGAAAATGGATGTATATGTAGCTTTTCATCACCTATCCCTTCCCACTCTCCCCCATTCTGAGTCTCCATTATACCACTCTGTGTGACTTTGCACATCCATAGCTTAGTTCCCACTTAGAAGTGAAAATATACAGTATTTGGTTTTCCATTCCTGATTTACTTCACTTAGAATAATGGCTTCCAGGCCGGGCGCGGTGGCTCATGCCTGTAATCCCAGCACTTTTGGGGGCTGAGGTGGGTGGATCACTTGAGGTCCAGAGTTTGAGACTAGCCTGGCTGACATGGTGAAACCCCATCTCTACTAAAAATACAAAAATTAGCTGGGCGTGGTGGTGCACACCTGTAATCCCAGCTACTCAGGAGGCTGAAGTGAGAGAATCACTTGAACCTAGGAGGTGGAGGTTGCAGTGAGCTGAGATTGCACCATTGCGCACTGAGATCGCACCATTGCACTCCAGCCTGGGTGACAGAGCGATACTCCATCTCAAAAATAATAATTATTATTATTATTATAATGGCTTCCAGCTCCATATTGATTCATTTTCTAATTTTAAGCCAACTTTTCATTCCTGGGATAAATTCCATTTGGTCATGACATATTATTCTTTTTCTATATTGGGAGATTTTGTTTAGAATTTTAGATCTCGTTAATGGAAGATAATTAGTCTATAGTTTTCTTGTAACACCTTTGGTTTTGGTATCAGGGAAATGCTGGCCTTGAGTGAACTGAAAAGTATTGCTCCCTTTAAATTTTTAGGAAAATTTGTTGATAATTGGTAGAATTTTTTTCTCAAATGTTTGCTAGAATTCACCAGTAAAGCCATCTGGCCCTGGAGTTTTCTTTGTGGGAAGGTTTTTAACTACACATTTAATTTTCTTAATAGTAATAAGGCTCCCCTCGCTTGTGTCCTATCTTCCAGACCTCATTCTTCTACATTGCCTGATGTCTGTTGCCTTGAAAACTATGCTTTCTTATGTTTGGTCTTTTTCCTTTTTTGGCTGCTTCAGGAAAGACAATAAATCTGGTTTTTGTTATTCCATGTTGTGTGGAAACAGAAGTGCTTTATATGTTTCTGTATTTTCATAGAAAAATTTTTTTATCGCTCAAAAATTATAAATATACATTTGGAAAATGCTACATAGCTTTGAACAGCAAAGAATTTAGTAATTATTTTGAGAATTTCTGACAGGTCCTCATTATTTACTCTGAAAACACTAAACTGTAAAGCTCTATGCAATTATTAAATATTATTTTTGTTGTGTTTTCCATGTTGTATAAAAGCTTTATATATACTTTAGGCTTACAATGTGTTCCTACTTTCACATAATATTTAGAAGAGGCTGACTAATGAAAGCTGGAGAAACAGTATACGAAATGCTTAATTTTGGTTTATCAATTATATTCAATAAGTTAAAATGTCTAGTTTAATGAGTCATTAAATACAAATAACCTGGATAGGGCTATTTTAAAAGTTTATATTAGAGAAGGCTTTCTCTTAACATCTTGACTTTATCTAGAACTTTAGGAAATGTTTAGGTGAAAGGAAAGGTAGCAAAAATTGTAGTAATTAATGAACATTAAGGACAAAAGTTAAAATACCCACTGAAAGCTGCAAATGTTAAACTGTATCTCTTATCATGGTTTGACTTGAATATGCCCTACTGCACACTGAAATATATCAAATTCAAAGATTTTATAAATGATAAAACAATTGTAAGTTTTCAAAAAAAGATGGCAGGAATTGCAGTAAGTGCTTTTAGAGCATTGAATTCTGTTCAGATGATTTTAAAAAATAATTGGTAATAACTTAGTAAATAGTTTAGTAAACTGTTTCTTAAAACTTTTTTCATCCATGATAGATATAATAATGTAGCATATAAATAGGAAGAAGTGTAAACATAAGACAGCCTGAAGGTAAAAATTAAGCCAATGGGAACAATTTCTTTTTCCAGAGATACGGATTTCCTTATTCTGCCACTGTATGGCAGAGTAACAACCAACCAACCAATCAGACAAACAAAACAAAACATCCAACCAATTTTTTTTTTTGTTTTGAGATGGAGTCTCGCTCTGTCACCCAGGCTGGATTGCAGTGGTGTGATCTCGGCTCACAGCAACCTCCACTCCCCAGGTTCAAATGATTCTCCTGCCTCAGCCTCCTGAGTAACTGGGATTACAGGCATGTGCCAGCATGCCCGACTATTTTTTTTTTATACTTTTAGTAGAGATGAGGTTTCACCATGTTGGCCAGGCTGGTCTTGAACTCCTGACCTCAAGCGATCCATCCACCTCAGCCACCCAAACTGCTAGGATTACAGGCGTGAGCCACTTCACCCAGCCGCAACCAATTCTTCAAGACCACCTCATTAGCATTCACAGTGCTGTGTCTCCAAGGCTCTAGAGATAAATGAAATAACTGAATCCTTGAGAAAATTCTATTTTCTTAATGATGAAAGGGGAAATAAAACTGGCTTTCCGATGAGTGCAAATTTAATACATATTTTAAAAGGGTAAGGTTGTCAATTGTCATAAACAAAAACAATCAAATAGAATAAGGGAGCTCAGATTCTGAATGAAACCCTATTCTGTATTTTGAGTCATTCCGTTTTGAATCATACAGTTACCATGTCCTATCAAATACAGAAAGCAGTGAGCAGGATAAATTGGACACCTAACAGCTTTCTAGTTAAGCAGTTTTTACAGCTACCTTCACTGAAGCTATTAGGAAATTTCTACTTGACCTGAACAGAACTACCAGACTGAGTTTCTTGTAAGAAAAAATGATTACTTACTATTGTAGCTATTTGGAGACCCTTGGTTTCAATGAAAACAAGCAAGGTATATTCCCCTATGGGAAATGCATTAGCTGAGATGTAGAATTCCTCTGCTTCTTTCAAACAAATACATCCTACTGTAAATATGAGGCTGCAGGCCACTGTGAATTTTTTTTTTAGGAGGGAAAATTCAATCCTTTCCTTATTAAAAAACAATCATAATAGCTCTGCCACATGCTACAGCATAGTATCTTCATAGGTGAACCTTGAAGGCACTACGCTAAAGGAAGTAAACGAGCCACAAAAGGAAAAAAATTGTATATTCCACTTATACGAGTTTCCTAGAATAGTCACATTCATAGAGACAGAAAATAGCATGGTGTTTGCCAGGGCCTGAGGGAAAAGAGGAAAAGGGAGTTGGGGCTTCATTGGTATAAAATTTCCACTGGGGAAGTTGACGAAGTTCTAGAGATGGAAGTGGTGATAGTTGTATAACAATGTGAATGTACTTAATGCCACAGAACTGTAAAATAAGAAATGGTTAAAATTGTAAATTTTATCTTATATATACTTTGCCACCTTAAAAAACAAAAAACAAAAACTTAGCTCTTATTCCTTTTATTATAAAATTATAAAATTTCTTATTATAAAATTATAGAATACATGTCCATTATAGAAAATACAGTACAGATAATAAAAAAGAAATAAAAATTCTATAGTTAGCCATTGCTAGTTTTACTTTATAATTTTCTAAGTTATTTTGTTGTATACAAATGTATGTTTGTGTGTGTGAGAGATAATTTATTTTATAACACGGCCTCTTTTTTGGGACTGTGAAGCTGGAGAGAGAATGTTGGTGATTAGTTTGACATTTCTTTTGCTTTTTTTTGAGACAGAGTCTCACTGTGTCACCCAGGCTAGAGTGCAGTGATGCAATCTCAGCTCTCTGTAGCCTCTGCCTCCTGGGTACAAGTGATTTTTGTGCCTCAGCCTCCCAAGTAGCTGGGATTACAGGTGTGTGCCACCACACCTGGCTAGCTTTTGTATTTTTAGTTGAAATGGGGTTTTGCTATGTTGGCTAGGCTGGTCTTGAACTCCTGGCCTCAAGTGATCCATCTGCCTTGGCCTCCCAAGGTGCTGGGATTACAGGCATGAGCCACTGTATATGGCCTAGTTTGACATTTCTTATGCTACTTTATTTAAGAGGAGAAGGTAGCTGCCCTTAGAAAGAAACTGCAGGCTGTATTAGAAAAGATTATCAGAATGTAGTAAGAAAGCTATATTTTTCACTTGAGCCAAGAGGGCAATGGTGACCAAATTATCTGGTCAGAGTAGTTAGTGACCAGTGGCTTGACCTAGAAATTTCAGAATGTTGGCTGTGGGAATTGGACAATAAGGTTTAGGCAGAAGCATATATACAAAACCAAACTTAAGACAATATTCAAGACAAAGTTCTAAAGAAAACACTTTCAACAGAAACACGAATAACACAAATGGTAATGTGGGTAGTTCCTTTACTCATTAAATATTTGTGTGTGTGTGTGTGTTTTTTACTTTGGAAAAAACATTCTGAATATGGAAAAATACAGAGGATAGTATAATAAACATCCACATACCCATCACTCAGAATTAACAAAGATTATCATGTAGTCGAATGAGCCCAAATATTTAGGTAATAAAACCCTACACTGAAACATGACAGATAAGAGTGCCCTGCCCCAGGCCCATTGCCTTTCTTCTTTTCCAACCTCTTTCAGTTTCATGGTTTTGCTGTGTGTCCTTCCAGTCCACATTTTTGATAATTTTAATACATATATATTATTCATAAAAAGTACATTGCTTTTTGTGTTTCTAAAATTTACATTAATGGATATATGCTGTCTGTATCTCTTTTTTTGTAGCTTGCTTTTTAAACTAAAAGCTATATTTTGTGTGTGTGTGTGTGTGTGTGTGTGTGTGTGTGTGTGTGTGTGTATAAGACAGGATCTTGCTCTATCACCCAGGCTGGAGTGCAGTGGCACGATCATGGCCCTCTGCAGCCTTGATCTCTTGATTTCCCGGGCTCAAGCAATCCTCCCACCTCAGCCTTCCTAGTAGCTGGGAGTACAGGCACGCACTACCATGCCCAACTGATTTTTAAAATGTTTAGTAGAGATGACGTCTCGCTATGTTGCCCAGACTAGTTTAGAACTCCTGAGCTCAAGCAATCCTCCTGCCTCAGCCTCCCAAAGTGTTGGGATTACATGCGTGAGCCACTGCACCTGGCCTAAAACTATACTTTTAAAGATTGATTCATGTTACTAGTTCATTCCTGTAAGCCAGTGGCTCTCGACAGTTTTTTTTTTTTGAAATGGAGTCTTGCTCTGTCACCCAGGCTGGAGTGCAATGGCACTATCTTGGCTCACTGCAACCTCCACCTCCTAGGTTCAATTGATTCTCCTGCCTCAGCCTCCTGAGTAGCTGGGATTATAGCACCCGCCACCATGCCCAGCTAATTTTGTATTTTTAGTAGAGAGAAACAGGTTTCACCATGTTAGCCAAGCTGGTCTCGAACTCCTGACCTCAGGTGATCCACCTGCCTCAACCTCCCAAAGTGCTGGATTACAGGCATGAGCCACAGAACCTGGCCAACAGTTTTGCCTCCCCAGTGGACCTTTGGCAATATCTGGAGATATTTTTGATTGTCACGGTGGGTGGTGGGCAGGGAGGTGCTATTGGCATCTAGTGGGTAGAGAGGCCAGTGATACTGCTTAACATCCTACAATGCAGAGGATAGCTCCCTGCAACAAAGAACGGTGTGGTCCAAAATGTCAGTAACACCGAAGTTGAGAAACCCTGATCTAAACAAGTGATTCTCAAAATGTGGTCCTGACTGGCAGCATCAGCATCCCCTTAGAACTTGTTAGAATACAAATTCTTTGGCTCTGTCCCTGACCCAATGAATCAGAATTTATGGGGGAGAACACAGAAATCTAAGGTTCTACAAACCCTCCAGGTGATTCTGGTGCACACTAAAGTGAGAACCACTGAGCTAAAACTATTGAATTGTTTTCAATTGTATGGAAACACCCCACTGCATTTATCTTATTGATCATTTCACATTTATCATGTAAGATGATGTTCTCTATACTAAGAGGCTCCTTTGTCCTCCTACACTACACCATACAACATACCCCTTAAAACATTAAAATGGACATTTTAGTAATAAAAAACATCTGTTGGAATGCTTACTATTTCCTTGGCATTATTCTAGGTTTTTTATCTATTAATTACCCGTAACAACCCAAGGAAGTAGATGCCAGTACTATCCAATTTCACAGATGAGAAACTAAGTAGTAAAGTAATTTGTTCAAGGTTACACAACTAATAAGTGTCTGACCGAGCCAAGATTTGAACCCAGACTGTTTGGGACTAGAGCCTGTTTCTTTAACATTGCACACATTCCCAGAAACACAGACTGTACCATTTTGGCTTAATGTTCAGAGCCTAGTGTAATAGATTATGCATCCAAATGTCTAACAAAAAATGACGTGGAGCCTGGGCTCAGTGGCTCATGCCTGTAATCCCAGCACTTTGGGAGGCCGAGACAGGCAGATCACTTGAGGTCAGGAGTTCGAGATCAGCCTTGCCAACATGGTGAAACCCTGCCTCTACTAAAAATACAAAAATTAGCCAGGCGTGATAGTGTGTGCCTGTAATCCCAGCTACTCAGGAGGCTGAGGCAGGAGAATCACTTGAACCCAGGAGGCAGAGGTTGCAGTGAGCCGAGATTCTGCCACTGCACTCCAGCCTAGGCGACAGAGCAAGACTCCTTCTCAAAAAAAAAAAAAAAAAAAGTGGAAATGAGAGAAAGGGTGCAGACAGTGGAGTCTAATCTAAATTTGGCATGCTTCTACCAAGCACA